>NC_000014.9:40861713-41486713 GCF_000001405.40 Homo sapiens
ATGGTTAGATGTATTCCTAGGTATTTTATTATTTTTGTGTTTTTTTGTATATAAGATTGTATTTTTAATTTGGTTCTTAGCTTGAACATTATTTATGTATAGAAATGCTATTGAGTTTTGTACATTGGTTTGGTATCCTGAAACTTTACTCAAATCGTTTATCAGGTCTAGGAGACTTTTGGCAGAACCTTAGGTTTCCTAGGTAAATAATTATGTTTTCAATGAAGAGAGATAATTTGACTTCCTCTTTTCATATTTGAGTGCATTTTACTTGTTTCTTTTGCCTGATTGCTTTTGGCTAGGATTTCCATTTCTATGTTGAATAGAAATGATGAGAGTGCCATCCTTGTCTTGTTCCAGTTCTTAGGAAGAATGATCCCAATTTTTGTCCACTTGGTATGATATTGGCTGAGGGTTTGTCATAAATGGCTCTCATAATTTTGAAGTATGTTCCGTCAATGCTTAGTTTTTGTGGATTTTTATTATGAATGGATGCTGGATTTTATCAAATTCTTTTCCTGCATTTATTGAGATAATTATATGGTTTTTGTTTTTAATTCTGTTAATGTGGGGAAAATGCATTCCTTTTTTTTTTTTTTTTTTTTTTTTTGTATAAGTTAAACCATCTTTGCATCCAAGGAATAAAGCCCACTTGATTGTGGTCAATTATTTTTTTGATGTGCTGCTGAATTTGGTTTGCCAGTATTTTGTTGAGAATTTCAGAATCTGTGTTCAGCAGAGATATAGGTCTTTGGTTTTATTGTTGTTGTCTTTACAGGAATTTGGTATGAAGATAATACTTATTTCATAGAATGAGCACACCTGTAATCCCAGCACTTTGGGAGGCTGAGGCAGGTGGATCACAAGGTCAGGAGATCGAGACCATCCTGGCTAACACAGTGAAACCCCATCTTTACTAAAAAATACAAAAAATTAGCCGGGCGTGGTGGTGGGCACCTGTAGTCCCAGGTACTCAGCAGGCTGAGGCAGGAGAATGGCATGAACCCAGGAAGCGGAGCTTGCAGTGAGCGGAGATCGTGCCACTGCACTCCAGCCTGGGTGACAGAGCGAGACTCCATCTCAAAAAAAAAAAAAAAGAATGAGTTAGGGAGAAATTGCTCCTCCTTGATATTTGGGAATAGTTTCAGTAAGATTGGTATTAGCTCCATTTTTTGTGTCTGGTAGAATTTGGCTCTGAGTCTATCTGGTCCAAGGCTTTTTTTGGTTAGTATAATTTTTATTGCTGATTTAATATTGTAACTCATTATTAATGTATTCAGAGGTTTAATTTCTTCCTTGTCCAATCTTCGGAGGTTGTTTGTTTTTCAGAATTTATCCATTTTCTTTAGATTTTCTACTTCGTGCACATAGAGATATCCCTTGTAGTCTCTAATGATTTTTTATATTTCTGTAGAGTCAGTTGTAATGTCACCTTTGTCATTTCTAATTGTGCTTGTTTGGAACTTGTCTCTTTTTTTCTTTGTATTTATTTAGTGATGGGTCTCTGGATTTTGTGTGTCTTTTTGAAAAGTAACTTTTGGTTTTGATCACCTATCTGTTGTTTCTTGGTCTCAATTGTGTTTAGTTCTGCTCTAATTTTAAATATTGACTTTCTTCTGCTAGGTTTTGGTTTCATTTGTTTTCATTTTGCTAGTTACTTTAGGTGCAATGTTAGGTTGCTATCAGAGAGCTTTCTACTTGATGTAGGCACTTAGTGCTATAAACTTTTCTCTTAACACTGCTTTTGCTGCATCCCAGAGGTTTTGATACATTGTGTCATCATTTTCATTTGTCTCAAAGAACTTTTTTTATTTCTGCCTTAATTTTCTTCAGGAGCAAGCTGCTTTGTTTTCATGTATTTGTGTGATTTTGAGCTTCTCTTGGTATTGGGTTCTATTTTTATTCCATTGTGGTCTGAGAAAATACTTGGTGTGATTTCATGTTTTTCTAATTTGTTGAGACTTGCTTTATGACTGAGCATGTTCTGTGTGGATATGAGAAGAATACATACTCTGTAGTTGTTGGGTGAAGTATTCTGTATATGTCTGGTAGATCCAACTGTCCACGAGTAGAGTTTACATTTAGCATTTCTTTGTTAGTTTTTTGCCTCAGTGATCTGGCTAATGCTGTTAAAGAGGTGTCGAAGTCTTCCACTATTATTGTATGCCTTTCTAAGTCTTTCTTAGGTATAGTAGTAATTTATTTACAAATCTAGGTGCTTCACTGGTGCTATTTATTAAGTATACTTAAATTGACTTGTTGAATTGAATCCTTTTCCATTAAGTAATTCATTTCCTTGTCCTTTTCTATTGTTGTTAATTTAAGGTCTCTTTTATCTGATACAAGAATAGCATTCCCCATTCTGTATGACAGAACTTTCTCTATCCCTTATCTTTGGGCCTATGGATGTAATTACATGTGAGATGGCTCTCTTGAAGACAGATGGTTGGATCTTTTTGTATAAATCCAATATGCCACTCTTTGTCTTTTAAGTGAAGCATTTAGACCATTTACATTCTAGGTTAATATTGATATGTGATGTTTTGTTAATTTCATGGTGTTTAGATTGTTTCTTTTAGTTTTGATTGTGTAATTTTCTTTATGTGGTTTGTAGGCTGTGTACTCACTTGTGTTTTTATGATAGTGAGGACTAAACTCTGATTTTTATCTAGCTCAAATTCTTATCTAAGGTGTCTGGGGAGTCATGCCATACAAATCATAGATTCTCATTAGATGGGTTTTATTTAACCCTATATAGTGTGATTTATTTTCCAACCTGACTCTGGCATAACATTATGAGACAAGGAAGAAAATAAAAATATTTTACCCCAAAACATGTTTCTTTGCCATATTTTGAAATGGGCCTGCAAAGATATTCTTTGTGGGGGAAAATTTGCATCTGTAAATAACCTCTGTTAATATAGCTAGATATTTGCTTCCAGACCTTCCCAATCCTAAAGAGATTAACTAAGATCTGAAAGGGAAACACTTGTTATCTATTGTCTCTAAGGGCAGCTATTATAAGACTTCAAAAGAACTTTGGTCTCCACAATCTTTATCTTAACCTGAACCTTCCCTTTCTATCAATCCCAGGTCTTCAGACAAACTCAACCAATTGTCAACCAGAAAATGTTTAAATTCACCTATATCCTGGAAGCCCCCCACTTTGAGTTGTTCTGCCTTTCTGGACCAAACCAATGTATTTTTTAAATGTATTTCATTGATGTCTCATGCCTCTCTAAAATGTATAAAACCAAGCTGCACCTCGATCACCTTGGGCATATATTCTCAGGACCTCCTGAGGACTGTATCATGAGCCGTGGTCTCTCATATTTGACTCAGAATAAATCTCTTCAAATATTTTACAGAGCTTGACTCTTTTCATTGGCAATAAATGGCGCCCCAACATGGGGACTCAGAGAAGACTCAGGAGCCCCAAGCAGTTGTCCGAAATCAGAGCTAAGGTACCAGCCAGGGTTAATTGAAGACTCACCAAGTTCAAGCTTCTCCTTTGGTGGAACTGGTAAGTCCTCCTGAGCCCTGTACCTCCCATTTTGGTTGATGGTCCTCAATTTATTCTGAGCTGGTTTTTCTCCTAGGAATTTGTTGTTTAAGGATTGTAATTTGAGTTTGTATATGCATTTCTAAAAGGTCTTCCCTATTGCTTTTTCTCTCAGACATAATCTCAATTTGGATTATCTCCATAAGGAACTGAACTTTGATAATTTACCTAGGCCACAGCTCAGTTCCTCCTTTAAAAAAAAAAAGTGTGGGGAAGAAATAATCTAAGAATAAGAAAAAAACAAGGAGAAAGAGCCCCCCTTTGGGCACTCCGTAGGTTTTATGGCACCTCTACTTCTTGCCAGAGTTTATGTAAAATGGTAATAATATGGTCTTTGTGCACATTTTACATTAAGGAAAAAGAGACCTAAGGTTGACCTGCAAACTATAGAATTTTTAAGTTTTCTTTCTCTATTTTCTTTTCTGCCTGCTTTAAATCTGCTGTGAGTTTTCTACTAGGGGAAACAAAACAAAACAAAACAAAACAAAACCACAACAACACTGTTTGGATCTAACAGGTTTTGTTTTGTTTTTTCAACTTGGGAAATTTATATTCATCTCATGGCCATAGTACTAAAGTAAAGTTATAGGATCTTTTTGTGTGTATGTTTATGTATATATATATATATGTATGTGTATATTTAAAGGCCTTTTTAAATTGTATAATTTTACATTTAATTGGCAGTTAAATTTGTTTTAATTTCCCTCTAGCACACCAAACTTTTTCTCCCCATACCTTATGATGTAAATTTTGTTACTTGATCTTAATCTGAGTTGTTTCATTTAATATGCAAATTTAGGGCTATTTAGCTGACTACTTCCTAGGGTGATGCAACATGTTATCAAGAATTTGAAAGTTCATCAATGTAATGGACTAGCTGAAGGCAAATTGCTTCTGGTGAGCCTTATGGACAGGAATGTAGAAAAAGGCATTTGTCAAACCAGTGGCTGTATATCAGGTACCAGGAGATGTGCTAATTTGTTCAATCAATGAAACCACATCTGGTAATGCAGCTGCAATTGGAGTCACCACATGGTTAAGTTTATGATAATCCACTGTCATTCTCCAAGATTCATCTCTCTTTTGCACAGACCAAAGAGGAGAGTTGAATAGGGATGTTGGGAATCATCACCTCTGCATCTTTCAAGCCCTTGATGGTGGCACTAATCTCTGTCATCCATCCAGGGATGCAATATTGTTTATTATTTACTATTTTTCTAGGTAGAGGCAGCTCTATCGGCTTCCATTTGGTCTTTCCCATCATAATAGCCCTCACCCTACCAGTTAGGGAGCCAATGTGGGGATTCTGCCAGCTGCTAAGTATGTCTATACCAACTATGCATTCTGTGGCAAATGACCACAGGATGAGTCTGGGAACACACTGGAGCCAATGTAAATCAGACCTGAGATCAAACTCCATTAATTGCCTAACCTCCATAAGCCGCTACTTTAACTGCAGGACCATAATGATGTTTTGGGTTCCTTAGAATCAATGTCAGCTCAGAGCCCGTGTCTAGTGGTTTCCAAAAGGTCTTATCATTCCCCTAACCTCAGTACACATTTACCCTGCCAAAAGGCCAAAGCATTAGTCCATTCTCATGCTGCTATGAATTAATATCTGTGTGTGTAATTTATATATATGTGCATATATAATATATATTCTCTCTATATATAATATATATGTTTTATATATATATATATATATATAAATAAGTTTAATTGACTCAGAGTTCTTCATGGATGGGGAAGCCTCACGAAACTTAGACAATCATGGCAGAAGGAGAAGCAAACACATCCTTCTTCACATGAAGGTGGGAAGGAGAATTGCCAAGCAAAGCAGGGAAAAGCCCCTTTTCATCAGATCTCGTGAGAACTCAGTCACTATCATGAGAACAACATGAGGGAACCACACCCATGATCTAATAACCTCCCCTGAGGTCCCTTTCCCAATACTTGGGGATTACATTTCAGATTACAATTCAAGATGAGATTCGGTTGGGGACACAGAGCCAGATCATATCATTGTGAACTAATGATTTAAATTTAAGACCTCAAACTATAAGAGTCCTGAAAGACAACTTAGGAAATACCTTATCGACACTGGCCTTGGCAAAAAAATTTTGGCCAAGTCCCTAAAAGCAATGACAACACAAATAGAAAAGTGGGACTTAATTAAACTAAACAGCTCCTGCAAAGCAAAAGTAATAATCAACAGAGCAAACAGACAATCTACAGAATAGGGGAAGTTATTCACAAACTGTATGTGACACAGATCTAACATCCGGAATCTTTACGGAACTTAAATCAACAAGTAAAAAACAAGCCCATTAAAACTGGGCAAAGGACATCAACAGACACTTCTCAAAAGCAGACGTAGAAAGTAGTGTCTATCTCTTCTAAGGATTTTTTTTTTAATTCGAAAACAAAAGTGTATTCAGCCAAATTGTTGGTTTAAGGTTACCTTTTGGCTGAACTATTCACATGAAGCAATTGAATTCTAGTCTACTCTATAAAAATATATGCTTCTTAAAGAAAGATAGTGTGTCAATAAAAAATGTGAAAAATTATATCAATACAAAGGCAATCCCTGTCACATGTAAAGCCTATTTTTATGTCACAAACACAATTTTTTCTGAGAATAGCTTATCATTTCTATGTTTTCCTCAATATTATTTTAAAAAAAAAGCAAGTTGTGAATGTAAGCAATGATTTGAAAGCAAGGTTAACATAATACTCTTCAACATTCCTGTCATCTTCCAATTAAAACTAATAGGATAATGTATGATGACAGTACAAGTCAATATTAATGATGCAATTAACTTTCTAAATTGAAAATATAAAACTTGTGACAAGGTGAAGCATTTTTGCTTGGTTTATTTTTGTTTTGCCTTTTACTGTTTCCATTTAAGCAACTAAATATTTGTGGATAGCAGCCAAAACAAGTTTATCTTCTATTAAATTTCATTTTTTAGAATTTCTAGGGTCATAAGTGGTTTCCAGTGTGCAGAGAAGTGATTATAAAGTTACAGAAATGTTTTAATCTATTTAGCTAAGGGTTCTTTGAAATTACAAATCATGTAAAGCAGATTACATTAGCCATCATTTGCAAAGGGTTTACTTTGTATAATGTTATTTTTTACATATGTGGCAAACTTATTCGATGATGCTTCAATTGCTTAAAATATTTTTGGGAATATAGCTTCTGAAACTTTCTCCAAAGATATGATTAAACCACAGAATATGACTATATCTTCACACCCTTTCTGGACAAAATTATTATTCCTAACATTAGTTTTATGGTTTCTAAAAAATTGAATATATCTCTAAATAATAGCAAATCCTTTCCTAAAGATAATGTAGCTATTAAAATTGAAACTATTGATTCATATTTTACCAATTGGTAGAAAAAAATTCTCAAAAATAATTTCAAATAATAATTGTATTATATGTTTCTTCCAGTTGATTTTATAAGTTGTCATATGCTAAGAAGTATTTAAAAATTGAAATATTTATGTCTTTTGTTTTTTTGTATTTAATTCAACTTCTTAAAGTAATTCTGAAAATAACTGAATAAAGTAATTCTGAAAATAACTGAAAATAACTTCTGAAAATAATTGCTTTTTCACTTTAAGTAATTTTGTCACCTTTTTTCAGAAAAACATATCAAATAATATATAACAATAGTCTGACATGTAAAAATAATTTTACAAATGGTGTCACTGATATTATTAAATTTCTTAGAAAATATATATTATTAAATAATTCTCTTTTAATAAAAAAATCACTAAGTATGTTTTTCTTCTCTCAATTGTGTATCTTTTCATCTAATTAACTAGTTGAATAAAATACACTTGACTGAACAATAAGGGTTTGAACTGCAAGGGTCCACTTACCTGCAGATTTTTTTCAGTCAATTTCTCCTACCTTCCCTTTTACTTTCTCTATTTAATTTGCCTCTGCAACCTCTGAGACAATAGGACAATAAGACCCTTCCTCTTCGTCCTCAGCCTACTCAACATGAAGATGATGAGAATGAAATCTTACAGGTGATGCAAATGATGATCTATTTTCACTAGTGAATAATGAGTTTATTTTATCTTCCTTATTTTTTTAATAACATTTTATTTTCTCTAGCTCACTTTTTTGTAAGAATACAGTACATAATACATATAAAATACAAAATATGTATTAATTGACTTTATGTTATCAATAAGGTGTCTGGTTAACAGTTAGCTTTTAGTAGTTAAAATTTGGGGGAATCATGTATTATATGTGGAGTTTTGACTACATGGTGAGGGGAGTTGGTGCTTTTCACCCCTGCATTATTCAAGGGTCTATGTACTATACAACCCTAATTCAATAACACTTTCTGGCAGAACCTTGTCCTAAAAATAACTCTGGCTTATTTAAGTATCCTTTACGCATGATAAATATTTAAAATCATGCCAAGGACATGTTCTGACTTCCTAACAATTTAAGTTCTGGAGTCAGACTACCCGCGTTTCAGTCTAATTCTAATTATTGTTACCTTAGAAACATTTTACCTGTCTCCTTCAGTAAACATCTGGGCCATGGTGATAGTAATAATGATACATATCTTATGATGTTGGTCTGGGAATTAAATTAAAAATTTCATCCAACTACTTAGCACTTTATATGTCATTTAGAAATTTTATAGCTTTTTTCATGATTTTCTGCCCAGGACCACATGTTCAGGTGATACAAATTATTTTAAACTTGGTCTTACCAAAAATGGTTATTAACAAAAGTAAATATCAAATTCCTGCAACTAAATAAGCTTTCTCAAAAGCAAATAAAAGACTTTAAATTCTCTTTTTCTTAATCTTTGTTCTATAGCTTTTGTGTATTAACTTTGAAAGATGCAAAGCATCACTTCATCTCTTTGTTTCTGCCTCATGAACACTGACTTCCTGAATACAGAAAAATAATTTAATTTGGTGCTGATTGCAGATTTTCTACCAATTTATTTTTCTGATGCATCATGCTTGTTTGATTATAAGCACATCTTTATTTTCTGTTTGCAAATTTTATAGTGTAATTTTAGAAGTAGCCTACATCAGGCATCTCAAAATTATGAATGGCTTTTAAGCTAGTACATCGAAGCCATTTCACTTTTTTTTTCTTCTATTTATTCATTTACTAAACCACTAGAGGGAAATAAAGCACATCATCCTTTTCCATAGTGAATGCCAATGATTGGGTTACTAGACCTTATCAAGGCTCTGACTTTCATATTTATTCTAGCAGCTATACTCTTCTTCTCTCACAGTCAAAGTAAAGGCAAGATAATATTCCTTCAATTACATAGTTTTCAGTATGCTAATAACCTTTAATCTCAGCTACATTGTTGAGAGCTAAAACAAGAATAAAGAAACTCTGGGCATAGACTTATTTCCAGATGTCTGTGTTGGCAAATGAAGAAGACATCTCATATAATGTGCCTTGAAATTGTTTCAAATATTTTAAGCAAAAAATAATGTATATGTCTACTAATTTACATAAATTACTCTAGAACATAAATATGAAATGTGAAATATAATAATAATAGCAAAATAATAACAATTTATATAAATGAAAGGCCAAACTGGTATTAGGTTTTACTTCCCCTTACTTATCTCTTCCTTTAAAAGAAAGATTGAAAGAGAGATGATTCAGTGCTTGTCAGATAAGGCAGGTCTTGAGAAATTACTTTTCACACTAAAATAAGATGAAAATATGTCATAATAATGGGAATCATTACATTTCTTTTTCAGTTTTGCATGTGTAACTTTTGAGTAGGGTACAATTAAAGAAATGAAAATGGTTAATAAATAAATATACCACACTGGAGTGTATTTTATAAAATTTCTTTTCTTTTTATAATATATGTTTTTTATAGAAACTTTGAATAAAGATATCACATTTTAAGAATTCCTAAGTAGCCATTGGAGGTACTTAAGCATGTTAAAAGGCTAATGGGAATTGTGTATTTGCCCTTATTTAGTACACATATACTTAAGTTAGAAACATATTAATTTAGCTTGCTGCTCCCCTTATCTAATCCCCCAACCCCCTATGTTCAACTCAATTATATATATCCCATATGCTTTATCATTTGTATTTGGAGATATATGTTGTTGTCAGTTTTGAATTATAAATGACTTTTTTTGTTGTAAATTCTACCAATACGTATTACAAGTGTTACTTAAGACAGTTGGCAAAGAGTTAGTTTTAATTTTTTTGTCCATCCATATCACTATTACCTTCCTGTAAAATTACTGTAATACAATTAACAGTGTAAGGATAATATTTCCAAAAGATTCTGGTATTCTGATCATAACCGTGATTTTGTAGTATTAAGTAAGATTGTAATTTTTTCGTGGATTTTCAAAATATTTAAATTTTTAATTCGAACACATTTCAAACATAAAATAACAAAATAATTTTACATATAATCATATGTTCTTTTTTGTAATTAAACCTCCATTATATTAACATTAGCTCATTTTATTTTTCCTTTTAGAAATAAAATCTTGCAGGCACAGGCAAAAGTCCACATACTGATTCTTTTCTCTTTCTCATTCCCCAGAGCTAATCAAATTTCTGAAATTGGCATCGTTTCTATATTTCCTACTATTTTTTGTGTATATTTTAATATGTAATATTCACACCACATATAGCATTGCTTTGCTCTGCTCCTTAAATTGTTACATAATAATGGACTCAAGAAGCTATTTATGATTTTATATGTAAATGTAGAGGAATGAATTTGGCCAGAATTATTCCAGCTAAGTATCGTCCTTTTTGATTTTACTATGAAATAAAATGACACTAAAAATATGCACTTGGGGTTCAAGTTCTGGATAAGCTATGTAGTCATATGCTACCTTTGTGTCCTAAATTGAGCATTAAGCTGAGGACTCTAATAAGTAAATAGAGTAGGTAGAATAAAGACACCAGAATTCAAAATACCATAAAAGTTTCAGTGAATTTATCATTTTTCTCCTTCCATAGTCTCCCTGGCTTGAAATCATTGCACCAGAAGAGGCACTGGGACACAGAGGTAATTTCAAGAAATATCCTCTACTTCCTGATAAAGGAATGTGAAGGGAAACTTTTAACACTTACAGACTGTGTATTCTTATATTTTTGTTTATTTTCTTTTCTCCATTCTTCTTTGTGCCAGTCCTCAAACAAATATAGAGAGACGACCCTGAGTTTGTTAAGAAGCATATACTGAAACACTACAGCTAGCATACTACTTGAAAATTAGTGGTTTTTTTCCTGAGAGTGGGAACATGTCATGGTTATCTACTCTTAGTACTCTTATTCAGCATAGTACTACAAGTTCTAGGCAATGAAATAAAGCAACAATAAATGAATGAATGAAACAAAAGTTATTCATATTAAAAAGGAAGAAATCAAACTGTTTTTATTTACAGGTGAAATGATCTTTTTATTAAGAAAATACCAAGGAATCTAAAAAAAAAAAAAAGAACAATAACAACAACAACAAAAACTGGTAGAGTTAAAAAGGAAGTTCATAATGGTCATAGAATACAAAATGAACACACAAAAATGTATTGTATTTCTACATACTAGCAACCAATATATGGACACCAAAACTTAAATGTTGCAGTATCATTTACAATTGTCCTAGATGTAATTGTAACAAAACATGTAATAGATTTGTATCTTAAGGCTAAAAAATTCTAATGAAAAAAATAAAAGATATAAACAAATAATACCATGTTTAAATAAAACATACAGTGTTCATAGATTGGAAGACAGAAAAGAAAGATTTAAATTCTAACCAAATTAAACAGATTTAATCCAATTCTTATAAGAACTCTTGAAAGATTATGTATAGAGAGATACGTGATTATTCTAAAATTTATGTGGAACAGCAAAGGAAATAGAAAACCAAATTATTCTTAAAAAAAATAATAAAATAGGGGCTGGGCGTGGTGGCTCATGCCTTTAATCCCAGCACTTTGGGAGGCCGAGATGGGCAGATAATGAGGTCAACAGATCAAGTCCACCCTGGCCAACATGTTGAAACGCCATCTCTACTAAAAATACAAAAGTTAGCTGAGTTGGGTGGTGCATACCTGTAGTCCCAGCTACTTGGGAGGCTGAGGCAGGAGAATTACTTGAAACGGGAAGTGAAGGTTGCAGTGAGCTGAGATCACACCACTGCACTCCAGCCTGGCAACAGAGCGAGACTCCATCTCAAAAAATAATAATAATAATAATAATAATAAAAAAATAGGATCATGGTACCTGAAATTAAAGTTCATCACATAATTACAGTTATCAGTTGGAATTTGTGGAAGAATAAACACCTTGATTAATAAAATAGAGGACTCAGAGATGAACTGTCAACTGAATTTGACAAAGGAACAAAATTAATGAAATGTTAAATTAAATTTGGCATAAAGCTACCTCCATACTTTGAATCTCTACCTAGAAAACTGCAACCTAACTTATTATGTAAACTGAAATGTTACTTAGAAGTATATTCTTGTAACAAATAGTTGAGTCCCAGTCAATCACAGTAACTGAGCTTCAGCCAATCACAGGCTGCCAACTGACAAGACCATGTCCATATAAGGCAAATGACTAATCATACCATGTATAAATAAGTCAGCTATAACTGATCAAGCTGTTTCTGTACAATCCTTCCTTTTTCTCTATAAATACTTACTGTCCACATTGCTGAGTGAAGCTTTCTGAACCTCTCATTATTTTGAGGGCTGCCCAATTCATGAATTATTTTTGCTCAAACACATTTTGCTAAATTTAATTTATCTAAGGTTTTACTTTTAACAGAAGGAAGGATAGACTTTTACTAGAGTAATAGGACTCCCGTAGGCAAAACAAAGGTAAAAAATAAAAAGAAAAACTAAGCTAAACATTACATCCTATACAAAAATTAGCTCACAACACATTACTATACATATAATGTTACAAATAATATGTTACAAATATACAAAACAATATTGATATGGCTTGGCTCTTTGTCCCTGCCCAAATCTCATCTTGAATTGTAATCCCCATGTGTCAAGGGAAAAAAACTGGTGAGAGGTGATTGGATTACAGCTGCAGTTTCCCCTATGCTGTTCTCGTGATAGTGAATGAATTTTCATGAGACCTGATGGTTTTATAAGTGTCTGACATTTCCCCTGCTTGCTCTTCTCTCTCCTGCCACCATGTAAAGAAAGTCCTTGCTTCACCTTCGCCTTGTTCCATGATTATTAGTTTCCAGAGGCCTCTCTAGCCATGTGGAACTGTGAGTCAATTAAACCTCTTTCCTTCATAAATTACCCAGCCTTGAGTAGTATCTTTATAGCAAGTGTGAGAATGGACTAATATAAATACTATAAACACTTTATGAAAAAAAATTGAGAAAATTGTCAGAACCTAGGGTAAGCTAAGAGTTCTTAGACTTAACACTGAACTGTGATCCCTAAAATAAATACAATCTATAATTTGGACACAATAAAAATTAAAAACTTATTCAGTTAAGTAGATGAAAAGACAAGTTACGGGCTTGGAAAAAAAATTTGCAAATCACTTATCTGACAAAATATTCATGCCCAAATTACATAATAACTCTCAATAAAACTGTTCATGTATAGACAAAATACATGAACAGATATTTTACTGAGTAGAGTGCTAAGAGGTAGAAAATAAGCACATAGAATGCTGTTTATTATCTTAGTCCATTAGGGAAATGCAAATTAAACCATAAAGAATTATAAGTACACATCTAAATATACATTATAATACCTAAAATTAAAAGTAGTGGCAGCACCAAAGTTTGGCAGAAATGTGGAGAAGTTGGAGTACTCAAACATCTCTGAAGGGAATGTAAAATGCTTCAGTCACTTTATACTTTGTGAAACAAATTGGCAGTTTGTTAAAAATCTAAAAGGAATTACTAAACACTGAGCAAGTGTAATAATCCTACTTTCAGAGAAATGAAAACTTATGTTCACCCTCAAATTTGGTAATGGTTATTTGTTCATAGCAGCTTTATATGTAATAACCCAAAGCAGTAAGCAACCAATACGTTATTTATGGGTAAATCATTAAACAAACTGTGTTATATACATATCATGGAATACTACTCAGCAATAAAAATGAATAACTATTGATTCAAGCAACAACTTCGATAGATCTCCGAGAATTATACTGAGTAAAAAATAAAAACACCCCAATCCACAGATTAATGCTTTATGATACCTTTTACGTAATACTATCACAATGGCAAAATTATAGAGATGGAGAAAAGTTAGTGGTTGTCAGGTGTTAAGAATAAGGGCACAGATTGGTCAGGAGATGGGTAGTTACAAAAGGGCAACATAAGAAATTCTTGTGGTGATAGACTTGTCCTGTATCTTGTCTGAATTAGTGCCAATATTCTGGTTGTGATATTGTACTATATTTCTGCAAGGTATTACCACTGGGGTATTGGGTAAAACGTACAAGGGATGTTTCTATATTACTTCTTACAATTTCATGTGAATCGTCAATTAAATAAAAAGTACAATTAAAAATAATTTTGATTACTTTATTCAATGAGATAAAAGTCTAAGATTTAGAATTTTAGTAGAGAAGTGGAAAGTAAAAGTAACATATGGAAAAATAGAACCCATGAAACTGAAAAATATAATATATAATATTAACAAGTAAGGTGACCTATTTAAGAACATATTAGAGAGAGATGAAGAGAGAATTAAGAAAATGTTGGGTAAAATAGTCAAAGTGAAACATAGAGAAATGACAGGATAGAAAATTCAGAAGAGCAAATAGGAGGGAAAGAAGGTAAAGTGAGAAATCTTCATATATTTAAATTGAATTTTAGAAGAAGATGTAAGGAATAATGGAAATTTCCATGAATGAGTAATTTCCAAATCTGATAAAACATATCAAGTTGTAGAATAAAAGCTCTGTGAATTAAAAGATGGAACAATGAAAATCATCTACATTATAGGCGATTACAGTGCAAGAAAAGACAGATAAAATTTTGAAAAAACAACCAAAGAAAAAAGAAAGCTTATATTCAAATTAGCAACAATTAAACCACTAAATATGTTGCTCTTCAACAACAATACAATTAATATAGCCATGAAGACACAAAAACTATCAAAATTTGGCAAATGTATTCATATTAATAATAACATTTAAAAAGTTATTTTCGGACCTAAAAACTGAGGGAATTATTACCAGAACATATGCACTAAAGAAATTCTAATGACTATTTGCCAGGCAGAATAAAAATAATACAAGCTGGAGGATCAGAGACACAAGAAGTGTCCAAAAGCAAGAACAATTTTAAGTATGTGAGTAAATTCTAAATTAACTTAAATGTGTAACATAATTTTATATAGTAATATAGTAATATTTATTGTTATATAATTATTATATTGATATACACACACATATATGAGGTTGAATTGTGTCCCCCAAAAATTCATACATTGAAATGCTCATCTCCAGTACCCCAGAAGGCTCAGAATGTGACCTTATGTGAAAATAAGGTCATTACAGGTGAAATTGGTGTAGATTAGGTCATACTGGAATAGGGGGACCCCCCTAATCCAATGTGACAGGTGCCCTTATAAATAGAATACTGTGAGATCAAAGCAGAAATCTGGGTAATATAGTTGCAACCAAGTTGCATCAAAGAGTGCCAGAAAACCATCAGAAGCTAAGAGAGAGCACAGAGCATATTCTTCCTCACAGCCCTCAGAGGAAACTAACCTTCCCAATAGCTTGATCTCAGACTTTTAACCTCTAGAACTTTAGGGCAATAAACTCTTATTCTTTAATGAAGCCAGTTTCTGGTATTTTGTTACTACAGGTTTGTTGTACCATATATATATATATACACATCATATATATATACACACACACACACACCCCATATATATATATATATATACACACACACACACCCCATATATATATACCTTGTATATATATATACTATATATATGACATATATATACATATGGTATATATATGACATATATATAGATACACACATATATACGTATATAGATTTGAAAACACTAGAGTGAGTTAACATGTATTAAGGGCCTTTTACTGTCCAAAAAGTAAACAGCAATAAGAAACAATTTTGTATGGTAGTAATCAAAGTTTCATGTTGTAGTCTGCATATTAATCAATAAAAATGTAGTAAAATAATGTTTAACAACCACGGAAATCATGAGAAAAAAGATCAACTATTAAAACAATTAATTAAAGAAGTCACAAATAGAAAATGGAACAAAGAGTAGGAAAATTATAAGATGAGGAATTGAAACATAAATATATCAGATTTCCTCAAATATAAACTTGCTGAAGTTGACACTTAATAGAAAAATTTCCTCAAATATAGACTTACTAAAGTTGACATTTAATAGAAAAATTTCCTCAAATACAATTTTGCTAAAGTTGACATTTAATAGAAAAATATAGTTAGGTTAGATTTATGGGGAGAAAACAAACAACCTCTATGTTGTTCATTGAAGCAAAAAGTATGCAAAATGTTTGAAAGAAAAAGATGGACAAAGATGTCATGCCAACCTTAACTAAATAAAAGCTGGTGCTACTATATTAATATCAGACAGGTTGTCTCTAAGACTGAAACCATGACCAGCAGTATGCTGAATGACCTTATAGGGATAAAGGGAACTTCAACTACCCAAGATGATGAAAATTCTTAATGTGAATATGCATGGCGAAATAATGAAATATAATCCACAAAAATACATATTTACAGGAAGAAGTAGGCAAGTATAAAATTTACTACAATTTTGTGACAACTTGTAGAAAATGATGAAAAATTCTGGAAAGCTTAAGTAAATATATAACAAACTGAAAGAAAATCAGAAAGTTTGACCAAATGGATATTGTATCCCTAACTGCAGGATGCATGCTTGACCAAAAGGAAACCTCAACACATTTCAAAAGATTGAAATCATAGAAATTATGTTATCTGAATAGATTGAAATTAATGTGTACATGAATAACAAAAAGATAGCTGAAAAAGTCATACCTTGAAATTAATAAATGTACTTCTATAAATTGTAGTTGAAGAAATCACAGTGTACATAAAGACAGTGACTATACAGCAAAACATAGAGAATGTAGCTACCAGTATCTCTCTATAAGGGACAAGGTATAAGAATGAATGCATATATCATAAAAGATCAAGTAATGACCATTATCTTCAGAAGACAGAAAAAGAACAATAAATGTAAAGAAGTAGCAATTCAAAAACAATATGTACATGAGTAAATTAGCAAAGTCAACACTTGTTCTTTGGAAAAAACATTAATAAACAAAATGTTCATGCAACTAATATAAAACAAAAAGTACAAATACAATGAGTAATTTTAATACATATGATATTAGGTATTAAAATAGTGACATCACTATAGAGTTTTCAGATATTAAAAATATAGTATGAAGACATTTTGAACAACTTTACCACAAGTAATTTGAAGTTTTACACAAAATGAACAAAATTAGAAGAAATGTAAAAATATTTTTGTAACTTTGGCTGATGAACTTTGACATTGTTTTTAATCCAGATTCCAATTTTTCTGTTCACCTCCTTGCCCAGGTGTGCTGTGATGTCAGTCCAGTCGAAAGGCTTACTGTTTGTGCACTTCATACTTGCATCTGATGCATCTGTTGCTACCACTCATCCTCTTGAGCTCACTTCTGATTTTAGCCTTGGCTATGGTGGGAAATCCCATGTGGAATTAGACTGAGTTTCAGTTGACAACATCTCACTTCAACTACTCTTTGTTTTTCCCCTGGGACTTCTCCGTCAGCACATATATCAGAGTTATACAGGCTGCACACAAGTGAAATTCAAAAGTGTGCAGATTTAATACCATGAGGAAACCTCTCAAGCTTTTGGAAGTTAGGGGACTAAACAAATGTATTAAATGTTCCTGGCTCTGTACACCATCCTTTAGGTAGAGAATAATGGCAGGCATTTGGGTGTTTCTCAGGAGTTCCCAGCAGAATCGACTACCTTTGCCCAGAGCAGTAATCTTAGTAATGCACACACAAGTTGTCTTTTTCTCCTCTCCTGCATCGTTAAATAAACTACAAATATATGAGTAGAAATTGAAGATAATACTAGAACCTGGAGATCGTTTCTTTCTTGAAGAAGTACATCAAATTATACAGCAGATGCTCAGATGTAGGAAGTTCTAGTTCAACATAGAGCCTCTGTGGACACAAGTGGAAAATACCTGACACTGAGCTTTTATGTAACAACATTCTTTGAAATTGAACTACATATGAAGTTATCTCACTTCCTGTAGGGAAAATTATTCTGACTAAATAACAAACCTGAATGTAATTAAATACATGTACCAAAAGTAATATAGTGGCTGCATGTATATGGACAACACAATATGATTTATAAATCATTAAAATTAGAATGCCAAGATTATTAGTAAAGTGTCTAACTAACCCTGATAATGCAAAAAGTAAAAAGCCTGTGTTTAATTTGACATCAATAAGCTACTGCACAGAATATTGTACAGACACTCTTTTTCTCCTAACCTTCACTACAACACTTCCATGTAGATATTATTATCATTTTATAGATGAAATAGCTTCAAAAGCATTAAGTAGTTTTCTTGGAAAGTGGCACATCAATTCATTTGTCACTATTCTGTCTCAGAATCCATAATCTTTCAGCTATGCATGGCCTTACTAAATCAACATCTATTTCTGTATTTCAGCTTTTGCTTCCATTTCTAATAGTCTAAGTCTTTTCCAGAATTAAAAAATTCTGCAAGCCCCAAGAATTTTCCTTCATTTATTTAATTTAGGTGCTATTCTTTCTTCTATAAGCAGTAACTCTGTTTGTGAACATACACTCTTCTCCAAGATTCTCCATAGCTGTGTGCTGGTCAGTGTTAACAAATTAAATACCATGTCTCTTGCTATGGAAAATCTTCAGGATTCTGCTCCTTAAAGCTGTTTAGTGCATACACTACCCACTTCTTCTAAACATGAGATGTTCCTTGTAATGGGCTGATTCTCTACTTCTCACCAGCTCAGTCTCTTAGGAGCACAGTATAATGAAGATACAATTATGATAACATGTGTAAAATAATTTTGTTAAAAAATTGAAAAGAGAAACAGAAATGAACCTTAAGAAAGAAAATGATCTGCCAGATTATTAACAAATTGATATTAAAAAAAACAAGAACTAAAAATGAAGTTTTTTAGCTTTTAGTTTCTTGTTGTTGTTTTTTTTTTTAAACAAAACCTTTTAAGGAAGAACTTCAAGAGGAATAAAATCAGATTTTCTGGAAACTCTAAGAAATGTGAGGTCACTCTAATCCTAATGAAAAGTGACCTCATGATTAATTAGGTGCAATTTTATAAATTGTATCTAAGCACAGCTTCTGCATTTAAAATGTTAAGTGGTAACAAACTGGTCATTTAAGTGACTAACATTTATAAAACAACATTTGCTTGACATTTAAATATAAGTTAAATATAAGTTTTGACTAGGAGTCCAATACTTATTAAGGAAAAATTATTGTGAAAATTGTTAATGATGACAAGAAATACTTTGCTCAAGAAGGAATTACTACTGCAGTGGGGATTTGTAGTAGGAAGGAGAGATTAGGCTCAACTTTGAGAAAAAGGAAAAATAGGGATTTATAGTCAAGGAAGTGGGGAAAATTTCTAAGAGGAAACATGAGGGGCAAGGGGTATTTAGTATTCTTGCTGAAATCAGGCCAGGGTGAAATCAGATGTCACCTGTGGGATGGTAAGGAATTAGATATTTGATCAAATATCAAAGATAATTAGATACCAAAGGAAAGGGTTCTGAGTAAAATGACTTAGCCAAGTTCTTGGGTAATGCAAAGACAGACAAGAAAGTCCAAAGGCCAAGGCCTTGTCTAGGTCATGGCTTGGTGGAGCCTGAGCAATGTTTGGTCAAGAATCCTTTGTTATATTTTACAGTGTACTTCCTCTGTTATTTTATAGTGCTTACCTCTGTTAGCTACAATATTAGCCTTAGAGTTTTGTTTTGTAATAATAGATAGATCATATTTTCTACATGCCCTTGTTTAGAAGTACAAAATGTTAGAATAGGAAGGGAACTTAGGGTATCACTAAACACAATATGTTCATTATATGTCACAAAAATTGTGGTGCAGGAATATGATAGATGCAACATTAGAACACACATTTCAGAGAACCAAATTTCTTCATTGTAGTTTTATACTCTTTTTGTTATATAATACTGAGATATGAAGCCACATTTTTAAATGTTCACAAAGTTTATCCCTTTTAGCAAAAGAATATTCAGTGTTCTTAAATGAAGTTATTCAATAACTGCGTCCAATGGAATAAAATTGGCTTCATTTAAAATTCACAAGTTCCTTAAATGCTAACTTTGGGGTCCTACTTACAATGTTACATAATTAGTTTTAATTTCATAAGATTTTTTATTTGATTCTAGCTCTGTAAACCATTTTCTTTTCATGAGGTTTTTAGGTACATGTGATTAATGTCAGCCAATATTTGATAATGTCATACTCTTATTTTTATAAAAAGATTTCAGCTACATTAAATGTGTCAACTTTGAAGTTTGGATGACATCAACTACATGATCAGTGGGAATTTTGAAGTAAAACTGTGGAAAATTCTTTTTGATTAACAACTACTGACTTACATCTTCTATGGTCAATAAATTATAATAACAAATTGTGACTTTATCCTTAGATTATGCAAGTTTCTTTGAATATAAAATAGTACATATTAAGACTATTCAGTTTCATATTACATGCTATATTAGGATCTGATCCAGGATTTAATTAATTTTAAATAACATATGTACAAAAATTCCCTTAACTTTTATGAAATCTAGTTATATTGTCATTGATTTACATAAGATATGTAGCAAGCACTTCATGCTTTATGAAATGTCTATTTCCCAGGTTCCACTGATAATTCTGGCAGAAGCTCTCAACCATCATTTCAAAGCCAGTATTTATATTGAAAGCTGAGTAATTTAGCATAACTTCTACATAAAATGTCATCCTATAACATATTCTACCTTTGAAATTACAAAGACATTTACAAATTGCAGTATAAGTTGCAATTTCCTCAATTTGGATTCCATTAGAATTACCAAAGGAGAATCAAAGGCAGTGAGAAAATTGCCTTGAAATATAATTGGTTTCAACACACTCTCAAGGCCCAGAATGATTATATTAACTTCTTGCAACTATTTTTTAATAGTCTACAACTTAAACTTTTTAGTATCTCAACAGAAAAAAATATATATTATCACTCACTACACATTGTATACCTCAAACAGCCTGGTTTTCAGAGTACCTACATCATTTATTTATTTAAAATTTATATTTTAGATTTATAGTTCTTGTTGCTGGCTACATAAGGGTTAACTGTTATCATTATTATTGCTATTAGCAGAACTTGTGAGAGCCATTAAAAATTAATTATTCTAATTAGGACCCAATGTAGCTATAGAAACTCACAAGCGATAATAGTACTGACAAACATTTGTTAAGCCTTTACTTAAGGAAAGTACACAGTGATTTACAAATATAATTTAATTTATAATTTCATTTATTCTTCATTTAACCATCTGAGATAACTCTTCTGTTTTCCATTTTTGAAAATGAAGCCATCTAATTAGGTCGAGGCCACACAGACATCATCTGAGTTCAGGTTATCTGACATTTTACTATTGTCTGTACCTATACCCAAATTTTGAAATCAATCATACTATTTTTTTTTTTTTTTCTTGAGAGGGAGCCTTGCTGTGTCGCTCAGGCTGGAATGCAGTGGCATGATCTTGGCTCACTGCAACCTCCACCTCCTGGGTTCCAGCAATTCTCCTGCCTCAGCCTCCCGAGTTGCTGGGATTACAGGTATGCACCACCACGTCAGGCTAATTTTTGTATTTTTAGTAGAAATGGGGTTTCACCATGTTGGCCAGGCTGGTCTCGAACTCCTGACCTCAAGTGATCCACCCACCTTGGCCTCCCAAAGTGCTGGGATTAGAGGCATGAGCCCCTGCGCCCGGCCAGAAATCTACCATACCTTCATGAAAGCGCACACACATGCAGAAACTGTATCAGCATTGTCTTACTATGTTGTTGTCTACCAGTTGGCAAAATTTTAATAACAAAGGTAAATTTTAAATATGTTTGGGAGTAATTGAGACTTGAGAAGGCATTAAATGAGAGAAGAGAGTGGAAATGTTCACATTTAGTCAATGTCATTTCAACAGCTATGAGTTAGAAATGAAAGATTATGAAATGATATTTAGGTTTTGATGATACTGATAATAGCTATTATCTTACAATGAAGGTCCAGCATGTGTAAAGCACATCACATGCATCATTTTTCCAGCTTCACTAAACTCTTAGACATTTATTATCCCTGTTGATGATGATGAATCTGAAATGTAAAGTTAGTTTATCAAAAATAACCCAAGTAGTTAATGATAGAGCCATAATTAAACCCATAGAGGGAAGATATTCACTGTAATAAGAGAGCAGGAGAAACTGCCACACAAACTTGTGGCTATTATTTTGAAAGCTGCTTTAAAAATAAAGGCTAGATGACAACGGCTAAAATTGCCGTAAGAACTAGGAAAATAATTGGATGAAAATCAATTTGTTTCAACATCCTTCTGGTCTTCCTGACCACATGAAAACCTATGTTTTTCCATATCTTAGTCTTTATATTATAATTCATAACTGACCTAAACATTCACACCACTTATTTTGATCATTTTATGACCTACTTAAGGGCTGAAAGTGTCTTACTTCTGGCTGCATATGGCAAGTTTATATGTGAAACAGTTAAAAATGTTTCAAAATAAGATTGCTAGAACATGACTTTATCGAGCCCTTAAAGCATTGTGTTCAAAGATGATAGTTTGAGTTATATTTAATTCATAATAATGAAAATCAATATCTTTATTTAAGTTAGCTCATTTATTAAAATATCTTTAAGCAGCAGTTATTATTAGTGAATTTTACTGACAAGTATATTGAGATTTAGATTGAGGCTTTTGTGTTTTAGTTAGACAAAAATAAGCAGTAACTTCGGATTCAGGAAAGCTGAAGGCAGAACTTATGTTTTTAACTATTTTCATAATTGCACATCTTTTCCTTATGTGAAGACAAAAGACCATAGGTATTGGCACCATTAACATTTGAATGCAGAGTCCATGTACCATATTCACTGGTTACTGTTGTACCAACAAGGGTAATTTCACTGCTAATTATCAAAAAGTCATTCAATATATACAGTTAAATTGTTGGATATATTAATGAATAAATAATTGAATTAATACTAATTTATATCTCTTTTACTTAATTTAGGGTATGTTGGTGTTTGTTTCCTTCTGATACATAAAATAGCCAATAGGATGAAGATTTGTTTTCTTGTTTTTATTTTCTTTTTTAATTTATCTTTAACGTTTGCGTTATTGGGGTAATTTGCAATATTGAAGTAATATTTGCTTTGGTTTTGAGAAGGTATTGAAAGTATTTACTTTTTTCCTATTTAGTTTGCTCATTAAGGTTATTTATTAACTACCATTTTAAGAAACAAAAACAAGCTCTAAGTTTGGCATGTAATAATTCCAGGCAATATATATAGTATACTTTTGAGAGGAGATGAGGAAAATAAGTCAGACTGATTTTCCTACTAACAGTTTGATAAAACTTACTATTAAAAGAGTGATAACTAATGCTTCTATGTGCCTTTCTGTAAATATCAATCAATAAGTATTGCTAGTACCCATAAATTATTCCTAATGTACAATT
Source organism: Homo sapiens (assembly GCF_000001405.40). Taxonomy (NCBI): domain Eukaryota; kingdom Metazoa; phylum Chordata; class Mammalia; order Primates; family Hominidae; genus Homo; species Homo sapiens. The sequence goes on from NC_000014.9 coordinate 40,885,147, forward strand.
TCAAATGGCTGTGTCTTAGCTTGAGAGAGGTGCTGAGAGAAATGAATGCTCTACATGGTAAGATTCCCTATAAGTTATTTCAAATACATTACCTCTTCTTATTTCAACTTAGATATTGTCCACAGGAAGATTTTTAAACAAATAATTTTTAACACTTTCTTATATGCAAAAATAAAAACAGACTATATTAATTGTAGTTTGTGATCTCAACATATTTTCAATAACTTTGTTGCAATCCTGTCTCTATTCCTTATAAATGAAATATTCACATAAAATGTATTCTTAAGACCCAGAAATCAGTCAACAAAACAACCATCTCTATTGATTACTTACTAATACATATGGAAATTATAACAAACAGCAGATCACTAATGAGAGTCTAATTTAAAAGTGGTATATTTATATTTTGAAAAACATATTTATGTTATATTTTTAATTGAACCCTCTCCCTTTTTATTGCCTACCCTATATTTGAGTAAATTTGAGATAATTAATGAACAATTTTTTATTTTACTAGCTGAGATTGAAGAACACTTGAAAATTATCAAGAATGTACTGCGGAGTATTGAAATTGCAAGTTATCATCAAAGGAAGCTGTAAGCATCATGACTCAGTGATGTATTTTCTCTGTATTTACCATTTTAAACCAAATTTAGTGTTCTCTCTGAAGGACAATCTAAATAAAGTAGTTGTAAATTAATTTATAATAATGAATAAATATTCAAACAATTATTTTGATAGGTTTTATCCAGCAGAAACTGAGAAAATTTAATCTTACATGACATTGGGATGCTATATTATTTGACATGAAACAAATATTTTAAACCACACTTTTAAATGGTGTATATTGCACTACCTTTTAAAAAAAAGAAATAGAAGTTTTGAATAAGAAATATTCCTTTTGTCTATGAAATAAATTAAAATGCTTTTCAAATAATGTTTTATTGTAATATTTTTCAAACTCTTCCATGGAATAGAAACAGCAAATATTTGCCAAATTATTCTATCATTCCAGCTACCAAAAAAGGCATTGATACCAAAACAGACAAAAACATAATGAAAAAAACAACTAGAAGTACATTTCATTTTGCTCATACATTTAAATGCAAACATTTTAAACACATTATTGTTGACTCAAACACAGCAGTTGCTAAATAATGTACTACACTGTAACCAAAGTAGTTTGATGGAAGAATTGCTAAATACTGGAAAATATATAAATATAAATTACCATGTCATATGCTTTAGATGAATTCTCCCCTTCAAATTTTATGTTGAAAAGTAACCTCCAATGTTGGAACTGAGCCTAGTGGGCGGTGATTTCGTCATGTGGGCAGATTCCTCGTGAATGGATTGTGGCTGTCCTCACCTTAGTGAGTGAATTCTTACTCTGAGTTCATTTGAGATCTAGTTGTTTAAAAGTTTGGAACTTTCCCCCTTGCTCTCTCTCTCTTGCTCCTTCTCTCATCATGTGATGTGCTGCTCTCACTTCACATGTCATCATGATTCAAAGCTCCCTGACGAAGCCAAGCAGATGCTGGCCCAATGTTTCCTGTACAGCCTACAGAACTCTGAGACAATTAGACCTCTTTACTTTATAAATTATCCAGTCTCAGGTATATCTGTATTAGTGATATTTCTCATATTATTTCTTTAGTCTCTATTCATAATATTAGATAATGTTCACTTTAGGTATTCTCAACAGTGTTATTAGAATAGTTTGTTCATTTCACAGGACTTCGTGTTGTGTAAATCAAGCATTGTTTACATTTTATTGTATGTGAATACAATGAAATCTAATGGTTGAGGTAGAGTGCCAATGCACTATAAGCCCTGTGACACTAATTAATTTGCTTATGGAGATAATAAGATTTTTCTTGCTTTTCAGTCTCCGTTCTACTACAATTAAACTTTGTTTCAAGTGTTCTCTCCGTAAGTCTTTTAGGAATAATTGGGGGTGGTCATTGCATAGAAAGAGGAACTGGAGTTGGATGTGTGACAGAGAATATTATGTTTTCATTACCTTGACTGATGCCTTAAGTTGAGATTTAATTTGGAGAAGTAAAGAGAAATATAAAAGTAATACTACTACTAGTAACATACATTTATAGAATGTGTTTTAGATACTATAACTCTTCAAAATAAGTTATGTGGTAGGCATTATTATTACCCTTATCTTATAAATGTGTCACTAAGACATTAACAGGAATATCATGTGCCTCCAATTCACACAGATAGTATATAATGGAGCTGCAACACTTCAATTTATTACACATGAGATCAGCACTAAAGCATTTTAAGGCTCTTTTCCTTTCTGTTACTTATTTGCTTATATGCCTTGAAAGTAGGAATATACATTACTCATATCAGTATCCTCAGAATCTGATAGTGTCTGGCACATAAACACTCAATTCATATATCAATTTATATATTAAACAAATATGTAGTTTCTTGTCACAAAGACTCACATCCCAGGTAGCTAATGCTTAAAAAGATGAATAGCCAATAAAAAACTACAAAAAGTCTAACATATCATCGATACTGAGGTGGCATAAGCCCTGTGAGAGAAGAGCAAACAGTATAAGACTCAGTGGAGGGAGGAAGGAATGGTAGGAACAGTAATGTTGAGATAGAATAGAGACCCAGAGTCTATGTCCTGGGAAACCACTTTTTTTAGTCTCTGAAGGAATTTGAGTAAAAATGATATGATCTGACATATTTTTAGGAAGACTCTCTGACTCCTAAGTGGATAATTCACTATAAAAGATAAGAGTAAGTTTATATGGCAATGTTCATTGAGTTACATATATAGTTAAAACTAGTATGTAGTGACCAATAAAAACTTTCTTAGAAGTGGAAGGTGCCTCATACCGCTTTTAAGAAATAGCTAGCAAATGTAAACAAAATATCTGTAGTTTAGATTTCCTTGGATTCATACAAGGAAAAAAAATTTGTTCTGACATTAAAAAGTATACGTCAGCAATTAAGACTATTAACAGAAATAGATAAAACAAAAGATATTGATCAAGTTATATGTTGGTATCAATAGGGTAAAAATATTTATGAAATAATTATATTCAGTAAATATATTGAGATCTTAATAATATTAATATAAAATGATTACTTAATAGTCTGATGATTAAATTTTGCCTTATGATTATTTTAACTTTAAATCAATATTTAACTTTTCTATCACTGCTTACTAAAACAAAATGAAAGCTGTGGGGTATCTGTAGTGTCAGTTTTGCAATATTTATAAAAACATGGTAATGTTTAAATATGACATTTGTATTTCAGAAAATTTTTTTCACACTGAATTTGAATATAAATGAGATGAATAAATTTACATCATTGACTTACATTTATATGTCTAGGAAATAAGTATAACATTTTTCTTTCCTTCAGGCAAAAAGTTGATATGCCTCATGGCAGTGTTCCCCAGGCTTGCAAATGTTCTTATGCATACCAGAAGTCATTTTTGTACTGTAATTTTGCAGAGTTTAATTAAACTATATGCATACAAATATAGGCATGAATTTCATTTTTTGTCTTTTCATGACTTCTGATATATATGTATTTGCATATATATGTATATATATAAAACAATGGAATTAAAATACATTGTTTTATGTTATTTTTCATATGTTTTATATGATAACCTTAAATACTTCATAGTGACCAGAAAATGTGAGAATTGAACTTATTTTTTTAATGATGAGTTTCTGAGAAATACTTTGGTACAATTGGATCTTATTTAGATAAATTCCACAAGTAATTTTTAAAAATACAGACTACCTTAAATATTTAAAATATTGAGAGCAACTAGAACATTCTACAAACATTCTTTTAGAGTACAGTTGTATTATGTAATAGATAGGCTATGCATTTTGAAGTCAGACAGTTGGCTTTGTAACTGTGCTTTTTCACTTACTAATTGTGTGGAGTTCAGCAAGTAATTTAATTTCTCATTCACAGTACTCTTATTTGTGGAAAACAAACACAGAAAAAAGAAGAAGGAAGGAAGGAAGGTAGGAAGGAAGGAAGGAGGGGAAGAAGGAGGGAAGGAGGGAGGGAGGAAGGGAAGGAAGGAAGGAAGGAAAGAAGGGAGGGAAGAAGGAGGGAGGGAGGGAAGGAAGGAAGGAAGGAATGAAATATTTTTGTCAAAGCAAACACTGCCCAGAGTAAATTGATGTTGGTTGTATACTGCTGAGGGGAATGAAACAATATGGTCATGTTGGGATATTCCTATGGAGGAATATGTTTTTGTTTTTCTCTTCCTGAAGTTGATCTTATGGGAGCTCAATGGGAGATAACTATTAAAATTGTCTACTATTTCTTCTAATGGGAGTTTTTACCTGTAAGATACAGCTTTATTTTCTTTATGTTACTTCAAAAATTCAAACAGTCTTACTAACTAGTGGAGATTAGAGCCAAGTATAGTGACTGGGTCCCACCATCTGAAAGTATAGCAGGGCTAGTGAATTTTATCATGAAATGTATGTGCTCTACTGTGCCTGACAAAAAAAGGTATGTGTATATGGAACCAGTGTTCAGTGTACGATATATTCTTTTAATCATCTGACATGAAATTTGAGGATTTAGCTATTTTCTACCAATGAAAAAAATAGCTCCAATAATGTAGCATTTAATACATGTTTATGGGTAATGTGGAAAAACATTATTTATCACATTACCTGTGTTTATGTGATGCAAACATGAACAAGTCTTATGGGCGTTGGTTTGTGAAATCAAAATAATTTTGTGCTTCAAAATATCACATCATATCCTAAAATATCCGAGGCATCATTTCTTGATAAAGCCTGAAAATTACAGAAAAATCTCTATCACTTGTTTTTATGTATTCTGCTAATCATGATCATTACCTAACTCTCATAAACTTTGTACATATAAGAAAATGCACTTATATAATACAACTCCAATGGGGGATCCACTTTATGTCAGTTTTAATTGTTTAGATGCTGAAATAAATTAACCTGAGTTACACGGTTTTACCACCAACGTGAAAGCTACTTCTCTGAGCTATAGGCCAGAGATTGGGTTTCTGGGGGGAAAAAAAAAAAAACTGTATGAGTTGTGTATTAGTCCATTTTCATGCTGCTGATAAAGACATACCTGAGACTGGGCAATTTAGAAAATAAAGAGGTTTAATGGAGCACTCACAGTTCCATGTTGCTGGGGAAGTCTCACAATCATGGTGGAAGCCAAGGAGGTACAACTCTCATTTTTAAAACCATCAGATCTCATGAGATTCATTCACTATCACGAGAACAGTGCAGGAAAGACCTGCCCCCATAATTCAATCACCTCCCACTGGGTTTCTCCCACAACACCTGGGAATTGTGGAGTTACAATTCAAGATGAGATTTGTGTGGAGATACAGCCAAATCATATTATTCCACCTCGGCTCCTCCTAAATCTCATGTCCTTACATTTCAAAACCAAACCAATATGCCTTCCCAACAGTCCCCCAAAGTCTTAACTCATTTCAGCATTAACTCAAAAGTCCACAGTCCAACATCTCATCTGAGACAAAGCAAATTCCTTCCACCTATAAGCCTGTAAAATCCAAAGCAAGTTAGTTACTTCCTAGATACAAAGGGGGTACAGACATTAGGTAAATATAGCTGTTCCAAATGGGAGAAATTGGCCAGAACAAAGGGGCCACAGGCCCCATGAAAAGCCAAAATCCATCAGAGCAGTCAAATCTTAAAACATCAAAATGATCTCCTTTGACTCCATGTCTCACATAAGGTCACACTGATGCAAGAGGTGTGCTTCCATAGCCTTGGGCAGCTCTGTCCCTGTGGCTTTGCAGGGTATAGCCGCCCTCCTGGCTGCTTTCACTGGCTGCTGTCAAGAGTCTGTGGGTTTTACAGGCACACAGTACAAGCTGTTGGTGGATTCTATCATTCTGGTGTCTGGATGATGGTGGCCCTCTTCTCACAGCTCCACTAGGTGATGCCCTAGTAGGGACACTGTGTGGGGGATCCAACCACACATTTCCCTTCTGCACTGTCCTAGCAGAGGTTTTCCATGAGGGCCCTGTCTCTAAAGCAAACTTCTGCCTGGGCATCTAGGTGTTTCCACACAACCTCTGAAATCTAGGCAGAGGTTTCCAAACCACGATTCTTTTCTTTTTCTTTTTCTTTTTTTTTCTCTTTGAGACGGAGTCTCGCTCTGTCACCAGGCTGGAATGAAGTGGTGTGATCTCTGCTCACTGCAACCTCTGCCTCCCAGGTTCCAGCAATTCTCCTGCCTCAGCCTCCCAAGTAGCAGGGACTACAGGCCCTCACCACCACGCCCAACTAATTTTTGTATTGTTAGTAGAGATGGGTTTTCACCATGACAGCCAGGATGGTCTTGACCTTGTGATCCACTTGCCTTGGACTCTCAAAGTGCTGGGATTACAGGCATGAGCCACGGTGCTGGCCTCAATTCTCGATCTCTCTGAATCCACAGGGTGAACACCACATGAAAGCTGCCAAGGCTTGTGGCTTCCCTCCTCAGAAGCAACAGCCCAAGCTGTTACCTTGGCCCCTTTTAGTTACAGCTGGAGCAGCTGAGACACAGGGAACCATGTCCCTACACTACACACAGCAGAGGGACCCTGGGCCCAGCCCATGAAATCATTTATTCCTCTGCCACTGGGCCTTTGATGGGAGGGGCTGCCACAAATATCTCTTACATACTCTGAAGACATTTTTCTAATTGTCTTGGTGGTTAACTTTCGGCTCCTTGTTACTTATGAAAATTTCTGCAGCTGGCTTGAGTTTCTCCTCAGAAAATGAGATTTTCTTTTCTACCACATTGTCAGGCTGCAAATTTTCCAAACGTTTATGCGCTGTTTCCCTTTTAAAACTGAGTGGTTTTAACCTCACCCAAGTCACCCCTTTAATGTTTTGCTGCTTAAAAATTTCTTGCTCCAGATACTCTAAATTATCTCTCTCGAGTTCAAAGTTCCTTAAACCTCTACAGCAGGGGCAAAATGCTGCCAGTCTCTTTGCTAAAACATAACATGAGTTACCTTTGCTTCAATTCCCAATAAATTCCTCATCTCCATCTGAGACCACCTCAGCCTGGACCTTATTGTTCATATAACTATCTGCATTTTTGTCAAAGCAACTTAACAAGTCTCTAGGAAGCTCCAAACTTTCCCACATTTACCTGTTTTACTGAGCCCTTCAAACTGTTTCAACCTCTGCCTGTTACCCAGTTCCAAAGTCACTTCCACATTTTTGTTATCTTTTCAGCAACACCCTACTCCTGGGTATTACTGGGTATTTACTGTATTTGTCCATTTTCATGCTGCTAATAAAAACATACCCAAGTCTGGGCAATTTACAAAAGAAAGAGGTTTAATGGAGAACTCACAGTTCCACGTTGCTGGTCAAGCCTCACAATCATGGTGGAAGCCAAGGAGGTACAAGTCGCATCTTACATGGATGGCAGCAGGCAAAGAGAGAGCTGGTGCAGGGAAACTACCATTTGTAAAACCATCAGATCTAATGAGACTCATTCACTATCACGAGAACAGTGCAGGAAAGATCCACCCTCATAATTCAATCACCTCCCTCCAAGTTCCTCCCACAACAGGTGGGAATTGTGGGAGTTACAATTCAAGATGAGATTTGGGTGGGGACACAGCAAAACCATATCAATGTACATTCAACTATTGATACTGCAGAGGATGACTTTAGGGAAAATGCTTCTGCAGTTGGTTGACACCATGATGACACAGACAACTGAAAGATACAGAATATCTAAAAATATTTTAGTTAGGAACCTATGCCTTTAAGAGTAATTACATGGGATTGAGTGAAACTTGAAATGGAAATTGATTTGTTTATTTATCTGAGACCACTGTTGTCATTACTTTCAATGGTCTATTTTCTAGTGGTAAAAAGCCCACCTTCCTTTTTTCCGTAATTTACATTATCTTTCAACATCATTTTTCAAGGTTTACTTATGCAATCTAGAATTAACACTCTGTTGAAAACCCAAGCCTAAAAGACAGTAACTTCAGCTACTGGCTTTTTAAAATTTCTTTTTTGATTTGTGGTTTATTGTGGTAGCAGGTACCTCAGAATCCATTAAAAAATAAAATCCAGATTTCAGGTGATCTACATTGAGGAATAAAATTAGGAATAAAAAGGTATTTAGGAACTAAATTTCTCAGAATAATTTTCACATTGTTGCAGCAGCCCATCTGAATCAAGAAAATACATAGATTTTCCTGGGTGGAATATAAGAAAGGAAATTATTAAGTAATAAGCTTAAAGTGAAAAATCACTAACACAAGCAAATGTGTCTCGAGAGAACTGAAGTATGATGCTTGTAATAATTGGAATTCAGAGGAGTGTTTTACAATATACCAAGCTTAGAAAAATCATAACCATTTTTATAAAAAGACATTGTGTCAAATTTTACTCTTTTAAACCACATCACCTTTGAAAAATATTAAGCATATTTCTAGGTAATTGCTCTGTCTGAGTCTAAAATAATTGTGTAAAAATATAGGTTTATAACAAAAATAAATGCTACAAATATTATTTGAAGTACCTTTATGATTCATTTTATGCTGCATGGAAATAAAGTTATGTTTTTAATTTTTGTAGGATTCAATCCTCCTTTATCCTTGATATAAATTAACCAAGTTTGTGGGAAAAGTTACTTCTAGATATATTTTATTTTTTTATATATGAGAAAAGCCACTACTACAGAGCAAGATTTACCCTTCATATGTGGAGATATATATATATATGTATATATATATATGCCTATATATATATAAGATATATATGTGTATATATATATGCCTATATATATAAGATATATATGTGTATATATATATGCCTATATATATAAGATATATATGATATATATGCCTATATATATAAGATATATATATATGATATATATGCCTATATATATATAAGATATATATATACATATATATGATATATATGCCTATATATATATATAAGATATATATATATACATATATATGATATATATGCCTAAGATCTTCTCCCAGAATACTGGTCTAATACTTTCCTTTAGTTAGATTTCTAAAACATAGTAATATGCTTTAGATTACTAATGCTTTAGTTAGATTTCAGTTCATGTGATGATAACTCACACTAACAAACATGGAAAATCCCTGAGGAAGAAGCACTGTATTCTTAATTTCTGTCCTCTAAGCATGATGGTTGATAAGGAAGTAAAATATTATTATTATATCTGGGAAAATAGGAGTAATAAAAATATAGCACTGTTTTATTTTATTTAAGGAACTTTCTTGGCAGAAGTTAATTCTCTTGCCTATACTTGTATGCATCACTTAGAACCAAGCTAGGAGGATTATGTGTGTTAAATATCATTGCGCACACACACACACAGTTTGTGTGTATGCAGAAAGGGAAATAAAAAATAAATTTAAGCATACAAAATATAAAATTCTTGGTGTAAAGACTACATGAAATATATACCATGGAAGCTGAGTCACAAGGAGATTTTGTTTAGAAATTCTCCCTGAATGTGGTAAATTTATGTAATAGAATCATATCAATGTGTATATGGCTATTACTGTTAGTCATAACAGCATGCTTATTGTATAAATTAGACTTTGGCTGATTTTCAACATGTATATGAAATTTAAAAGACAATCAAATAAACAGCAAATTCAATTAATAATTTCCCCCCCCCCACACACACACACACAAAAACACAATTAAACGGATCTTTTGTCATTGGGATTAGAGAAAGAAAATTGTCCCAAACCTCAGTGGTACAGAACATTTTTGCATGATGTAATTCAGCCCTTTGTGGATATAATTGCTATTCCAAATTAAATACATGAGTGATATTCTTACAGACTTTAATGAGATTAAAAACTCCTGGGAAGTTAGGGTTGCGTACTCAACTGATTGACTAGTTTAATGATCTTCAGGCAGATAGTCCTGCATTGTATTATTTCTTTTAATACTATCTCCTTTCCACACTGCTCATCCTTCAAGGCCTATTTAATTCTCTCTTACTGCAAGCTTCAAATATAATTCTGACACATGGTTAAAATATTCTTTCTGATAAATTTATTCACTATCACATACATTCCAATAAAGAAGAAAGCTTACATTCCTCAATGTAAACAGTGCTATGCATTAGGGGTTTCAAAATAAAGAGCCACCACAGATGTCTTAGGTAAAATATGTGCAGCTTATGCTATATGAAAAACCCTTTTCTAACCTTTTTTATGTATTATATTAACTCATTCATCCTCAAAACAACCCTGCACATGAAAGTGTTACTATTCTCACTTAACAAGTGAAAGTCTAAAGTTCAGTGAGATTAGGAAGTGTGCACAAGTCCTCACAATAATGAGAAACGCCTGATATATGTTAAAATTTTGATTTATTGCAAGCAAGAACAAAAATACGTTCCCAGTGGGAATAATCAGAGCCATCATGCTGTACAACTTCAAAAATGACAATTTATCCAATCATTGAAGATAAATCACATGAATTTATATTTTGCATAGTCTTTGAAAAAGAAGTTTCAATGTGGTAAAATATGTATAAGTACTTTAGATAAAATATATATTTTCAGTGGGTTAATGCAGAGAAATATATTCACAGCTTCAGAATATTACACATCAGTTAAAATGTTTCATGGATCTGGTATAAATAAACTGAACTGTGCTTCAGTATTATAAAATTAATGATTTATATATTACACATAAAGAGATATATATATATATATATATATATATATATATATATATATATATATATATATATATATATATATATAGTTGGGTTTCCATATAAGCTTCTTTATTAGTATTTTACCCTTTTCCCCCAAAGCAGCATGAAATATTGGATAGTTAGAATCCACTGAAAAGCTTATATACATACACACATATATTTAAATATTGGTGGATCTTATGTTACATAAAAGGCAATAAGCATGATTGGTAAAAATGTTCTATTTCTCTAGTAAACCTCTCTAAATATGTATTAAAATTTAGTTTTGATACATAATAATTGCACATATTCATGGGGTACATGTGATATTATGATACATGCATAGAATGCGTCATGATCAAATCAGTTTGTTTAGGATGCTAATCCCCTACATTATTACTATCTCTATGTATTGGGATCATTTGAAATCTTCTCTTTTAGCTATTAAAAATATACAGGCTGGGCACGGTGGCTCACACCTGTAATCACAGCGCTTTGGGAGGCCGAGGAGGGTAGCTCTCTTGAGGTCAGGTGAAACGCTCTTTCTACCAAAAATACAAAAATTAGGACCGGGCGTGGTGGCGTGTGCCTGTAATCCTAGTTACTTGGGAGGCTGAGGCTTGAACCTGGGAGGTAGAGGTTGCAGTGAGCCAAAATCACGTCACTGAACTCCATCCTGGGTGACAGGGTGAGACTCCATCTAAAATACATGTATACACACACACACACACACACACACACACATATATATATATATACACACAATATATTGTTACCTATAATCACCCTATGATGCTGTTAAGCGCTAGAACTTATTCCTTATAACTCTATGTTTGTACCCATTAACTAACTTTTCTTCGTTTCCAAACCCCACCCTTCCCAACCTCAGGTAACTGTCATTCCACTCTCTACCTCCATGATATCAACCTGTTTTTTAGCACTCACATGAATGAGAACATGTAATATTTGTCTTTTTTTCCTGGTTTATTTCACTTAACGTAATGACTCTTAGTTCCAGGCATGTTCCTGCAAAGTATTCTTTTTTCTTTTTTTATGGCTGAATAGTATTCAATTGTGTATACATTTTCTTTATCCATTGAGCCTTTGATAAACACTTAGGTTGATTCCATATCTTAGCTATTGTGAATAGTGCTGCAATTAACCTGGTTATCCAGGTTTTCAGGTATTTAGAATACCCTGGGTATCCAGGTATTTAAGTATCCCTTTGATATACTAATTTCCTTTCCTTTGGATAAATACCACGTAGTAGGATTGCTGAATTGCACAGTAGCTCTGTTTTTAGTTTTTAAGAAATCCCCAAAATGCTTTAAATAATGGCTGTACTAATATACATCCCCACCAACGGTGTGTGCGTTCCCTTTTCTCCACATCCTTGCCAACATCTATCATTTTGACTTTTTAATAATATCCATTCTAAATGGTGTAAGATAATATCTCATTTTGGTTTTAATTTACAGTTATCTGATGATTAGCAACATTGAGTAGTTTTTCATATACCTGTAGGCCATTTGAATGTCTTCTTTTGATAAACGTATATTCAGATTTTTTGCCCAGTTTTTAACATAATTCTATTTTTTTGCTGTTGTCTGAGTTCCATGTAGTCTGTATATTAGTTTTTTGTCAGATGAATAGTTTGACAAATATATTCTCTCATTCTACAAATTGTCTTTTCACTCCGTTGATTGTTTTCTTTGCTGTGCAAAAGCTTTATAGTTTAATATAGTCCCATTTGTCTATTTTTGTTGTGGTGGTGGTGGGCATTTGAGGTCTTGGCCATAAAATCTTTGCCAGGACAAATGCCTTGAAAAACTTCTCCTATATATATATATTTTTATTTTGTGACATTACTTCTAAGAATAGTTTTATTTTACTTTATTTTTTTATTTTATATTATTATTATACTTTAAGTTTTAGGGTACATGTGCACAATGTGCAGGTTAGTTACATATGTATACATGTGCCATGCTGGTGTGCTGCACCCACTAACTCGTCATCTAGCATTAGGTATATCTCCCAATGCTATCCCTCCCCCCCTCCCCCCACCCCACAACAGTCCCCAGAGTGTGATGTTCCCCTTCCTGTGTCCATGTGTTCTCATTGTTCAATTCCCACCTATGAGTGAGAATATGCGGTGTTTGGTTTTTTGTTCTTGCGATAGCTTACAGAGAGTGATGATTTCCAATTTCATTCATGTCCCTACAAAGGACATGAACTCATCATTTTTTATGGCTGCATAGTATTCCATGGGATATATGTGCCACATTTTCTTAATCCACTCTATCATTGTTGGACATTTGGGTTTTTTACTAATAGTTTTATAGTGTCAGATCTTACATTTAAGTTTTTAATTTACTTGGAGTGGACTTTTTATAGTGCTAGATTTAGTGGTCTAATTTCATTGTTTTGTGTATGAGTATACGGCACCTTTTCCCAGCATCTTTTGTTGAAGAGGGTGTCCTTTCCCTAATGAATGTTCTTGGAGGCATTGTTGAAAACCAGTTGGCTGTAAATATGTGAATTTGTTTCTGTTCTCTACTCTGTTCCATTGGTCGAAGTGTCTATTTTTATACCAATATCATGCTGTTTGATTACTATATCTTTGTGGAGTATTTTGAAATCAGCTATGTGATGCCTCCAGCTTTATGTATTTATTTATTTTGCTCATGATTGTTTTAGCTGTTTGGGTCTGTGGGGTTCTGTATGAATTTTAGGATTTCTTTTTTCTGTTATTGTGAACTATGCCATGGGAATTTTGACAGAGACTGTATCGATTCTGGAAATTGCTTTGCGTGGCATGGTCATTTTAACAAAACTAATTCTTTCCATTCATGAGCATGAGATGTCTTTCCATTTGTTTGTGTTCTTTTTAATTTCTTTCTTCAGTGTTTTGTAGTTTACCTTGTTGAGGTCTTTCATTTCCTTGGGCAAATTAATTTCCTGGTAATTTTTTAGCTCTTGTAAATGGGATTGCTTTCTTGATATTTTGTTTTCAAACAGCTCATTATTGGTGCATAGAAACACTTCTTATTTTTGTATGTTGATTTTGTATTTTGCAACATTACTGAATTGATCAATTCCAAGAGTTTTTCAGTGGCTTTTCTATATATAAAATCAGGTCATCTGCAAAGAGAGACAAGTTGCCTTTCTCTTTTCCAAGTTGGATGCTTTTTATTTCTTTCTCTTGCTTGATTGCTCTAGCTAGAACTTCTAGTACTTTGTTGAATAAGTGTCAAAAGTAGGCATCCTTATCTTGTTTCAGCACTTAGAGGAAAGATTTTCAGCTTTTTCCCATTCAGTATTATGTTAGCTGTGGGTTTGTCATATATAGTCTTTATTGTGTTGAGAAATGTCCTTTCTATATATAATCTATTTAGAGTATTTATAATAAAGGGATGTTAAGTTTTGTTAATATTTTTAGTATCTATTGGGATGCTTCTATGGTTTTTGTCCTTTACCCTGTTAATATGATCATAGTTATTGATTTGTAGATTTGCATATTGACTTGGGTATGTTGAACTATCCTTGCATCCCTTTGATAAATCTCACTTGTTCATGGTATATTATCGTTCTGATGTGTTGTTGGATTTGGTTTGCTAGTATTTTCTTGAGGATTTTTGCATCTGTGTTCTTTGGGGGTATCGACTTGTAGTTTTCATTCTTTGTTGTGTCCTTGTCTGATTTTGGTGTCAAAGTAATGCTGACCTTGTAGAATCAGTTAGAAAGAACTCTCTCTCTTCTTCAGCTTTTTAGAGTAGTTGAGAAGAATTGGTGTTCAATCTTCTGATAAGTTTGGTAGAATTTAGCAGTAGAGCCAGCAGGTACTGGGCTCTTTGTTGAGAGGCTTTATTACTAATTCAATATGATTACTCATTATTGATCTGTTCAGGTTTTCTATTTCTTTCTTATTCAATGTTTGTAGGTTGTATATGTCCAGGAATTTATTAATTTCCTGAAGTTTTTTAAAAAATATTTTAGTATATAGTTGTTCATAATTATCTCTGATGATCCTTTCCTGGAAATATTTTAAGTATTATTTTCCTGGGTAATATACTTTTCCTCAGTCATTAAGGTGAAATATGATTGAGCTCCTAATTTTATACTTACCGTTTCTAAGGATAGAGTAGGGGACAAATCATAAAATGTCCCCGCTTTCATGCATCTTATATTTTAATGGTAGAGGTTAAAAATTAAAGAATAAATAACAAATTTATTATGTTAGATTAGGGTTTATCAACCTTAATAAAATTGACATTTTGAACCATTAATTATTGTTGTTATGGGCCATTGTCTTGTTTATTTTATGTTTAACAGCATCCCTGGCTTCTTCCCACTAGATGCTGGGACACCTGACCTAATGGTCATGGGAATCAAAAATATCTCCAAATATTTCTAAATGTTCCTGAGGTTTAAGCTGGGGGATAATATTGACCCCAGTAGAGAATGACTGGAGTAATGATACTGCAATGGAAAAATACAAATAACTAGAATAGGACTGAACTGTGTGGTAGGTGGGTTGATTAAGATCTTAAATATTGCCTTCCCAACCCTAACCCTCATGATTTGCCACCTTATAAAAAGTGCAGGAATCCCGACATGTCTTTAGAGGCAATGACCCTTGGCTGAAGGTCTTTGCCTGGCTATGTGTCTGCCTGTGTCAATTACCTTCCTGTGTCAAATCTCATCCATCCCTTGTTGAGCTGAGAACAGTCACTTCCAGGGCAATTTAAATATCTGGTTATGGCACAGCCTAATATAGGAAAATGCCTTGATGGCTTAGATTTACAGTTCTATACAAATTTGATCATGAGCATTGGTCAAGCATGAGGCTCTATGTGTCCGCCGAGCAAGTGATATTGTGCTGTATCTTTAAAATGCAGGGTCTCTCTGCCCCAAAAATGTACTTAATTGGTCAGGCGCAGTGACTCATGCCTGTAATCCCAGCACTCTGGGAGGCTAAGGAAGGTGGATCACCTGAGGTTGGGAGTTTGAGACCAGCCTGACCAACATGGAGAACTTTCATCTCTAATAAAAATACAAGATTAGCTGGGTGAGGTGGTGCATGCCTGTAAACTCAGCTACTTGGGAGGTGAGGCAGGAGAATCGGTTGAACCTGGGAGGCGGAGTTTGCGGTGAGCTGAGATTGCGCCATTGCACTTCAGCCTGGGCGACAAGAGAAAAACTCCTCCTTTACTCAGAAAAAAAACCCAAAAAAACATAAACTTAATCATAAGTATCAAGTGAATGATCAATGACATCCAGAAATGATTGTTATTTTAAGCAGCCTACATGGATTATCTCAATTAAAATCCCAATAACATTATGCTCTTACTCATTATATTAGTTTTCTGTGGCTTCCATAATAAATATTTATGAATTTGATGAAGTGAAACAAGGAAAATCTATTCTTCCACCGTTGGGTTCAGAAACCTGAAATCAAGGTTTCAGGGGGTCCACACTCCCTCAGAAGGCCCTGGATGAGAATCCATTTTTTACTTCTTCTAGATTTTGATGTCTCCAGGCATTCCTAGTTGTTCCTTGGTTTGTGGCCACATCACTTCAATTTCTGCCTCCATCTTTGCAGGACCTGTGTGTCTCATCTCCTTTCACATCTCTTTTCTAAGGACACTTAGAAATGGCACTTAGGACACGCTTGGATAATCCTAGATAATTTCCTTCTCTGAGATCTTTAGTTTGACTACATCTGTTAATTTATCTGGTAATATTCACATTGACCACTCTTTTGTCTACCTAGACCCTATTGTTTTTTCAAGACCATGGATAAACTCAATCAGCTCAAAAAGTTTCCCTCTGGGTATTGTAGACAACTTCAATATTTCGTTTAAAATTTGTTTGAAATTATAACATAATAGCTTACTATACTTTTTCCTTATTTCAGGAATCATACCTTCCCTGTTTCAAATAACAAGCATCAAGCATCGTGATAATGTGGACACTAAGGAGCAACAATTTCTCTAAAGATAAGAATAAAGATAGACTTTTAGACTACGAGATGGGCCTGAAAAAATATCTGATCAAGCTACTCAGTTTTACAGATGAAGAAGGTGAAGCCTGGGAAAACCTAAAGAACCTATATAAGGTTCTCAGATAGACACCATGTTATCTGCTTGAATGAAGAAAATTTGGTAACATGTTTGCTGATCTTAATCTACTATACATTTTTTTAGCTTGTCAACTTGAACAAGTTTCTCAATTATTTCCTCATCTATTTTTTCTGATAAACTTAACCAAATCTTGTAAAATGAATGTTTTGAAAACGTATATCTTAAAGGAGCATTTTCTAATTTAATATTGATGTTTTATTATTTATTGAATCAAGGAAGTTATGCATATTTTGCATAAATATGTGCTACCTTATGTATGATAATATTTTTCTCCACAGTCACATATTAATCTGTCCTGACATTTTTCTATAATAAACATCATTATCTGAGACAGAAATGACAGGAAAAATTTATCCATTTTAATGATATCTAATTAAAATTTGTGTCTAACCTTAATTGAAATATATATATATATTTCAGTTAGTAAAAAAGGAAAGTCAATTGATGATGCATTAAGTGTCAGCATTATTACATAGAGATTGGAAGACATTAGGTACAAATGTGAATCTGCAAGAGTACCATTTGTATATTGCTAATTACTTGATACTGTGTCTTTTTAAGAAAGCTGTTACTCTTTATTCACTCTAGAGCATTTCAGACAATTAATTAGGCATTCATTAATAGATGATTAAACATTTTGTCTCTACATTGCTTGAAAGGAGTTGTAAATTACATCTTGCCCATGTTGCTAATTTGCTGTCCAGCAAACAGACTTGCCTGTGGAAATTTTGTAAATCAAGCTTATGATA
The DNA here is from genome assembly GCF_000001405.40 of Homo sapiens. NCBI lineage: Eukaryota > Metazoa > Chordata > Mammalia > Primates > Hominidae > Homo > Homo sapiens. The sequence goes on from NC_000014.9 coordinate 40,902,802, forward strand.
TATTGGCCATAGATTGTTTGTCTTCCAATTCCTCTTAGCTGTTGATAATGCAAATCAAGCCACATGAATGATAACCTGATAGAAGACACTGCTTTGAAAAGCTATACTCACATTAATACAAACTGTTCAGAATTGTTATGTGGAACATTTCTCTCTATAATTGAGAAGATAAACATGGCAAATAATATGCTGCTTCATCAAGTTTTGCATGTGAATCATTCCCAAAGTGAACTTTGAAAAGAGCTCCATAAATTCCATCAGAAAACAATGAAATATAAAACATCACAGTCCTTTACCATAGCTAAGCCAGCAAATAAATATCAGGTATAAAAACTCATATTGATAAAAACCAAACTTTACTTAACGTTACAGAAGTCCAAATGATTTTATCAAGATAATATGTGATTTAATATGTGAATCTATAATAAAGAATTCTGAGGCTGAGTGTGGTGGCTCATGTCTGTAATCCCAGCTCTTTGGGAGACCAAGGCGGGTGGATCGCCTGACATTAGGAGTTCGAGACCAACCTGGCCAACATGGCCAGACCCCATCTCTACTAAGAATACAAAAATTAGCCAGGTTTGGTGGCTCATGCCTGTAATCCCAGTTACTCAGGAGGCTGAAGCATGAGAACTGCTGGAACCTGGAGGCTGCAGTAAGCTGAGATCGTGCCATTGCACTCCAGCCTGGGTGACAGAGCAAGACTCAGTCTCAGAAAAAATAAATAAATAAAAATAAAAAATAAAAAAATAAAATAAAATTATGGTCACACAAGTTTCTAGAAAACCAACTTATTTCTGAGATAGCCCAGAGGTGACATACACTGACTAACCCACTGAGAGTATGTTTTATTCTTTGCTGAACTACTAGAACCTAGACTAGAGCCTCACATGCAAAAAGCATTCAGTAAAAATTGTGTTTACAGAAAATTACTATAGGACAATAATTATGTCTTATAAGTGGGTTTGTTTAAAGGGTTTATCATTTATTCTAAGTCACACATTTTACTCAGAAATACTAGCTTTGTCCTGGAAAGTTCAATTAAATAGAGAAAAGGAACAAGAACATACATTCAAGCCAAAATAAGCAAAGCTTTGCCTCAAGAAGGGTTGATGGAAAAAACAGAAAACAGAAAGCACTACAGTTTAATGAGTTACAGACTGCTCAGCAGAAAAGACAACATAGACATATAATACAGGTCTTTCTGCTAATATATTCCTTTCTTTGCTTAAAACTAAGTACAGATATTACTTTGGAACCCTTTGAATGTGGGAAATTAGTTTCCTCCTCAGCATTGTCCTCTACTACTTTTCGGAGTATAATGTGTATGACATTCTCTCAGTAAAATTTTGATACACTTGATAGTTGAAGGTTAAAGAAGAGTAGAAATCATCTTAACACCTTACTAATGGGAAATTTTTTCATAGGAATACACATAATTTCCAGAAAGTTACCTTTTTATAGAGGGCATCATGCATAATAACACCTTTTGGCTCAAAATAGAAATTATTTTTAAGCTTATACTTTTGCCATACGTTAGAGCAACTACTGATTTAGATTGTTCTGTTTTACTGTTCTAGAATCATTCCACACTTGCCTCTTGGCATCCATAATCAGAAAAGTAAATCAAGAAATAAACTATAAACTGATCAATGTTTTATTATTTTCCTTATAGCCTTTTATTTTACCATGAGGAGTTTCTGTATGTAAGGCACTTTAGAATATGAATGATTTTCATGGCATACACATAAGGGACTATTAAAAACAACTGACATGTTTTTGGTAAAGTATTTGACTGTTTATTCTTCATGTAACTGAAAATATTCAGCATTGAAAGAGTTTGCATTTCATGATGGCTACAAAGTTGAAATTTACATTCTGGTTTCTTAAAGGCAGGAACTACATTCTGCAAAGGGCAAATTTCAAAAGACAAAACTTAATCCTTATACTAGCAAAAGTTTGATTAGATAAGTTCTACATACTTAGCTGCTTATATAAATACAGGTGGCTGAGGCTGAAAATGAATGCCCCAGGAAGAAGTAAATCAATTTTACAAAAATTATCAAATGGCATAATGATGGGCACACAATGCCCTCCACCCACAGCTGTTCTTGCATTTCTAACATAAAAGGCAGCACAAGACAGAAGGGAAACACTGACAAATAGATTGGTTCTGCCATTTCCTTAGCATTATGTGCCCTGTCACTTTTTGAATTTCTTAGATAAGATGCAATTTCTCTTTAGTTTTTAATGCCCTTTTAGATATTTTTTGTTACAGGATTCGTTACCATGAATCCAAGGGACTTTATTTTGGCACTTTGACAGAAAGGATTGGACTGCTTAAACAAGAACTAATAAATAGCTTCCATTTCCTACATGAAAAAAGTAATACATGTTTATGCTGTTTCCTGGATTGCACATGTAACTGGCAGCAAGAAACACCCTCGGAATAGTAATCATAAAATATCCTTGTTTATTCCAAAGCATAACTATAGAAATGTGTGACAATCTGAATTTCTTTTGTATGCCAAAATATGCTGAGAAAGTACTAATGAATGCTGTGCCATTCTAATTTTGTATTAATGAAATAATTTATTATTTTTTCAGTTTTAATTAAAATTGGCTTTGCATCAAACTGTGCTTATCACATTGATCACATGATAAAAAGGGAATTTTGTCATTTATCAATAAAAATGATTATGTGTATTATCTAACCATTAATGACACATTTTAGAGTGTGAAGATGTTGGCACACATTTTCATTATTTTTTTGTTTCCTGAAAAAATAATTTATTATTGCCATGTTTATGGTTCCATCCTGTGCAATTAATTATTACAGAACAAAGCAAGACTAACAAAAGTTTTGATAGTAATACAAGCAGTCAGATTGAAATTTCAGTCTTTTGGCTATTGACATAAGTTTCATATCAGTAATAAATTACTTGAGGTGTCAATATATGCTGAAATTAATATTATCTATTAATGCATTGTTTCAAATTATGACATGTATTGATATGTTAAAATATATTTACATAATCTGTTCTTAAAGTTTCAGTAATATTTTCCATTTTGTAATGCAATTGTCTATTCCCAGGCAAACTCCACTTCCATTTTCTCTCCAATTGTTTTCAGAAATGTGCAGTTTGTGATATCACATGTAAAAAAGAAAGAAAGTGAATTCCTTTGAAAAGACTACCCACACAGAAGAGGAATCGCTTAAGTTTCTCATTGGTACAATACTTGCATTTATAAACAAACTGATCAGAAAGTAGTGAAGAGAAAAAAAGGTACTTTGTTTAATCTCCTGAGAGCAGCCTCTTTCTGTTTTTGGTGGAAGAACATGCACAGCCATTGACAATTTCAATCCAGACCCAAAATTAAGGGTAACTCATCCTAGATTGTTGCAAATCTGTTGTCCTAGATTTTAGCAACATTGGCTGATTTAATCCTTTCTGAAGATGTTTAAATAGACATTTGTAAATGGCTTTTATTTAACCATAATCAGCTGAAATTAAGTGATTTTTAAAAAAATGATTCTCATTTAGAAGGGTATATGTTAAACTAGGTTTGGAAACTATCATAAGAATTACAAATTTCCCCCAAGTGATATTCTAATAAAAAGCAGTGTAGCAGGTATTAATTATTCGTCTGAGGGAAAAAACCCACCAGCAAACAGATCCATGATAATAAATGTAATACTTACCAGAATCAATTGAGCGTCTATTATGCAACCACTTTACACAGTGTTTTTAAGTGAATAATCTCACTCGCTGCTTACAGTAGTGATGCAAGATGGACTATCCCTGTTTTGCAGGTTAAATAACAATCACAATAATAACAATGGTTGTAGAATCATGAAGTAGATTTTTAAGGACCATATAGTTAGCAAAAAATTAACCTGACATTTTCACTTAGATTCTGAAAACATACTCTTAAAAGCTCCACCTTAAAGTAGTTAACTGTTACAGGTTAAAGAGACGTCTTAGTTGGAAAATAGCTCAGAACATCTAGAAGATAAAATTGCATTGTATATAGTCTACTATATTCTGTAGCTCATCCTCCTCCCAGCACTAGGTACCATTTCTCTATTACCAAAAATGATCAAATTCAATTATTTAAGCTGCTTACTTCCATATTTGTGTTCATATATCTAAGAAATATATATGACATTTCTTATATTTTCAGCTTCTGGCATTGATTATTGACTACCTACCTTGGGAAATTAGTATTTAGTAAACTTTTACTGCCTCTGTCCATTTACCATCGTATACATGTAAGTTTTCTGTTTCCCATAATCTATATATATATATATATATATATATATATTCATGCATATTTATGTGTAATACACACACACACACACACGCACCCCTACACATCTTTGGGTAAATCAGTATTCATTATCTTCATTTTTATAACTAGGTAAATGTGGCTCACAGATAGTCAATACATTATTTGTGATTTCTTTTTTTAACTTTTAATTTTCCTTTGGGTTAATACAATTATTTGGTGTCTTATTATTAGTTTTATTTTCTCTATTCTTATAACTAATTTATCTCCAAACAATGCCCTAATTGTCTGTATATTTCTTCTCAATACATTCAAACTAATCAAGTATTGATGATGATCAATTGATCTTATCTTTCTAAGGTCATATCTTTCTAAAGTCTAAAGTCATACCTACTATGGAGAGGTTGCTCTAAAGGTTTGCTGCATAGCTGTCATTTAGAAACTTTCCATAACCATTTTACAGAGTATTTCCTTTTCTTCTCTTGTGATTGAATTGACTGCTTTTGGATTCCAAGTCTTCCTTCTTGTTTTATTACGTCATCTTAGAGGAATATCAACTCTAGTAATTTCCTGAAAAAGGAGAGAGGTGGAGATTGAAGGCAACATCCATTTAAAATCTCTCTCTCTCTCTTTTTTTTTTCTTTTTTCTTTTTTTTTTTTTTTTTTTTTTGAGACGGAGTCTTGCTCTGTAGCTCAGGTTGGAGTGCAGTGGCGTGATCTCCACTCACTCGAACCTCTGCCTCTGGAGTCCAAGCTATTCTCCTGCCTCAGCCTCTCTAGTAGCTGGGATTACAGGTGCCTGCCACCACGCCCAGCTACTTGTTGTATTTCAGTAGAGACGGGGTTTCACCATGTTGGCCAGCCTGGTCTCTAACTCCTGACCTCAAGTGATCCACCCACCTCAGCCTCCCAAAGTGCTGGGATTACATGTGTGAGCCACCACGCCCAGCCTGTTAAAATCTTGCATGTCTGAAAAACCTTAATTTTCTTTCATACTAACATCGTAATTAGATTAGATATAGAATTCTAAGTGAAAAAATATTTTCTTCCTAAGCCTTTTGAAGTACTGTTCCATTGACTTTTGTTGCCAGTATTGTTACCAGAACACTTTTGTTCTTTTTTCATGGACATAATATATTCCTTACTTATGGAGAAATTTTGGAATTGTCCTCCCCTTACACAGTTTCTTATTCCTCCAAGTTGCTATAATTTGTATGTTTTAATCTCAGTATTTCTTCTTAGACAATTCCTTTAGATGTCTGGCTGTGCTTGATTGTCCACTTAGAAATAAAGGCAATACTAGACTCTGCTGGTAGTCTTTGTCCATTTGTGTATGGCTATCTCCTCTGGCCATCAATGTAGGATGATATGGATGGGCTATTTCATTTTAGAATTCCCTATCATTATCTACAGGTCATTTTTCCTGTGTTTATAGTTCGTAATGAAGCCACGTTCAATCTCCAGATAGAGAGGATAAACTTTGCTGCCAGTATTCTGGGAGTAAAGTTGGGAAGAGCGCTGGTGGTTTCAGAACTCATTTAATGTATGCCTAGTTTTTACTGTGGTATTTCTCTTCAAATGGGTCTTAATTTTCTAAATACTGTGTGCCTTTTGTTTTACTCCCACCAGAAGCCAATTCTGCAGTCTTCCACTGATTGTACTAAGAGTACTAAGTGTGTAATTGCTCATAAGATCTTTCAGCCTATGATTTCTTTTTGTGTCCCGCCTAAATTCTACATCTAGAGGTACCCATTGTCAAATATTCCTGAATATTTTTATGTTTTATGTTTTCTCATATTGCTTTCCAGTTTCCTCCATTGAGTAATTAGAATTCCAGCTGCCAAATAAGATACAGGACTCCCAGGTAAATTTGAATGTACTTATTATAAAAGAAGTATTCTTTATCTGAGATTAAATTTAACTGGCCATCTTGTACTGGCATTTGGTAAATATTACAATCCTTTTTAGAAATCATTTTCTGGTTCTGATCAGTAAGCTTCTACTTACCCTTTAGTTTATACATTTCAAAATTTGTGACAACCATCGTATCTCTTGGATTTTTTTGTACTTATGTATTTGTGCTTTAAAAATTCTTTTTCTGTCACTTTAGTGCAAGTTGGAAAGGAAGCTAAGGTTCTTTTGTTCTGTCCACTATGTAATTGAAAATATTTTTTAAAATGTGATCTGAAGAGAAATGAGAGTAAAAACAATTATTTTTAAGGCAATTCCCAGAATTATTTCTTAGGTACTAAAAGAGTAGCTGAATTCTTTTGATTTGTCCATGCTTAGAAATCATTAACCACCCAAAATATATATTAATTTGCTTTTAAATTGGATATTATCACTGGGATTACATTGCCTTAAAGTCCCATAGAAATATTTTATTAACTATGAATGTGAATTTTGGAAATGAAATTTGTAATATGTGTTTTTGTTTACTACCATCACTTAACTGAATAATTTCATAAAACAAGAAAGACAAAAATATAAAGGTCCTCAGGAGTTATTAATGCATTCATCTGCTTGACATTTTTACCAGAGTGAATCATAAGTTGAGCATAGTATGCAAATTATCCTTGGATTCATTACATAAAATTCATGCCATCTTGAATCTGTAGTCCAGTTCATAAAATGACATAGAAGGGTTTAAAATTTTTCTGGAACTGAATGTGAGAACTGGAGGAAGTCTTGAAGCTCATTTTGTAACGGGAACCAGGTTTGGCTGCTGGTCACTCAGATTCCAAACACAAAAGGTACGGGTTGTTAGGAAGAAAAGCAGGCTTTAATCAGAGCCAGCAAACCGAGAAAATGGTGAACTAGCATCCTAAAGTACCATCTTAAATTTTAAAATTTATTGTAGAATTTTTTAAAGGAAACAGTATGGAAAGCATGCAGCTGTGGTGCAGGATGCAGGGCTGTGTGTGTTGTTCTGATGGCTATCTTGGGTAATCGCCTGTCTGAGGATCTGATTGGCATTCTCTTGACTTCAGCCTGACGATGGCAGACAGACTGCTACTCTCCCTAACTGGGAAGATTCCACAGGGGCTCCTTGCTTGGTGTGTTTCAAGATTAGCCTCTGGAATTTCTGAAGCAAGAGCACAATTAGGTAAGCATGGATTGCTGGAGGCTAGTGTCTAGAGAGGGAAGGAGTAAAGAGCTGAGAGGGGAGGAAAGAGAGAGAAAGTGGGTGATTTTTAAAACAGATCCCTATTACAATTTTTCCTGTCTTCCGACTTTCTATATGACTCTTCTTCACAGGTTCCAACTTTTCTGCTGACTTATTAAAGCATGTACATTTTAAAATGAAGTCTTAAAAATAGTATAATGTACAACACACCAATTGGGTTCCATTTTATGCATACTAATAGCTATATTTAAGTAAATAACCTGATTTCATATATAAAACCATAATCTCTTGATTTTCTACACCACTAAGACTCATACAATTTGAAATTGGGTTTTAAATTAGTCATAATGCATTTATTTAAAAATGATATAGTGCACAGAATTTTTTATTCTCTATCCTGGGACTGTTTTAGTGAATTATGATGACTGAGAAAAGTTGTATATACTTTGGCCAGGCGCGGTGGCTCACACCTGTAATCCCAACACTTTGGGAGGCCGAGGCGGGCGGATCACGAAGTCAGGAGTTTGAGACCAGCCTGACCAACATGGTGAAACCCTGTCTCTACTAAAAATACAAAAATAGCCGGGCTTGGTGGCGCGCGCCTGTAATCTCAGCTACTCAGGTGGCTGAGGCGGGAGAATCACTTGAACCCGGGAGGCGGAGATTGCAGTGAGCCGAGATTGCTCCATTGCACTCCAGCCTGGGTGACAGAGCAAGACTCTGTTAAAAATAATAATGATGATAATAATAATAATAATAATAAATTATACATTAACAGTGTTTATAAGGTTTGTGTAAGTTTTGTGAAATTGTTGTCAGAATCATTTCTATTACCCTAAAATCATATCTTGGAGGCCATTATGAGATGTTATCTCTTTTAGGGAACATTCTGGAATATTATGTGCTAATGCCCTTTATGTCTTAGGGTGATATTTGGTTTCAATTATGTGACTTTTTATATGGAATTCAATGTAGTGTGAGTGTGCACGCAAGCGCAGCACACCCACGCAAGGGTATCTGGGTGTAAAACAGGGAACCCTGACGTGCTTGTTTCTCATTTCTACTGTTAACATTACTGCACTCTGCCAGTTGGGTCTGTGTTACCATCTGTCACTTGAGGAATGTGTCTGTCAATTAGCACTTCTACAATGCTATCTGTTGACTCACAAAAGTTACCAGGAAAATAACTTGTAAGCTACTGTCAGGAGGAAATTGAACTAGGTATCAAGTTCTTTAGAAGTACATTTATTTCAACAGCATCTGTGTGTCAAATAGTGATGAATGCCCTTTTTAACTAGGTAAGAAAGTGAAATTTGTCTCTTCAAAGAAACTTCTATAAGGTAGGCTATATTCTTTTTGCAATGCCATTAGATTTATTAAAAGATTTTCAAATTTTTACATTTATTCTTCATATACAATTTTGAAGTACATTCAGGAAAAACCTCATTATTGTTAAAGCTCCTAGATTTCAGAAATGATTCATACCTATATGTAGAAAATCACTAATATAAAAGTGTCTGATACTCCATTTATCCTGCTACAGCGTAATCCATAATATCTTCATAATATCTTGAGGTTAAACTATTGAAGGTGAACATAATTTCCAAAATCGTTTCTCTTTGTGCCATGACCAAATGCTTTTCCAAGGTTTATTTTAGAAGATGATTTCCCATGAAGTCTGTTGTCTATAATAATATGACATCTATTTAAATGGAAGAATTCTAAAACTTAACACACTGGAGTACCGTTGTGGAGATATAAATGCAAATGTCTTCTCAGTTGCCATTTGTTCTGCTTGTTTTAACTGAATACTCTGATTATACATTTTAGAGCTTAAAAATAAAGTTTATTTAGCCTAAGAGTCTCATAAGCAAGCAGTTACCTACTTTTCCTAAACTAAATAGAATGAATGAATTTATATACATTTGTACATGTACGTATGTGTGTACATATGTAAGTAAACAACATATATGGACATACACATATGTATTATGCATATGTGTGACTATGTGTGTATATATGTATGCATATGTGTGACTATGTGTGTATGTATGTATATGTGTTTATCTACACATGTGTATGTATACTTATATGCATTAATCTTCAATATAGTAGGTTAAAAATAGAAAATTCAAAAATAGATTATTTTAAAAGCACAACAACAGAGTTCATTTAGCAAGAAAATTGTATGTGTACTAGTTAATATCCAGGGATTTTGGAATTAAACAATGGCTCCGATTCAGCACATAATAGCAATGTAGTAGCAAATTTTTTTTATGTCTCTCAGTTTTAGGTCCCTAATCTATAAAATGAGAATGGGAATATTCTACAGGATATTTATTAATGTAATAAATAATAATGTGTCTAGGTAGAAGACAGTATGCAATAAGTACCCAGTAAGTGTTAGCAAAAATTGGTAAAATTATTTTATTCATTTTAAGAACCTCTAAAAAATAACCGTATTGTAATACAGTAAAATAATTCCATAATAATAGCATTAAGTCATCTGAGTCATACATATGTTTAGATTTTATCCAGGATTAGATCTTAAAGATTATCCATTCTCTTCTTTCATAGACAATGAAAACGAACTCCCAAAATCCTTGATGAAGAGAATTTTAATTATTTTCAATTTACCTAAGTTACAAAAAGGAATAACAAACACTTGAACATTCCTCTCATCATATTAAACACTTTTATTCTTGTCTAGTTTCAGGGTAACTTAGGTTGAACATTCCTCTCATCATATTAAACACTTTTATTCTTGTCTAGCTTCAGGGTAACTTAGGTTCTTGACATCAGGTCTTTAAATGACTATGATGATATGTATTGGCACACTTCATAGATGACTGGCTCTGCAAACCTACATGCCATTCATCACTATACACGTGCAAAAGCAAACTTTGTAACCGTAAAGGTCATACTTATGTTGGTATTCAGATGATGTTTGGGGAAGGAGGAAATTTTTCATAAGCCCCCACTTGGAGCCTGACACCACTGTCACCAACCCAAGTGTTTTTCTCACGAGAACCTACTGCAATCAATGAGGCAAGCTTCTAGCCAGTTACAATATATATTCTTAACTGAGAGTGTTTCTTTCAAATGTTGGAAAGTAAATTGAAGTTTCTTCAAGTTTCTTATTTTAGGGTATTCATTTTTATCAAACTTCCAATCCTGTACTGTGTGAGAATTCTTTATATGTCTACTCTATATTTAGTATCAGGGAAAACATTTATGTTTTTCAGTACAGAGTTATGTTTATATTTTGGTTAAACATAAAAGTGCTGTTGCCTTCCATGTCAGCTTGAGATTTTCCCCAATATTGCAAAAGACAACACCAAATTCTGTTCCCACAATAGACAATTTACCTACTCTGAAGCAATTTACAAAACATATATAGCTTAAATATGGACAAAATTTTTCCTGAAACAAAAGAAATGGTGAAATTGTTAGGTTCAGGTTGTATGCGTGCCATTGTTGCATGTCATGTCACCATTAGAGCAACTGACTCTAAACCTCCTTTCTTGCCTAGATAGTTTGGGAATTGAGACAATCCACTGATAAAGCCTTGATTCTGACACACATAAGGGACCAAATGAATTCATGTGGTCTGGAAGGGACAAAAAATATGGTCTGAAGGGTAAATTATTAGTTAAGTATTAATTTTTTATTTTAATTTCTCAGCTGGGCAAGTTCCTTAAACATAGATCTGTTAAATTTTTGGAAATCTAGTGTTGTTTTCACAAATCCAAGATTTAAAGATTTGGAAGCAACTAGAAATAAAAATAATAGGCTTCCCTGAATTAAGTAGGTGGGACAAATAAATGATTTATATGCATATTGATCAATACAGAAGAAATTCGTATGTTGAAATGAAAGCTTCCAAATGTTCACTATGACACTTAGTAGGATAGTCTTCTACTAACTCTAAGAGACTGAAAATGTTATGTGCTTTATCACATAAACTTGTATTTCATCATAAGAACTGTATAATTTCTATTGTTTTTTTTTTCCATTTTTTACCCTTTCCTTCTTGCTCTTAATCTTTCCCTTTCTCTCTTTCTCATTGTACATGGGAGGAACTTAAAACTCTATATAGCAAGTAGTAGATGAGCTGAGACACAACAAATAAGAGCAAGACACTATTACTCATAACACAACAGCAGAAGCACTAGTGTAAATGTGCTGATTTCCCTGCTCTGAAGTTGTATGGGCAACACAATGGAACCAGATGGAGGACATGAATCCAATAGTGTATGTCATCACCCAACTAGTGGTACTGGTGGTGGGAGTATAAAGATTCTTCACCATACTGTAGGCTACTGAGGCTGGACAGACAGAGAAGCATTAAAACAAAGTGACCAATGATACTTCGGTTATTTCTCTTTCTCCCTTATACAAGCAAAGGAGAAGTCATCGTCCTTACAATGGTGAATATGCCCTCCGTCACCACTGAAGAGGCAATTTAGTAGTGTCTGCTGAGACAAGGAAGCTCCAAATCACTGAGAAAAATTACATTTCAACACCTCTGGATGTTTCTCCTTGACCCAATCCCATAGCCATTGCTCAATAATTTCATGAGGTAGATGAATGCCACCTAGATTGGCAGTGTGAATAAACAAGGCAGGTTGGACTGAATGTGGGTAGTTACTTTAAAAACAAGAACTAGACCTGGCCAACCAGTGGCCAGGAGGCCATTCTCGGGGGACCATTAACCGTGATTGCTAGAAGTCATTCAGGGAGAATACAATTGTAAATTGTATTTTCTTTCCAGGGTCACCTATGTACCCTCAGGAACTTTGCTTTTTGTGTGAAAGCCAAGCATTAACTTGCAATGTGCCTTTCTTTCAAAAAACTTGGTGTCTTACGCCATGTGAATAATCACAAAAGACTTTCAACTATAGAAGGAAACTTCATTATAGATTATGCAGTTCTCAGATGTAGGCAAAAATGTCTCCAAAATGAGATTACCTTTGTTTATGCAGGGGAGTTAATAAATGACCTAAATGGGAATGGTCCCATTAGAAAAGGTGGTATGAAATTTATCCCTGACATTAGCTGAAGTGATCAATAAAACCACCTCAGCCCCAGAAGGCATTCAGGTCAGCCTCTGCTCGCTGGCCAAGATTATTACGGATGATAAAATTGTCCAGGCTTACAACTTTGGGGTCAAGACAGCGTCTGTGCAATAGCTAATGAAATTAATGCACCAGAATAAGTGGAAAGATCAATTAAAAAATTAAGGAGGAATGCCCTAAGGGTTCCCCTGAGCTGCTTGTGTCCAGAACCCTGGGGATACGGTTGAGTTCAATACTGCACATTGGCCTCTTCCTGCTGTTTGGAGTCTAATAGTAGCCTTAATTAGATGCCATATGAGACAAATTGAATAGATTTTTTTCAGTTTCTGTTAGTGAGATTAATCAGAGTAGCCAGCAGAATGAAGTGCTTATAGGAAAATTAGCCAGAAGCCGAGGCACTGTAGGACTGAGGAGTGGATATTGATGAAAGACCATTCTCTATAGGTCTCTCATTTCTGAATGCCTTATGAAGGGACTGTGACTGTTTTATTTATAGCTATTTTTAAAGAATGTTTATAATGCAAACAGCCTTGGAAATTAGAGGTAGTGATTCTCTGGGGAGCAAAAGTTGAGTTTCCTTGCATACAGCCATGGAATATAGAGATAGTATGTTTCTCCAAAGTAAAGGGCAGACATTCTTATTGTCCTGGATACTACAGATATCATCTCATGCTGCAGTAAGGTACAAACATAGTTACTGAATATTATAAAAACCTTGGCTTCCTAATTTCAGGTTTCTTTCCCTATAACATAGCCCATTGCATGTGGAAACCTCCATCAAGGCCCAGTTAGTTACCCCTGTAGAACTTGGGAAAAAGGAGAAATGACACAATATGCTAATGCTCATAGTGTTTGCTGTACTGCGATTAGTACAGTTCCCTGTATCTGATCTAAGAGCCTTATTTTTTTTAATCAGTTTCCGTGAAACTGTGCCAGGCTAAATGTTGCTTTGCAAAGATCTTGAATTTTGCAAATTTTAAGATCTTTCGTAGCTCGTCATACTGCTCTACATTAGGCAGGGAAATGTGTTTCTCCTTTATAAAATATTTTGTTATAGTTTTTTTTCAAATTAAGTAAGTTTCTTTTTATTTTTAGTCTAGTAAAACAATTTATTTAATGCTTTTTATACGTCACTTGAAATTTTCCTCTTAAGTCTGCTAGTGGAGTGATTTCACTGACAAATTCCTGATATTAAATCACTCTTGCATCCCAATGATATAACATACTTTAAAACAATATTTTATTTTGTAAATTGTTAATTTCATTTAAAAAATATGTTATTTTGGAACTATGCTTTTATTTTCATGTGTAAAATTTGCATCATCCACACATTGGCTCTGCAACTGATAGAGGGATGATTCTTTGGTGAGAAAGGCAAATTATTAACCTGTGGAACTTCACCCTCCTTTCAAAATTGTAAACCAAATGCAAAATCTCATTTTAGAGAAATTTCAAAAAACTGCCATCATCCATTAACTTCAAAGATAAAGAAATGAGGAGTCCTATCACTTTCTTATTTATCTCACTTGATTAAGTTTTGAATGGGCACCGATTATCATCCTTTAACCTCACAACTGCTATTCAGGACATTATCTCTCACCTGGAAAAAAATCACCCATGGAATTTGATATGCAACCATTTTTTTTCTAGAAAATAATTTTATTCTATATGTGTTGTATTAGAATCGTGCAGAGAAACAGAATCAATAGGTTATTAGACACATACACACACACGCACACATGCACAGAATTGGTGCACATGATAACGGAGGGTGAACAGCCCCATAGTCTTCAGTTGGCAAGTTGGAGACCTAGGGAAGCTGGTGGTGCAGATCAATTTTGAATTGAAAGGCCCAAAAACCAGGAAAATCAATAGTGTAAGACCCAGTCTCAGGGCATGAAAAAGTGGATAATCCAGCTCAGCCAGTCATAAGAGATAGAGCAAATTCTCCCTTCCTTTTTATTCATTTCAGGCCGGCCTTCAGTGGATTGGGTCATTCCCACACACACTGGGGAGGGCAACTTCTTTACTCCACCTATAAAGTCAAATGCTAATCTTATCCAGAAATGTCCTTACAGACACACTAAGAAATAATATTTAACCAAATATCTGGGTACCCAGTTCCTCAGTCAAATTGACATATAAAATTAACTATCATATCTGTTGACCAGTAAAACTAGAATCACTTTTATTTCACATAAGAGTGAAAGGTATGCGTTTATAATGATGTATCTTCTTAGTCTTTTCTTGAAGATAATTAAACTATTTTGGTTTTTGCCAGATGTTAGCCAAAAAGGGCATTGCCACTGTAGCACAGAACACTATGCTGTTCCTCAGAAAACATAATATTTATTAGAATTGATGAGCTGGAAGTACCAGCTATCCTAGAAGAACTTAGTAAGTCATAGGAATAAATGCTGGGTGAAAAACCTTAACAAAAATTAAAAGATCAGCCTCCTTGGTGAAGTTACCAGGGATTCAGTAGTCTGTAAGCAAAACTTTGTGCCATCTATAGCCAATCCAAATCCCAATGTCTTGTGCGAATTTGGATTTTTTTAAGTAAATATGTACATATTTACGTATGCTTTTAAAAGTTAGCTGCCAAGTAGCCTATAAAACTTGCAGTTTTGAAAGGTCAAGTGAAGGGGAACACTCTACAGCAAGTCTAGAGTTCAGCACAGCTGTCTTCTATATGGAAATCGTGACACAGTTGTTACAAATGTGTTTTAAGTGTCTATGGCAGTGGTTGAAAAATTCCAACCTGCTGGCAAAATCCAGCTCATTATCTGTTTTGGCACACAAATTTTTATTTGAACACACTCATTTGATTCTATATTGTCTATATCTACTTTTTTATTACAATGGTAGAGTTGAGTAGTTGTGACAGAAACCATATAGTCTTCAAAGTCCAAAAAATTTACTCTCTGGCTCTTTATACAAAATCTTTGCTAACCCTTGGTTTATGACATTTCGGGATTTGGAGAGAAATCATGTAATCTTCTGCAAGTAAACACTCTCCTTTGCCAATGGGCCCTGATAGAGAAGTGAATGGCTTGAATTTGGAATACCAACTGACAATGTAGGCTAAACTGCCCATTGTGAATTAGGCATTTTCTGATTCTCTTAACAAAATGTTTAGTATACAGCCGTTCTACATTATCAAATGGTGCTGAACGACATAAGAATCATGAACAGGTCAAATTCTCAAAGCATCTATTTCTACTGCTTGTATTCTCCTTTCGCTCACACCTACATCTTAAGAATATAACTTAGAAATACCCTGTGTCCAATTAGTGGAGGAAGAAAAACCTTGCTTTTGTTTGCAGATCATTTTGTACTATATACTGGCACCAAGAAGAAGGGGTCCTTTTCAGCATTAGAGTATGCTTTCAGGTGGCCTTGGCCTTGAAAGATAGAGGAAAAAGAGAACACTTGTCCTTTTCCATCTACATCCCCTCCCACGCCCTCTTCTTTACCCTCCCAGAGGAACACTTAACCATGCATTTGTTTTCCAGTTTGCCTAGATGGAGACAGAGTCAAAGGGACTGCTATTCACTGATTCATATATACTGTCAAATAATTTGGCAGGATAAGGAAGGAGTAGGTTGGAACAAGTTTGGAGGACTGGTGTTATAAAGGGTGGATAAAAAGAATAAGATGAATCTTTCAGAGTGGGCACAGATTATGTCAATATTGTATGCTATGGGAGGCACACAAAAGATTTCTCAGGACAAATAAAGTGTTCAACTTTCTGATAGAAATGGTTTTTAAAACAATTTGACTGCATTATGATTAGGAAATAGTAGTATCTCCAGATACTAATCAAGCCAACAAGGTTTTGTTTGTAAGTATAGCTGTTCAAAATTGTTGTTCAAATTTCTAATATATATAATCTGTAGTTGTCCTTCTCTTTCCTTTTATTTTTATTAGCTTTCATTTTTTCATTCATTTTTCTTTATGTTTAACAATGTTATTAGTTATTTTTTCATGGTATAGATTTTAATTCACAATTATATGTGAGTTTTAACCATCTGACGTTATTTATTTCTGATTAGAGTGTGTTAGTGTTAGAGGATAATGTTTTTTTAGATACAGATTCTTTGGATTGTGGCCTAGTTTCATTTTCATTAATGCTCACTAATTATTAATACATGTATGGCATATTAAGTTTCAACCAAAGAAGTGGTGCTGGTGGAAGATAGTTATTAATAGAATTAGTGTAAGAATTTGACTTATGCAGTCATAGAGTCTGGTTGGGCAAGTTTGCAATCTCTAGGGCAGGCCACTAGGAAGGGCAGCCTGGAACCATGGGCAAGAGCTGAAGCTGCTGTCTACAAGGAGCATTTCTCCTTCAGGAAGGCCTCATCTCTATTTTCAACTAATTGTATCAGGCCCACCCAGCTTATCTAGCATAATCCCAATTTATTATGAATTTTAATCACATATACACAATATCTCTACAGCAACACCCTTATTAATACTTAATTGAATAACTGGAGACTTGTAGCCTAAGTTAGTATATCAAAACCACCATTTCATATGCTAATAAAATGGCGTATTCTATATTATTTGTAGTCAAACTTTATTTCATACCTCTGTATTTATGTAAAAAATACATAAATTCATGCCTACCAATTTATTTTAAGACATGAATTTAGGTATAAATGTGTTATTTATACCAATTATAGCCTCCTCTTTGTGCCTATTGTTTTTCATATCAAGTCTGGATTTGTCAGATATAAATATTGCTATTTTAGATATCTTGATGTTGGTCCATGGTATCATTTTCTGCTTCTTACAACGTCAAAGAAATGAAAAACAAACCAGAAATGGACAAAAATAATGAATATTCTATTTGTTGTTATCTTAAATGTTTCTCTCATAAGCAATGTTATTTCTTTTTTAAATTTTTATTTTTAATTTTTGCTGGTACATAATAGGTGTATGTATGGGGTACATGAGATGTTTTGACACAGGCATGCAATGTGAAATAAGCACATCGTGGAGAAGGGGGTATCCATCTCCTCAAACATTTATTCTTTGAGTTACAAACAAGTCAATTACACTCTTCAAGTTATCTTAAAATGTACAGTTAAGTTTTCATTGGCCATAGTCACCCTATTGTGCTATCAGCTACTAGGTCTTATAGCAGTGTGGTTCTGGATTTTGTTATATCTAAGAATCCTAAGATTTTGTCAATAGTCATTTTAGTGAAAGTAAATACTCATGTTTTTCAGAGCATAACTCACTGAAAGGAGCCATCCCTGAGGTTAGTGAGTTTGTGGTATGTCAAACAGAGACTCAGCCCTATAAAGCCAACACCCAGTTTTCCATCAGAGCACCTACTTTACTTTATACATACTCTAAGAACTGCTTTTTACAAAAGATTGTCTCACACCAAATTATGATGCTTAAAAGGTGAAGTGGAGGAGAGTTGACAACACCAGGACAGATAACCTGTCATTACTGGTTGTTTTCTGCTCCCCCTGCCAAGCAGGTCATTATAGTCATGATATTACCACACTACCCTGCGCTGCCTTAGCTGGCATCCGCTGCTTTTGAAAGGCGAAGACGCAAACACTGATCCATGCAAGTAAAGTAGGAAAAAAGTGAGTGGACAATTAGAAGTTCTGTGTCACTCTAGCTTATCATTGTGGCCTGTAACATCTAACCCTCTCCCTCCTTAGGCTCCTCAGGTTTCCAATGGATCAGATATCTCCTAGAATCACAAGCCCGTATTTTATTTTATCATAATATGAATAAAATTAAAAATAAACCATCTAATTGTACAGACTAGAAAGTTAAAACTTCTACATACTACTCTCCAGATTTATGTTTTTAGGACTATGAGTTACTCTGTTACTCTAATATTTCAATGATATTTATATACATGTCAAAATATTACATGCAGTGACAAGATTGATTAAAGTGGCTTTTTGTTGATACATTTTTACTTGGCTGTACTGTGAAATATTGTATACTTCTAAAGGCATGCAAAAATATATTCAATTCAAAACGAATCAAACAGAAGCATTAATATTCTAAGTGCTTCTCAGGAAATTCATTTACCTTAGAAAAATAAACTATTTTAAATATGTATATACTAAATTATTATTTATGGCTCTAGACTAAGAGAATGGCTCTGCAACAGCATACGTATTAAGCTGATCATCCTCCCCTCAAAGCCCACCCACATTCTTTTTTTTTTTTTTTTTTTTGAGATGGAGTCTTACTGTGTTGCCCAGATTGGAGTGCAGTGGCGCGATCTCGGCTCACTGCAAGCTCCGCCTCCTGGGTTCACGCCATTCTCCTGCCTCAACCTCTCGAGTAGCTGGGACTACAGACGCCTGCCACCATGCCCGGCTAATTTTTTGTATCTTTAGTAGAGACAGGGTTTCACCGTGTTAGCCAGGATGGTCTCGATCTCCTGGCCTCGTGATCCACCCACCCACATTCTTTTACCCTCCTCCTCCCTCTCCTCCCATCCCCGGCCCCAGTACCACACACACTTCATTTCTTTTTCATCTTTGCCTTTGGAGTCCCTACTGTGGTTCGCCTTCCACTCTCAAACTTCTGAACTCTCTTCAGGATTTTGTCAGGGACCCGAACACACTAAAACCATCCCTTACTAACTTACAAATGGCTTTTAATATTAAATGTTGGTAAAATAATCTATATAATAGTTAAATAATTTTTGTGTTAGAATTTCTGGGATCAAAATTCTGGGAAGATTCATGTGATTCTTTCTTGGAGATGCTCTCAATTATACTGATACAGCAGCATGTAACTCTTTGTGGTCATAACTGTGAACCATATAAAATGATAAGTTAATTATAATACAAATGGGTTAGTAAAAGAGTAAGCATGTTGTACATGCCACATCACTGTTTAATGATAGTGATAAAATATGCTAATATTTCAGTGATTGCATTTAATTTTAGAGGTGCAGTTGCTTCATAGACAGCTAAAAGTAATTGCAATTTCATAGACGTTTTACAGTGGCAGTAAATTAACTCACAAGGTCAATGATTAACAATATATTGTTTACCTGTGGTATTAAAATGTGGCAAAAGTAGTTCCCTTGTTAAAACTATTTTCACTGGAGGAAATATATCATAATTCTTAATATGAATCTGTGAATATATGACAGACGTAATATTTGCTAATCAATTTTTATTGAAGTCATTCATAAATTTTAATGAGTATTAAATTTTAATAATCATTCAATTTATTAAATTTTAATTTTACAAGTAATAGATAGCTATATTCTCCCTTATAACATTTGTATATTATTAATGAAATTAAAATCACTCCAAAATCATCCCACATCCTAGTCACTTCCCTTCAAAAAAAGATCACTACTTTTTGTATCAATTATGACAGATTTTTGAACTTTTACACATATTAAATGTATCTTTAAAATTATAGACTTTATTTTGTATAACTTTCTATATGTTTTCAAATAAATGGTATCTTACTTTAATACTGCTCAGGAGCTTACTTTTTCTTTACCAACTTTTTTTTTTAGAATAGCCAGATTAAAACATGTAGAAACAACATTCTTTTATATATGCTTTTTTTAGACTGCATGGTTTAACATGGCATAATTTACCATGTTTAATCTACACTTTTTTTTAATTTTTTTTTCTTTTTTTTTTATTATACTTTAAGTTTTAGGGTACATGTGCACATTGTGCAGGTTAGTTACATATGTATACATGTGCCATGCTGGTGCACTGCACCCACTAACTCGTCATCTAGCATTAGGTATATCTCCCAATGCTATCCCTCCTCACTCCCCCCACCCCACAACAGTCCCCAGAGTGTGATGTTCCCCTTCCTGTGTCCATGTGATCTCATTGTTCAGTTCCCACCTATGAGTGAGAATATGCGGTGTTTGGTTTTCTGTTCTTGCGATAGTTTACTGAGAATGATGATTTCCAATTTCATCCATGTCCCTACAAAGGACATGAACTCATCATTTTTTATGGCTGCATAGTATTCCATGGTATATATGTGCCCCATTTTCTTAATCCAGTCTATCATTGTTGGACATTTGGGTTGGTTCCAAGTCTTTGCTATTGTGAATAATGCCACAATAAACATACGTGTGCATGTGTCTTTATAGCAGCATGATTTATAGTCCTTTGGGTATATACCCAGTAATGGGATGGCTGGGTCAAATGGTATTTCTAGTTCTAGATCCCTGAGGAATCGCCACACTGACTTTTTGAGAAAGAGTTTTGCTCTTGTCCCTCAGGCTGGAGTGCAATGGCGCCATCTCGACTCACTGCAACCTCAGCCTCCAGGGTTCAAGCAATTCTCTTGTCTCAGCCTACCGAGTAGCTGGGATTACAGGCGTGCACTACCATGCCCAGAAAATTTTTGTATTTTTAGTAGAGACAGCGTTTCACCATGTCGGCCAGGCTGGAACTCCTGACCTCAAGTGATCTGCCTGCCTCAGCCTCCCAAAGTGCTAGGATTACAGGCGTGAGCCACCATGCCTGACCTACACATTTATTTTTGATGGACATTTCGATTGTAACTTTTTTGATACTAAATGATGGAATTAACATCTAGGATATCTTGTATATAGTTGGAAGTGTTTCTCAAATTTACATGCTCGAGGTAGAATTGCTGGGCCAAGAGAAGAAACATCCTCAATTTTAAATGTTGGTTCTAAGCTACCCAGTATATTGATGTGTAAATTCATATTCTCTAAAAAAATTTGCATTAAAATACCATTTCTCTATAATGTTGCCAAATCAATCATGCGTTTATTGCCAACATTGTGTATATCTAAGAGTGAAAAATTTTAAAAAGTTAACATTAAGAAATTTAATTAATTCAGGATCTCCGATGATACTGTATTGGTAAAGAGACGAATTCCAAAATAGATGCCAAATCTCATGACATAGTCTTGACTGTTTCTCTTCAATGCCTCTGAAGAGTGACATGTCTGCTTGGATTCACAGAAACTATGTATTAGGCCATAGACTTAGCCAGTTATGGTGGGGGCAGGGTTCCTTGGCTTCCATGCGTGAGTACAAGACAGACAATGTCTCTGATAAAACCGGGAACAGAAACAGGATGGAAGCAAAGTAGGATTTGGATTTAAAACCCATTTAACAAGAATCTTAGCATAATTTAGTAGAGTGTGACCATGAACAGGTCATTCCAATTTCTTATGTATTTCATTTCTAATTTACTGTTCTCAAAATTAATACTACATATTGTATCTGTTCCTTAGGCTGTATCAAAAGGAGTATGTCTCTAATTTTATTTTGTATAATCTAGAGATTCATATAGAGATTCGACCTCCAGCAGAGAGCTAAAATAAAATCCCATCAGACTTCTTTTTAATTGGAGAGAAAACATTATTTATTCGGCATAGGAAACTTTGGTGAGAACCTTTTTCTCCAACAAAGCAAGTTAATGGAATGCCATTGGAAAAAAATGTTTTGATTTAACTACATGGTGGTACATTTGGGAGTCCTCAAAAATAGGTTCTTTTGTTTATATTAGACATAGGACATTTTAAATCCAAGACCGGCATTTGGGATTTACACATATTCTGTCTGACTGTAGCTAATAAAAGCATTTTGCTTTATTCTTTCATTCAATTACGTGTTTTCTTCCTTTGGCTTCCTCTAGGGAATTCATTACTTTCAATATGGCTCTAATTGACTTTTTGCATGGTGTTTTACAGACAATGAGAAAAAAGTAGGAAGTTCATTTGTAATTTGGAAAAATAATGAGCACACTATCATCATCTACCAGTAGAGGAGAGCATGCCCCCAGACACAGGCACACACAATTAGCTGTCAGACCCACTCCTCTTCTCTCCATTGATTATAGTCCCTTGTTAGAGTTCCCAAGTGATCAATACAAGATATGTTGAGAAACAGTTCTCATAATTCCCATTTAGGAATGACAAATACATTCAGTACCAGGGTTTTTATTAAAATTTAAGAAATAAAAAAATCTAAAACTTATAAAATAACCACTTGACCACTTGGTGTAAATTTTTAGAAGTCTTTACTTGATTTTAAGCAACTAAATCTGATCAGGAGGTAATAATTCTCTGTAAAAGGAAATCCAATCAAAAGTAAAATTTCCTGAGAATTGTATTTTTCCTTCACAGCTATTAAATCGACACTTGTGCACTAAATGAATGTGTACATTATAAGTATTAAGGGGTAAAACAATATTATAATGTATAGCCACATTTTAAAAGAAAATGAAGAGTTTGTATAACAATCTAACAATCTAAATTCTAAAAGTAATAACAGTCTAACTTCTAAAAGTAATAACTTTTATAACTTTGTAGTTGGTACTTCAAAACATTCTCACTGATGTCTAATGGATCTGAAGAATTTTCCATATCAAAATGCAGGAAAATAGCAGATTGTTTTCATAAGAAGATAATTGAATTACAGAAGCAAAACATCCACAGTTCACAACAGTTTATCAGTAATGAATTAGAAATCAGCTAAGGTAGGTATGTGTGTGTGTGCACTTGTATGTATGAAAAGAGAGTGAGAACCAACAAATAACTATGATAAGAATGATCTAAATGAAGTTTCAAATATCCAATTGAATAGAACAAAGACAAAAGAAGCTTAGCATCCTTAGTTTAGATATACAGATTAAATAACAATGATATACCGCTACACATGCAGGAGAATGGCTATAAACAAAAAAGACTAAAAGTAACAAGTGTTGATGAGGACATAGAGAAACTGGAATCCTCTACATTTTTTATAGGAATATAAAATGGTGCATCCATTTTGAAAACCTGAAAGGAAGGTTTCTTGTTTTCTTGTTTTTTTAAATAAGTTAAACAGAAATGTACTATATAATCCCACAGTTTTGGTTCTAGGTTACCCAAAGAAAATAGAAATATATCTTCACAAAAGACTTGGATGTGAATGTTTATACTAGGATTATTTGAATACTATGACATTGAAAAAGTAGAACCAATTAAAATATTCAAAACTGGTGAAAGGATAATCAAACAGTGGCATATCCATACAATGGAATACTATTCAGTAGTAAGAAGGAAATGAAGTGTTGATGATGCCACACCATGGATGAATCTCAAAAGCAATATGCCAAGTAAAAGAAACCAGATTCCAAATATTACATATATTTCTGGTGGTGGTTTCACAACTCTGTAAATTTATTAAATGTACTAGGCCGTTCTTGCATTTCTATAAAGAAAAGCCTGAAGCTAGGTAATTTATAATGTAAAGAAGTTTAATTGACTCTCAGTTCTTCCCGCTATGCAGGAAGTATGGCATTGGCCTCTGCTCAGCCTCTGGGAAGGCCATATGAAGATTGCAATCATGGCAGAAGGCAAAGAGGGAGCAGATGTGTCTCATGGGAGGAGAGCAGGAATGAGGGTTGGGGAGGTACCCTGCACTTTTAAACAATCAGGTCTTACATGACACGGATCCCTCATGATATGGAGGACAGCATAAAGCCATGAGGGATCCATACTATGAGCCAATCACCTCCTCAACAAGCCCCACCTCCAACATTGGGGATTACATTTCAACATGAGATTTGGCAGGGACAAATATTCAAGTTATATCACTAAAAGTCAATGAATTGTACATTCCAATGTAAAATGAGTAAATTTTATGATACCTAAATTACAGCTTAACAAATCTATTCAAAATAAGTACAAGAGGGAATATTTTATCATGGCCAAATAAGAAATGAGGAAGCAAAGATAGAACTAGAACGAAAAACTAACAAACCACCAAGTTTCCAAACTGCCAAATAAATCACTTTTTCTCTGATTAGAAGCATTTCATTTCTTATAGCATAATAAATACAAATAAGTAGGTTATAAGGTCTTTGGAATTATCAAACCAAATTTTAAACTGAAAAAATATTGTGAGACTCTATAAAAATAATATTTAAAATTTCCCCAAGTTTTTCTTTTCTTTTTCTTTTTTTTTAATTATACTTTAAGTCCTAGGGTACACGTGCATAACGTGCAGGTTTGTTACATATGTGTACATGTGCCATGTTGGTGTGCTGCACCCGTTAACTCATCATTTACATTAGGTATATCCCCTAATGCTATCCCTCCCCCCTCCCCTCACCCCATGACAGGCCCCAGTGTGTAATGTTCCCCACCTTGTGTCCAAGTGTTCTCATTGTTCAGTTCCCACCTATGAGTGAGAACATGCGGTGTTTGGTTTTCTGTCCTTGCAATAGTTTGCTCAGAATGATGGCTTCCAGCTTCATCCATGTCCCTACAAAAGACGTGAACTCATCCTTTTTTATGGCTGCATAGTATTCCATGGTGTATATGTGCCACATTTTCTTAATCCAGTCTATCATTGATGGACATTTGGGTTGGTTCCAAGTCTTTGCTATCGTGAATAGTGCCGCAATAAACATATGTGTGCATGTGTCTTTATAGCAGCATGATTTATAATCCTTTGGGTATATACCCAGTAATGGGATGGCTGGGTCAAATGGTATTTCTAGTTCTAGATCCTTGAGGAATCGCCACACTCTCTTCCACAATGGTTGAACTAGTTTACAGTCCCACCAACAGTGTAAAAGCGTTCCTATTTCTCCACATCCTCTCCAGCACCTGTTGTTTCCTGACTTTTTAATGATCGCCATTGTAACTGGTGTGCGATGGCATCTCATTGTGGTTTTGATTTGCATTTCTCTGATGGCAAATGACCATGAGCATTTTTTCATGTGTCTGTTGGCTGCATAAATGTCTTCTTTTGAGAAGTGTCTGTTCATAGCCTTTGCCTACTTTTTGATGGGGTTGTTTGATTTTTTCTTGTAAATGTGTTTATGTTATTTGTAGATTCTGGATATTAGCCCTTTGTCAGATGGGTAGATTGTAAAAATTTTCTCCCATTCTGTAGGTTGCCTGTTCACTCTGACAATAGTTTCTTTTGCTGTGCAGAAGTGCTTTAGTTTAATTAGATCCCATTTGTCACTTTTGGCTTTTGTTGCCTTTGCTTTTGGTGTTTTAATCATAAAGTCCTTGCCCATGCCTGTGTCCTGAATGGTATTGCCTAGGTTTTCTTCTAGGGTTTTTATGGTTTTAGGTTTAACGTGTAAGTCTTTAATCCATCTTGAATTAATTTTTGTGTAAGGTATAAGGAAGGGATCCAGTTTCAGCTTTCTACATATGGCTAGCCAGTTTTCCCAGCACCATTTATTAAATAGGGAATCCTTTCTCCATTTCTTGTTTTTGTCAGGTTTGTCAAAGATCAGATGGTTGTAGTTATGTGGTATTATTTCTGAGGGCTCTGTTTTGTTCCATTGGTCTATATCTCTGTTTTGGTACCAGTACCATGATGTTTTGGTTACTGTAGACTTGTAGTATAGTTTGAAGTCAGGTAACATGATGCCTCCAGCTTTGTTCTTTTGGCTTAGGATTGTCTTGGCAATGCAGGTTCTTTTTTGGTTCCATATGAACTTTAAAGTAGTTTTTTCCAATTCTGTGAAGAAAGTCATTGGAACTTGATGGGGATGGCATTGAATCTATAAATTACCTTGGGTAATATGGCCATTTTCACGATATTGATTCTTCCTATCCATGAGCATGGAATGTTCTTCCATTTGTTTGTGTCCTCTTTTATTTCATTGAGCAGTGGTTTGTAGTTCTTCTTGAAGAGGTCCTTCACATCCCTTGTAAGTTGGATTCCTAGGTATTTTATTCTCTTTGAAGCAATTGTGAATGGGAGTTCACTCATGATTTGGCTCTCTGTTTGTCTGTTATTGCTGTATAGGAATGCTTGTGATTTTTGCATATTGATTTTGTATCCTGAGACTTTGCTGAAGTTGCGTAATAGCTTAAGGAGATTTTGGGCTGAGATGATGGGGTTTTCTATATACAATATACAATCATGTCATCTGCAAAGAGGGATAATTTGACTTCCTCTTTTCCTACTTGAATACCCTTTATTTCTTTCTCCTGCCTGATTGCCCTGGCCAGAACTTCCAACACTATGTTGAACAGGAGTGGTGAGAGAGGGCATCCCTGTCTTGTGCCATTCAGGGGAATGCTTCCAGTTTTTGCCCATTCAGTATGATATTGGCTGTGGGTTTGTCATAAATAGCTCTTATTATTTTGAGATACATCCCATCAATACATAGTTTATTCAGTTTTTAGCATGGAGGGCTGTTGAATTTTGTCAAAGGCCTTTTCTGCATTGATGGGCATCTGGGTTTGTTCCAAGTCTTTGCTATTGTGCTATTGTGAACAGTGCTGCAATAAAAATATGTGTGCATGTGTCTTTATAGTAGAATAATTTATAATCCTTTGGGCATATACCGAGTAATGGAATTGCTGGGTTAAATGTTATATCTAGTTCTAGATCCTTCAGGAATCACCACACTGTCTTCCACAATTGTTGAACTAATTTACACTCCCACCAACAGTGTAAAAGCATTCCAATTTTAAGTATGGAAAATATCAACAACTCACAGAAACATCACCCATTTGTCACCCTTACTAAATTGTAACTGTATAAAGGGAATTTCTGAGACCAAATCTTTTGAGAAACTTGTTTTCTATTTTTCAGGATGTCTTTTAGCTTGTGTATAGGAGATTAGGACAAATAACCTATCTTCTTGAAGCATTTCCACACCCTCCGCAACAGGAAAGGGATGGATCAAAATTAAGATACTTAATTTCTTCTTTCTCAGTTATATAAAGTACTTGATTCAGCCACCAGAGAGAAGAATCTTTTACTAATGACCTCTTGTATAACATTCTATAACACTTAGTTATATTACAATTCTCTCACACACTATGTACCCCATCTTCACTACATCCCTGTGAGGTAGTGAAATTTCTCTCCAGTAGCAGGGCACTATTGTGAACATTGAAGGAGAGTAAGAAAGCTCAGAATGGAAGGATCTATCCTCTAGGAATTGAAAAGTTACTAAAAAGGAAATTATAACGCCCAGTTATGATACATTACAAGTATTTTGTTAAATGTAATTATATGATAAATTGAAAAAAATGAGAGTCACTAAATTTCAGAGAGAGGGTGAAATGTTATTTTACATATCTGGATAGTATTTCATTCAATAAGGAGGAATTAAGATAAGATAAATAAGAGAAAGTATGTGTTGAAGTGTGTATGAGAAGTGGGATGGAAAATGATTGATTCTGTTTTAGATATATTCAAGTAAATATGCCTTATAGCATGCCAGTAAAGATGTCTGATAGGCTGTTTCATAAACTTGTCTGAAGTTCAGAAGATAAACAGTGTGGGAATTTTGATCTAAACATTAGTGGATTTTATTGGGTGGTTAAAGTTATAGAAGATGATGAAAGGAAAACATGAAGATTGGAAGAAAAAAACATATGTGGAATCTTGCCAATCACCAAAATTTTAAGAATGAGCAGATACAGATGTACTTGCAAGTACATATATCACTGGACAGAGAGGTGGGCATAGGAGAACATGGAGTTGAGATGAGAATCCCTGTGGTATCCTGTGGAATCCAGTGGAAGAGAATTTCAAAAAGAAGAAAGTTGTCCACAGTGGCAAATGCTGCAAAACAAAGTAAGATCAGAATAGGTAACTAAGGAAAATATAAGAATAACTGGTGTACTAGGGAGAACAAATCCAGTGAGTAGTAGAAAGAAAACATAAATGTCCTGTTTTGCTTTGAGTAGTTAATGCGAGGGAGTTACTGAAACCTTTAAAAACGTAGTAATATTTCGAGAAACACGAGAAAACAAAACGTAGGTTAGTGATATTGTGATTTTTTAAAAAGTTTTGTTTTAGCATGGGCAAGACATGAAGTCAAAAAACCAATCAACTTGGAGAAATTAAAGTTGCAATACAGGGCAGAGAAAAGAAAAATGATCAAGAGAACACACTGAAGAAATAAGAGGAGATAAGGTAAAGAGTACATACAGGTGCATAACTAAACCTGGATCAGAAGATCAGTGAAATGAAAAGGAAGTACATAAGAATATTATAATCCATGCAAAATTGTTATAGGGAGACAGAGGTAGTTCTGTAATGCAACATGTCAATAAAGAGTGTCTAAATGCAGGGCCCGTAATATTTTGGCAGTTACAAAAAATAAGGACATTTATAGAAATTAATAACCTTCTAAAATATGAAGTTCAGAAGAGAAATATAAATAGGGATAAGTAGCTAATTTGATGTCAACTAGCCTATTAATCTTAAACACAATTACATGCCCACATTCACATACTTACATAAATATATTAAAATTATTTTATGGTAATTAAATTATATGAGGTAAGTTGTCTTAAATTTATACCTCACACAGTCTAACAATACAAAGGTCCTAAATGTATAATATATTATAATCCAGTTTGTTCCTCATTTTTGGCAATGTAAAATTTCATTATTTTCATAACTACTATTGAATGATAACATATTAATATTCCAGGTAAGTATTAAATAAGGACCAATATATTATATGATATGGATCTATTATATGTAATATTAGATATTAATTTTTTTACTATATGCCTGTCCATTCTTTCTCAAGAGATGAAACTATAATTCCTAAGAGAATAATATTTAATATTTAAAATAGATCATTCTAAGTTAGCCTGGATTTGTTTATTTTCTAGATTGGAATTAAAATGTACTCAATTATTTTAGGTCACCAATGATCAGATTAGGTAAATTAATGAGATTTAGTTTTTATTATTACTCTATGATTTATTTGTGAATTAAATCTCTAGTAAGAGAAGACGAGCTTAAGGCAAAAAGTACAAGAAATAAAATATAAAGGAATCTGAAAATGATGGATGTTTTAAAATGTGCCAAAGTAATAGTGACATAAAATAATACCTATAAATGCTAAGTAGTTTGAATATTTTGACTGTTAAAGCTGTCAAATTATGGGGTTTAATGCTAGTGTGGAGAATACTTTTTTCTGAATATTAAAATATCTTACTTACAAACGGTTGAAATGCATTTTATATCCCAAGAAGTTTAGAAACTTAGCATTAATAATACTTTTTTACAATGACTTATGGAAATATAAATTTATAAGACACATTATTCCTTAAAGGAATAAGTAGCTGTATTCCATTATTGAATAAATGGAGATCTAACCCATTCATATTTGATTCTTGTGAGATCAAAGTACATACCGAATTTTAAAATATTTATTCCATATATTCCAAAATATTTACAAATAAGAACCTCTGCTATATGCCAAACAATATGTGAAATGCTGAATATACAATGGAGAATAGTTGAGGCAGATATTCCAAATACTGTGGATCTATATTACATTTTTTAATCTAGATTAAGAACAGTTTGTTTTTAATACTGTAAACAGAAAAAGAAAACATGATAAACACTTGTAATTTTAATTTTTTTTTTTTTTTTGAGACAGAGTCTCACTCTGTCGCCCAGACTGGAGTGCAGTGGCACGACCTCTGCTCACTGCAAGCTCTGTCTCCTGGGTTCACGCCATTCTCCTGCCTCAGCCTCCCGTGTAGCTGGGACTACAGGCGACAGCCACCGCACCTGGCTAATTTTTTCGTATTTTTAGTAGAGACGGGGTTTCACCGTGTTAGCCTGGATGGTCTCTATCTCCTGACCTCGTGATCCGCCTGCCTCGGCCTCCTAAAGTGCTGGGATTACAGGCGTGAGCCACCACACCCAGCCTTAATTTTCTTAAATTAAGAGTAAAACTTAATTAGTACATACACATTTTAGAATTCGAATTATTAAAATCGTATAAGTGATGTGTGATTAATTACCATACATTACATTTTAGTACCACCAATACGAAGCATTAGTAGTTTTTTACAACCTATATAATAAAAATTACATGTAGGCACAAAATTTAAAACTTGCTTTATTCATACTTAAATCTAGCTCCATAATCATTTAAAGAAAGGGCAGTTACAAGTAAAAGAAAAGCAAAAGATTTACATATACAATAGCCTATTGAGAAAAAACTTGAATGCATATGAAATATCTTGACTATATTAAATGTTAACTCCTTCTTCCTCTCAACGGTCATTGGTTCTATTACATTATTTTTTCCTGCTTACCAGTCTAATCTACTAACAAGTGTAATAATCTTTTATAATAGGCAAATTGTAGGAGCAGTGTTGCCTGTATTATAATTAATCAATATCAAATTGGCATGAATAAAATAAATATATTTTATGTGAAAGTTGCCTAATCTTTCTATTATCTTAAAGGACATAATTCAATCATTAAAAATATTACTCAATATATTATCTGCAAGCAAACTTCAGGTCATCATTCTATACTATCAAATAGACCTTAATATAAGATTATTTTCAGGGCCAGGTGCCGTGGTGCACACCGATAATCCTAGCACTTTAGGAGGCCTAGGTGGGCAGATCGCTTGAGCCCAGGAGTTTGAGACCAGCCTGGACAACATGGTGAGACCTTGTTGTATCAAAAAAACACAAAAATTAGCTGAGCATGGTGGCGGTGCCTGTAGTCCTAGCTACTCGGGATGCTGAGGCACGAGAATCGCTTGAACCTGGGAGGCAGAAATTGCATTGAGTGGAGAATCTCTGCACTGCACTCCAGCCTGGATGACAAAGAAAGATCCTGTGTCAAAATAATAAATAAAAAAGATTAGTTTCAAAGGATATAAATTTGTAAGATCAGCTATACTAGTGTTCATTGTAACCCTTTGAAATTTCTGGGTGGATTTTTGTCTTTATTACACTTTTGTACTGGATAAAATCCATTGTCTTTTTTATAAGTAGTGTAGTGTTATTCATAAAATATCAGTCACAGAATACAGATAGTTTCAAGTGGAATAAATAAAATTCAACAAGGAGACCATGAACACACAATTAATTTATTCGCAGCTGTAAAAATTTCTTTTACATTTTTCCCCAATTTATATTTCTGTCAATTTGAAGGAATTACTGTGTCCAATGTTTTAAATGCCCCATAATGACAGGAAACCAAGTATACCTCATCTAATTTCAGGACACAATTTATAAAAAGTCGTAACTATTTACTCATTTTATCTTCTTTTTTTCCACTTTGCAAACTTTGACTAAGGTTCTACTGGGTTACTAAAAACATTTCGCTGTCTTGATTTTTAAAGAGGAGAACAAAAAGTGTAACTGGTAGTTCTTACATAGCTAAGAGTCTTTTGGAAAACATTTTTTAAACTTTTAAGTTCAAAAGTACATTTGCAGGTTTGTTACATAGAAAAACTTATGTCATAGGGGTGTTAGCCTAGTACCCATTAGTTATTTTTCCTGGTACTCTTCCTCCTGCCACCCTCCATCCCCCAATAGGCCTCAGTGTGTGTTGTCCCCCTCTAATGTGTCCATGTGTTCTCATCATTTAACTCCCACTTATAAATGAGAACATGCGATATTTGGTTTTCTGTTCCTGCCTTAGTTTGCTAACAATAATGGCCTCCAGCTGCATCCATTTCCTTGCAAAGGACATGATCTTGTTTTTTTTTAATAGTATTCCATGGTGTATATATAGCACATTTTCTTTATCCAATTTAGCATTGAGGGGCATTTAAGTTGATTCCATGTCTTTGCTATTGTGAATAGTGGTGCAGTGAACATACACTACATGTGCATGTGTCTTTATAATATAATGATTTATATTTCTCTGGGTATCTACCCAGTAATGAGATTGCTGGGTTGAGGGTATTTCTGTCTTAAGTCCTTGAGGAATCGCCACACTGTCTTCCACAATGGTTGAACTAATTAACATTCCCACCAACAGCGTATAAGTATTCCTTTTTCTCCACAACCTCGCCAGCATCTCTTATTTTTTAACTTGTTAAAATAACCATTCTGACTGGTGTGAGCTGGTATCTCATTATGGTTTTGATTTGCATTTCTCTAATGATCGGCGACTTGGGGCCTTTTTTCATGAGATTGTTGGCTGCATGTATGTCTCCTTTTGAGAAGTGTCTGTTCATGTCCATTGCCCACTTTTAATGGGGTTGGTTTCTTTTTGTTGTAAATTTGTTAAAGTTTCTTATAGATGCAGGATATTAGACCTTTGTTGGATGCATACTTTACAACAGAATGGGAAAAAAATTTTGCAAACTCTGCATCACACAAAAGTCTAATATCCAGCATTTATTAAAGAAATTAAATGTTTTCCAAGCTTTGATATCAATAAATATCATCTAGCAACACTTAGTAAAATACAGATCCCTAGGGAACTTTTCTCATAACCCTTATCAGAACTTTTAGACAAGGGTTCTGTATTATTTTCCCAAACAGCTGTCCCTTGATTTAGGTAAAATGCATTCACGTTAATTTAAAGTCTTCATTTTCATATTCTACAAAGCCATATATATTCTTTGACCAGATTAAATTAAAATATTGAACTTGGATTAAACATGTTAAGCCTTTCTATATAGACATTTCTTTGAGCACTCCATGAAGTCCCACTGGAACTTAGGTAAAGATAGAATCTCCTGGTTATGCTCCAAAAAATATATTTTTCCACAGCAATGATGAAACACATTTCTTAAATAAATTATTTTGCTCAACACAAATACATCGTGTATTGATGTGGGTCTCATACATAGAAACCTGCTAACAAATAATGCGAAATGCAAGATTATATTTTAAAGTAAATGGTCAGAAAAATAAAATAGAAAAATAAAACAACTTTATTTTGTCTTTTTAAATTTTGGATGATATATATATATATGAATACTGTGGAGAATTTTTGAAATGTATTACTTTTTAATTTGTTTTCAGGATGTAATTTGTAGAGGTGACTCAGCTACCACAATACAAATTTAAATGCTTGAATCCGTATTCCCTAAAGATGTTGGAGCTGAGCCACAAATTGGGTAGAAATGACAAAGGTATTTTCAACATAATAAGATAAGAATAGCGACCTGCCTTTTTTTCTTTACAAACTTCTAAAAATATGTTGAGATATAGGTATAATAAAACACATTTCGATGATTCTTGCACCTGTAAGTGCAGGTAATTTGGAAAGAGAGCTCTTTGAATTTGCAGTCAAAACAAGTCGGTTATAATTCTGCATTATTCTTCTCTAGAGTATGCTCATGGGTGACATATGTATGTATATTCACATATATACATACACACACATAAATATATATACAAATGCTTAACTCTTAGGGTGTTTCGGATCAGGTAAAATTGTATATCTGAAATTACTTTTTAAGAAAATACAGTTATTGTGTTTATTTCATACAACACAGACTTTTAATAAATAGAAACCCAGATTCCAAGAGAGTGAGACATATTTCATTGCCCCTCCTGGTTGTCAGGGAGCTGT
Organism: Homo sapiens; assembly: GCF_000001405.40. Taxonomy (NCBI): domain Eukaryota; kingdom Metazoa; phylum Chordata; class Mammalia; order Primates; family Hominidae; genus Homo; species Homo sapiens. The sequence goes on from NC_000014.9 coordinate 40,936,596, forward strand.
CTGCTTTGGGTCAGTGAGGAATGGAAAAGATAATTGTTGATGCTTTTATAGTCCTTCGAATTATGAAGTGAATAAAGGCAGAAGGAGTCATAGTAGTGACCATGGATTAAATTCAATAAATAGTTTCGAAACGCATATTTCTATTAGGTACTACACTATGTTTTGTGGCAAATAGGAACACAAGTTGAATAAAACACGGATTCTACAGTTATGTTTCATAATTTTAGTAACATAGCATATTCACACCTAACCATAGTCAAGTTTAAATATAATAGTTATACAGGTATGAACAATGTGCTATATTAGTAAAATAGATACTTTGTAAATTTGGGAATTAAACACACATTTTTTATTTTGTCTTAAATGCATTTGACACACAGAGATTAGCAGTTGAAAGAAAGACATTTCAGGCAGGGACTGACAAAGCACAGATGTGTGAAACAGCATGCCAAGGTCATGGCAGTGGGCAGTTTGGTTATGTTCCACTATTCCATTAGCAGAAGATGAAGACTGATTAAAAACTCAGCTGGAAATACAGATTGAAATTACATTTCATTATCCTGAATAACTTATTCTGGATATGAAAACAGGTCACTGAAAATTTTAGAAGAATATGGTAACATAATCAAATACATGACACAAAAATAATTTGATCATCGGTGGGCAGGATAGATAGGAAAGAAGAAGAGGAAAAAGGAACTAGAGAAAATAATAATATTTGAAGATTCTCCCTATAGTTTAGGTCAGGGTTTTCTGTTTCTAAATTGTAAAAATTCAGGTGCAGGATTCATGTTTTACTCAATTGTTTTGTTCTGTTTTACTCAGACACTGTTATGAGGGATATTTTGTGTTCTGTGAAATATGATAACATATACTTGAGAAACACTGTATTCTTCTCTCAGAGATTCTACAATAGAGAATTGTGAGTAGTGTTAAAAACTCTAAGAAATTCTGAAGTAAAATGTCTGGAAGACTTTTATTATGGTACATGTATTGATGTGCTTGAGATCACCAGTTTAGAAAAACTGTCCAGTGCAAGACAATGAAAGAAACTAGGACATTAGGAGTAGGAAGAGAAAGAAGATATGACAACAGGTGATATTGTGAAAGCCAAATAGATAGGTTTTAGCTATTGATTCAAGTGGAAGATAAAGGAAAGAAGGAGTCAGAGGCAAATTGATATCCCTAGCAGAAGCCTTCCTAACAGCACCTCTTTCAGAGTTATTGGTATCTTGTCAACTTTCTTAGTTTGCTCTATAGTCCTTGAAACTTGCTCAGTCTTTGTAGAAGTAAGGGTAAGAAATATATTCTGTGTTTTCTTCCTGATGCAAAACACAGAACAGCTATTTCCTTAGACTATTTTAACAGAAAATTAGATAACTCTTAAATATAGTAAGACCAATTATGTTTACTTGCAAAATAAACTATACATTGGGTTATTATTTTTCAAGCTGCTACTAATATATAAATATATAATTAATATATATTTATATATTATATATAAATATATAATTAATAATATACTTATATATTATATATTTTATATACATTATACAATATATATTTATATAATTAATCCTAATATATAATATATATAATTTATATAAATATATATTAGTAGGAAGCTTAAAAATATATATATTAGTAGGCTGCTTGAAAAAATATATGTATAAGCACATACATATTTTGTTGTTACTACATATTTCTTACCCATGTTTATTTCCTCATTTTTCCCTTACTAATAGAAACAAGATTTTGTTCCCACATAAAATTGATGTATTTTATTCCTAGCAGCTATTGGTGTAACACATGATATGTTTCTGGCTATTAGATATTTACAGAAGTTCTTGGTGCAATATGAGTATATACATACATATATCCATATATTTTATGCATACATACATGCACGTATGCATTTATGTATATTTCTATCTACCTATCTATCTATTCATCCTATGAGAGATTGTCTAATACATTTTGCTCTTTACCTTTCTCTGTTTATCTCTTTTTCCAAACTGAGACTTGGTTGCAAGGAAGAGAATTGAAACAGCCATCTTGAGACAATGAAAAAAAATGCCACAAGCTAAGAAAGATTCAGGAGGAACACAGATATTTTTGATTCTTTGCATATTCTCCCCAGTTCTGCATGTTTAAGCCACAGAATTTTTAAATCATGTATATCTCACAAATAAATACTATATATGCTTCTAATAATATTAGTTTGAAACCTGAAATGGTAGAATAATTGTAATACCACAAATAACCTACTTATTGCTAATGAGAGACAGCATGGTGCAATAGGTCCAACACTAATTTAGGAGTCACAAGCTCTAGCATCTTATGTCAGTCCAAGTTCTAGTCTGTCACTCATGCAGCAGGTGTAAAATGGAGAGACAATCTAATAAAATAATTAAGCTAAAGGACTATATTGATTTGTTATAATTAGGCTACAAGCAGTAATAAAAGTATCAGTTTTTCAAATGTGACTGAGTGGATGTTTTATTATATATTGTTTTTAATGTGGTAATATCTTATGAATGTATATGGAAGATTTAGCAGATCTGATTAAAAAGTTCAAACCCATTGTATAAATTAATAAATCTAGACATGGGAAAAGTAACACATTTTACAAGCCTAAGCTTTCATTCGTAATTCAGGAACTTAGTAGTTAACTGAATTTTAGCTGTTAAATCTGAAAATCGACTCATATACCCGTTAGAGTTGACAGAATAAAGTTAAATAGAATTTCACTTTTTTTAAAGTTTTAGAAAACGCAATGTATGAGTTTTGTTACATCCGAATTAACTTCAAGAATATCCTTGTTTTATAACTGTGATGGTTATTTTAGGTGTCAACTTGACTGGACTAAGGGATCCCAGAGAGCTGGTAAAGTATTATTTCTGGGCATGTTTGTGAGGGCGTGTCTGGAAGAGATTGGCATTTGAATCACTGAATTGAATAAGGATGACTTGCTCTCACCCATTGTGGGTGAGCACCATCTAATTCACTGAGGGCCCAGATAAAACAAAAAGTCAGAGGGATTTACTTCTGCCCATCCCTCCCCCTCCCCTCATCTGGATCTAAGACACTCTTCTTCTTCTGCCCTTGGACCTCAGAACTCCAGGTTGTCCAGTGTTTGAACTCCAGAACTTGCATCAGTGGCTTGCCAGATGCTTAGACATTCAGCCTTAGACAGAGAGTTACACCATCAACTTGGGTTTTGAGGCCTTCACTTGGACTGAGACATGTTATTGGCTTCCTGGTTCTACAATTTGCAAACAATCTATCATAGGACTACTCAGTCTCCATAATCGTGTGAACCACATCCTCTAACAAATCTTGTCTCATATGTTTCCATCTATCTATCTATCGATCTATCTATCCATCCATCTATCCTATTGGTTTTGTTTCTCTGAAGAATCCTAATACAAAAACATTTTTTAATTTAGCCTTTTTAAGCTTTATTGAGGTAAATTGATGTATAAAATTGCACGTATTTAATACGTATTTTGATGAGCTTGGACATATGTATACACCCATGATACTAACACCATAATCAAAGTATTAAACATATCCATTACCTCCAAAAATGTTATCTTCTTGTGTGTGCGTGTGCATGTGTATTTGTGGTAAAAACACTCAAGGTGAGACCAATCCTTTTAACATATTTAAAAGTGTACAATACCATATAGTTAATTACGGGTACAAAGTTTTACAGCAAATCTTTAGAACTAGCTCAGTTTGTGTAACTGAAGCTTCTTGATTATGTCTGTTACTGCAAGTAAAAAGCAATATAAAAGCAAACATGGATAATTTATATTCTATTTTTGGTATATAATTTTTTTATTTTTAGAAGTTAATACTTCAAGTGACCACACTATAATGAAGCTCATTCAAATCATAATGAAAACACAAGGCAATTCATAAAATTATTCTGTTCTATCAAATTTGGCCTTAAAGGAAGAAACTATATTTTGTGATAAAGCATTGTGCTTCTTTAGCACTTCCTCTCCAAAGTCAAGAATTAAATTCTTTAAAAAATATCTTTAGTATAAGTTTTGCATTTAATTTATGTGCATTTTAAGAGTGTATTATAGTCTCATCAAGATTAATCATGTACAGCATATATTTGTCCATTTAAGGATTCTAATAATTGAATATTTTCTTCTTAACATGTTATAGAATTTTTATACTGAATAGAGGATCTTAGAGATTCTTCACCATACCATGAGATGCATGCAGCTTCCCCATCCCTGATACAGATTTCATGAACACATAAATACATAAGACTCCAGGGCTGACTTACTCAATTGACATTATATTATTTGTTTATCATCCTTTTGAATATCAAATCAACACAGAGAATCAGAAGTAGTCTACAGTTGATTTGCACAATAAAATATGACTTTTCAAAATTTATTCCTTCTGGTACGTACCTCTCAAACTCTAAATAGGTAGCAATATAGTATCTTGAAATAGTAATTGTTTGCTTACTTATTGGCACTTTCTGTAAATTACTCAGAGGCACTTAAATTGTAGAAGGCCAGGTGTGGTGGCTTACGCCTGTAATCCCAGCACTTTGAGAGGCTGAGGCGGGTGGATCACTTGAGGTTAGGAGTTTGAGACCAGCCTGGCCAATGTGGTGAAACCCCGCCTCTACTATAAAAAAAAATACAAAAATTAACCAGACGTGATGGCACATGCCTGTAGTTCCAGCTACTTGAGAGGCTGAGGCAGGAGAATCACTTCAGTCCAGAAAGGGAGGTTGCAGTGAGCCAAGATTGCACCACTGTACTCCAGCCTGGGTGACAGAAAAAAAAAATGTCTATAGGAGAAATATGATTATTAGAACAAAATACAGAAAGAAACATGTGTTTAATTCTCAGCTTTGTCTTGAAAAAAGCTCTAGTGGAAACAAACAAAAAATGCTCATAGTGGAAACAAACCCTATGGGTTTCAAACTGCTGATCCACAGCTTGTTTCCATGTAATCCTGTCTGATGCCCTCTGATTGCTGTGAAGACTGACTTTTGACAATGGTCTGCATGGGACCTATGGAATACTTTGCACAAGTCACTCCTGATGGTTAGATATATGTACAACCCTGATGAAAACATGGAATTTCTATCTGAATGTTTATGCACATATGCACACACACAAACACACACACAACATGCTCCTCACTATTTTTATTCTGCTTAAATGAATGTTACAGTCAGGCTCAAAGACTGTACTGTACCCAGATGTTACATCATCAACTTGGGTCTGAAGGCTTCACCCTTGGACTGAGCCATGTTATTGGCCTGCTAGGTTTATCTACAATTTGCAAGCAACCTATCATAAACCTTCTCACCCTCCATAATCTTGGGAACCAGCTCTCCTCACAATCTTCTTGTATATATCTCTATCCATTCTATTACTTTGATTATTTTTCTACAAATTAAAAACTCCTTTGATTCTTGGATTCTTCTTCTGCTAGGAAAATTCTAACGCTGATTCTTTTTCTACAAGGAGAATCCTAACTGGACATAGCTGCACGTTGTTCTATGCATTTTAAATGAACTTTGGCTATTTCTAAAATAAGGACACAAAACTAATTTTACCATCACTCTGTGTCATGACTCTATTTACATATACTTTCCTTCAAAATGTTACCTATTTTCTCATTTTACTTACCACATTTTTTCTTTGCTAGGTTTAGTTCAAAATATTTTTTAGTTTTAATCATTATTCAGCAATAAAAATAATTTGTTTATAAAATTATATAGGGATTTTAAGACATAATAAATCTTTAAAGATGGATAACTTTTCACAGTATTGAACTCAAAACTTGCAAAAACTACCTGATTCATAGCAAGTACAGCTTTGTTTTATGATTTACTTTCTCCATGCATATTGGAAGTCCTATTTACAATGAAGTAAACATTAATGTTGAGACCCATGATACACAATACCTTACTCAGATATGAACTATATCTATATGTACTTTTTATAATAATATTGTGACTATATTTTGTAATGGATGAAAATATGATATGTAGATATTTCTTATATGCACCACTGGGAGACAATTGAAAAGGAAAATTACATCATGGTAGAAATTACCTTTAAAATATGCACACACTTATTTCTTTTCCCTTAATCAACTTTCTATATTGTGTTATTTTTTATGGTCATTAATTTAAACATCATTTTTAAATTCATGTATCATAAATTATTCTAATTTTCTTGTTTATAGGCAAATAAGTTAAAATATGCGACTACAATGGAATGACAGTGAGCCAGGCCTCAAGAAATTCATTTGTCTCAATTTAACATTTCTGAAAAAAATAGCAATAATTTTAATTGCAGTATATTATAATTTAAATCATAACATCATAAAGTTAACAATTTCTTCCCCATAATGTTTTTGTTGTTTCAAAAGAACTATTATTTATCTATCTACCTATCTATAAAATATGGCTTATGATTTAATTTCATTTATATATTTTTATATATGTGAATTTAGTTTTGCTAAATTTAAAATCCAGTTTTTCCTATTTTATGTGCATGTAATTATATTTAATATAAATTAGTTATTATAGACCTTCACTTCACTTCACTTCCCTAAATATCTACTTTTATCCAAGATTCTGTCATCATTAAATAGCTAGCCTTTCCACTAGGGCTGCTAATCAAATAGATTGAAATAAAAGCATTTATTTAATAGTAATTGCAGGACACTATAGTAATAGTGGATACCAAAATGTTTACTCTGATGAGTAAGAGTAATGAGAAAACTTTTAGTGCTTTATTTATTTTTTGATGAAATGCAATATAATAATAATGTTAGCTATTTAAGTTGAGCTACCTTTTTTTCATCTTAGAATGGTAAATGACCCATTGCTTTACATAATCAGTTTACCATGTGCACTCTAACAGAATCTGTATTACCCCTGTATTCTAATAGAAAAGAATAAGCAAGTATAATGCAAAGCCAATTGGACTCAGCATCAAAATAGCTTATGGAATAATATCAAATTTGATATCTGGTAAAACTTACACAGCAATTGTTAAATCATCTTTATGCCTATTTTTATCATCCATAGTATTAATCTAAAAATGTAAAAGTGTAACAATGTGATAGATTGAAAGATCTCTAAATAATTTATATTTTATATAACTTTATGCATAAATTGACAAAAGTTAAAAGTATTTGCATTGTTTTAATGTTGGAAACAATGTTCCAAGATGCCATAAAAATAATAAAAGGACAGAAGTTTCTTGCGCATTCAAAATCATTTATTATGCATTTACAATACGCAGCTGTTGTAAACACTGTGGAATTAATAATGGATTTTGGTCTCTGCATTGAATAAGTTCACATTAGAGGGACAATTGTAAACACAGGGTATAATTCAGTTTGACAATTACTGTGATAGACATTGCTTTTGATACTAGCAAGGAAAAACCCATTGGTGGATTACCAAAAGTTTCATGAGGATATGTCTGATCTATACATCTTATAAAATTAAAATTTTAAATATATATTAATTCAAATAGTTTTGTTGCTTTTAGGGAAATAGTCTTTCAAGATATTCTAATTGAGCATATGTTTCTGGAAAAAGACCAACTTTGGCTTTAACTCATTTTTAAAAATTTTTTATTTAAAAACAACATGCTGGTTTTTAAAAATTCAATCGCCATCAGTACTTAACATACTTACTATGTCCTGATTGGTAGCTTGAACAAACTAGAATCTGAGATTTTATTCCTTAATTGTCAAAGAAGCCAATTGAGGTTACATGTCATTTGTAGTATAAAAACAAAAAAATCATTTCTTTTTATATTTTGCAATGGAAGCCAATTTCGTTTCAAAGGAAAAAATGACTTTTAGTTCTTTTTATGGAAACAGTAGCACCATTTGATGAATCCTTCATATTGACCATTATTTTCTTAAAAACAAATCTATCCACCTTTTCTACTTTTCAAATTTTTATAAATTACGTTTCTGGAGAGAGTTTTCCAATGTTAGAGACGTCAATTTCTCTGAGCTAAACCCTCCAGTTTTTTTTTTTTAATGGTCCCCAAGGAACAAGGTTAAAAGCCCTGGGTCCTCTTAACTAATCCCCTTATACATTCCTGGAATTTAAGAAGGTTACCTTTTTTGTTTGCATTCCTGAATTTACATAACACTTGAGATGATATCAACATATCATAGAATTTTGAAGATCTACTTAGAGTATGTTATCTCATCGGTATACTATTAATTATTTGTAATTAGACTACTAGTTAATCCACAATTCCCATTAATAATTCTAGTAAATATATTAATTTATTGTTCTATCAATATTTGGTACATCATAAATACATAATAAATAGAGAATAAATTAATAAAGTGTTGAATATATGATTTTCAGAGCTGATTTTTTTCAGTCATCTTCTTTGACAATTTTGAATTTATATTTGTAAATAAATATTCAGATTTTTTACATGCATTGGCATTAAATAAAATTTTGTAAAATTTATTCCATAGTGTAAAACTAAATTTTATCCTAATTTTGTCATAAATTTTTATCATTAGCACCTTTTAAAAGTACAATGATATGTCTTTATTTAGGTCATTAATCTAAAATTGTAGAATAGGTCAGAGAAAAGAGGAAACCCTTTGCACATAACTAAAATCCTTCCCAGAAGATGGCATTCATTCTTTAATTATCACTTTCTATGAAGGTCATTTGATGTGTTACTAATTTGCCTAATTGAATTGCCATCAAACTCATATTTCTTCATCTTAACACTGAAAATCTGAGGAGATGCTTCAAATTACATTTTTTGGATGATTTTTCACAGATCTATGATTTAGATGTTTAAGCAGTAGCTTTGAATGAACTAAAAATGCTGGCAAATAATTAGAGTTAACATTTTGCAAATAACATTTTGTTCACTGCAGTATTTTACTTGACCTATGCCTATTCTCCTCTACATGAAAACTGAAGTTTTAATGTTATCCTTGTAGATCTTTAGCAGATAATTAATTCACATATATCCATTAATAATATTTCAGTATGTAAAATATACTTGCTTCTCTCAAGTAACTTGATATCATTTAATCTTCAATGAAACTTGTCTAAAAATAATGTTTTTTTGAATCAGTTTTTTGAATCAGTTTAAAAATGTGAAAAAACCTTTGAATATGTTATTTGTTAAGAATGAAATAACTGAAAGGTTGATCTATGCTTTAAATTGGAATCTTTTGTATATTTTAACATCAAGAACAGTCCATTGTATAAAAACTATTTTTGTGAATTTCTAAACTTTCATAGCATTAAGTCCTCAGAGTGGAATTCTATGATTTCTAAAGCCAGATTATTTCAGATATTTTAAAAACTACTTAAATGTCCATAAACAATAGGACAGTTAACTACATTTTGTAAAGTTAATGAAAAGGAATATTATATAGCTAGTTTTAAACATGACATATTTACACCTATTTTGGTTCAGTGATTCCACTGATAGATGTATGGCTAAATAATCTGATAGAAGGATAGGCAGACAGAGACACACAGACAAATAAACAGGAAAATGTACAATAGACAAAGAGAGACAGATTAGATGATAGAAAGGTAGACTTAGACACATACACGTACAACTGACAAGTGTGTGTTTATATATATAGCACTCTGTCTTTACACAGATGTGAAGGCATAAACAGGCAAAGATAGACAGAAAAAGTAAACTAACAGAAGGATAGACCGACATATGGACAGACAGACAGAGATATACAGATAACATAGCTGCAGAGAATCAGCCAGAGAGAGAAATAGAAGGACAACAGGCAAACAGAATGGCATATATATGTTTAGATTGATAAACACAGGAATAAAGCTAGATAATAGATAGATAGATAGATAGATAGATAGATAGATAGAATTAATGTGTATTACCTTAGCACCTTGGGACAGAAATTTTCTTAAGAAGGCACTATTATTTTTCAGGGATAAATTGATTAATATTGAGGGTAGAAGGTGAAAAATCTCAAAATATGTTTCTCTTGGAGGCATGGCAAAAGAATGAAAGTGGTAGTAGCTATGTTGTTCACATTGAGAAAGGGAAAAAATTTTTACTTGAAAAATCATGACTAAAATGAGAACTCTAAGCTTGGCATGAGATGGGCAGGTATGTTGATTTATATCACTGAATATAGGTTGTGCTGATTAAGGTATTTAGGAAAAGTCTAGCGTTTATGTTGACGTTATTTTGCATTTCAGTGGTTAAAATTCCTCCTGTACCAGTCAAATCTACAGTAAAATAAACCAAACTCACACATCCTCTGTTATTTTTAGTTAATTTTGTTAATTAGTATTATATTTAGTCAGGTCTTGGTGTTCTTTTTTTATTATTTTTTGTAGCAAGATTATATTTACAAATCTGGATTAATATAGAATGAATAAAAATGGTTTTTCATTTAAAGTGTGATAATCCATAAACCAAATTTATTATTGTATACGAAAGTTCCCTATTTAGAGGTAAATATGAAAATCTTAGGGAAGAATTTGGATTTCACCTGAGCGAAAATACACAGGTAATCTTCTTTAAACTCTGATGAAATATCTTCAGCTCTTCTGGGGTTAATCTACTTTCAATAGATTGTTGATTCAGTGAGTTTTTTTCTACTAAGGATCAAATGTTGCCAGGCACTGAATGGACACTGGATGCATTAAAGACAAATAAATAAATAAATAAAGTCTTTTTGTTGCTGTTATTGTTGGCGCTTCCAACTGTTTTTGTTTATATATATATGTGTGTGTGTGTGTGTGTGTGTATATATGTGTGTGTGTGTGTGTGTGTGTGTATATATATATATGTTCTAGGGTTCATGTGCACAACGTTCAGGTTTGTTACATATGTATACATGTGACATGTTGGTGTGCTGCACCCATTGACTCGTCATTTACATTAGGTATTTCTCCTAATGCTATCCCTCCCCCCTCCCCCCACCCCACAACAGGCCCCGGTGTGTGATGTTCCCCTGCCTGTGTCCAGGTGTTCTCATTGTTCAATTCCAACCTATGAGTGAGAACATGCGGTGTTTGGTTTTTTGTCCTTGTGATAGTTTGCTGAGAATGATGGTTTCCAGCTTCATCCACGTCCCTACAAAGAACAGACCTGCAGCTGAGGGTCCTGACCATTAAAAGGAAAACTAACAAATAAATAAAGTCTTTGGGTAATTGAACTTATATTTTTGCCTCATTGTTTTTGATGAGGTATTGGATGTCATATAAGTAATGTACCATTTCTATTTGGCTGCTTTCAAGGTATTTTTATTTTTATTTTTGTTTTTGTTTTTTAGGGGCTTATTTTTCAGAGTTTTAATTATGATGTGTCCTGTTTGTTATATATTAGGTGTGTTCTGCTTCTTGATTCTGAAGGCTATTCTCATTTGACAAATTTGACATGTTTTCATCTATTATTTCTTTAAGGACTATTTTGATCTTGCTTCACTGTTCATTGGGATTCCAATGATATTAATGTTAATTCATTTGTTACTGTCCCATTGGTTCAAGGGCCTTTGTTTATTTTTTATTTCCTCCTTGCTGTTCAGAATAGGTAAGTTTTTTTGTTCAGGACTTGAGTTCACTTAATTTATCTTCTATCATTCTCACTCCACTACTGAGTTTATCAAGTGAGTTTTGTTATTATTATCATATATTTCAGCTCTGTAATTTTCAGGTGAATTTTTTTAAACTTCCAATTCACTGTTAAGATTTTTCATTTCTTAATTTGTTTACAAAGCATTTGTAATTGCTTGTTAGATCATTTTCATAATAGCAGCTTTATTTTTGTATTTTTAAATTTTTCTTCTTTTTTTCCAACTTTTATTTTTTACTCAAGGGATACATGTGTAGGTTTGTTACATGGGTAAATTGCATATCATGTGGCTTTGGTATACAGATAAAACTGACACCTAGATAATCATCGTAATACCTGATATGTAGTTTTTCAATCCTCACTCTCGTCTCATTCTCCACTCTCAGTTAGGCCCCAATGTCTTATTCCCTTCTTTGTGTCCATATGTCCTCAATATTTAGCTCTCACCTGTGAGAACGTGCAGTATTTGATTTTCTGTTCATGCTTCAGTTTGTTTAGGATTATGGCCTCTAGCTCCATCCATGTTGCTACAAAGGCCATGATCAACTTTATTTTTAAATAGCTGTGTAGTATTCCATGGTGTAGGTACCACATTTTTTTATCCAGCCCACCATTCATGGACATTAAGGTTGATTCCATGTCATTGCTATTGTGAATAGTGCTGCAATAAACATATGCATTTCTCTTTTTATTATTATTATTATACTTTAAGTTTTAGGGTACATGTGCACATTGTGCAGGTTAGTTACATATGTATACATGTGCCATGCTGGTGCGCTGCACCCACTAACTCATCATCTAGCATTAGGTATATCTCCCAGTGCTATCCCTCCACCCTCCCCCCACCCCACAACAGTCCCCAGAGTGTGATATTCCCCTTCTTGTATCCATGTGATCTCATTGTTTAATTCCCACCTATGAGTGAGAATATGCAGTGTTTGGTTTTTTGTTCTTGCGATAGTTTACTGAGAATGATGATTTCCAATTTCATCCATGTCCCTACGAAAGACATGAACTCATCATTTTTTATGGCTGCATAGTATTCTATGGTGTATATGTGCCACATTTTCCTAATCCAGTCTATCATTGTTGGACATTTGGGTTGGTTCCAAGTCTTTGCTATTGCGAATAATGCCGCAATAAACATACGTGTGCATGTGTCTTTATAGCAGCATGATTTATAGTCCTTTGGGTATATACCCAGAAATGGGATGGCTGGGTCAAATGGTATTTCCAGTTCTAGATCCTTGAGGAATCGCCACACTGACTTCCACAATGGTTGAACTTGTTTACAGTCCCACCAACAGTGTAAAAGTGTTCCTATTTCTCCACATCCTCTCCAGCACCTGTTGTTTCCTGACTTTTTAATGATTGCCATTCTAACTGGTGTGAGATGGTATCTCATTGTGGTTTTGATTTGCATTTCTCTGATGGCCAGTGATGATGAGCATTTTTTCATGTATTTTTTGGCTGCATAAAATGTCTTCTTTTGAGAAGTGTCTGTTCATGTCCTTTGCCCACTTTTTGATGGGGTTGTTTTTTTCTTGTAAATTTGTTGGAGTTCATTGTAGACTCTGGATATTAGCCCTTTGTCAGATGAGTAGGTTGCGAAAATTTTCTCCCATTTTGTAGGTTGCCTGTTCACTCTGATGGTAGTTTCTTTTGCTGTGCAGAAGCTCTTTAGTTTAATTAGATCCCATTTGTCAATTTTGTCTTTTGTTGCCATTGCTTTTGGTGTTTTAGACATGAAGTCCTTGCCCACGCCTATGTCCTGAATGGTAATGCCTAGGTTTTCTTTTAGGGTTTTTATGGTTTTAGGTCTAACATTTAACTCTTTAATCCATCTTGAATTGATTTTTGTATAAGGTGTAAGGAAGGGATCCAGTTTCAGCTTTCTACATATGGCTAGCCAGTTTTCCAAGCACCATTTATTAAATAGGGAATCCTTTCCCCATTGCTTGTTTTTGTCAGGTTTGTCAAAGATCAGATAGTTGTAGATATGCAGCGTTATTTCTGAGGGCTCTGTTCTGTTCCATCGATCTATATCTCTGTTTTGGTACCAGTACCATGCTGTTTTGGTTACTGTAGCCTTGTAGTATAGTTTGAAGTCAGGTAGTGTGATGCGTCCAGCTTTGTTCTTTTGGCTTAGGATTGACTTGGCGATGTGGGCTCTTTTTTGGCTCCATATGAACTTTAAAGTAGTTTTTTCCAATTCTGTGAAGAAAGGCATTGGTAGCTTGATGGGGATGGCATTGAATCTGTAAATTACCTTGGGCAGTATGGCCATTTTCACGATATTGATTCTTCCTACCCATGAGCATGGAATGTTCTTCCATTTCTTTGTATCCTCTTTTATTTCCTTGAGCAGTGGTTTGTAGTTCTCCTTGAAGAGGTCCTTCACATCCCTTGTAAGTTGGATTCCTAGGTATTTTATTCTCTTTGAAACAATTGTGAATGGGAGTTCACTCATGATTTGGCTCTCTGTTTGTCTGTTGTTGGTGTATAAGAATGCTTGTGATTTTTGCACATTGATTTTGTATCCTGAGACTTTGCTGAAGTTGCTTATCAGCTTAAGGAGATTTTGGGCTGAGACAATGGGGTTTTCTAGATATACAGTCATGTCGTCTGCAAACAGGGACAATTTGATTTCCTCTTTTCCTAATTGAATACCCTTTATTTCCTTCTCCTGCCTAATTGCCCTGGCCAGAGCTTCCAACACTATGTTGAATAGGAGTGGTGAGAGAGGGCATCCCTGTCTTGTGCCAGTTTTCAAGGGGAATGCTTCCATTTGCCCATTCAATATGATATTGGCTGTGGGTTTGTCACAGATAGCTCTTATTATTTTGAAATACGTCCCATAAATACCTAATTTATTGAGAGTTTTTAGCATGAAGGGTTGTTGAATTTTGTCAAAGGCTTTTTCTGCATCTATTGAGATAATCATGTGGTTTTTGTCTTTGGCTCTGTTTATATGCTGGATTACATTTATTGATTTGTGTATATTGAACCAGCCTTGCATCCCAGGGATGAAGCCCACTTGATCATGGTGGATAAGCTTTTTGATGTGCTGCTGGATTCGGTTTGACAGTATTTTATTGAGGATTTTTGCATCAATGTTCATCAAGGATATTGGTCTAAAATTCTCTTTTTTTGTTGTGTCTCTGCCTGGCTTTGGTGTCAGAATGATGCTGGCCTCGTAAAATGAGTTAGGGAGGATTCCCTCTTTTTCTATTGATTGGAATAGTTTCAGAAGGAATGGTACCAGTTCCTCTTTGTACCTCTGGTAGAATTCGGCTGTGAATCCATCTGGTCCTGGACTCTTTTTGGTTGGTAAGCTACTGATTATTGCCACAATTTCAGATCCTGTTATTGGTCTATTCAGAGATTCAACTTCTTCCTGCTTTACTCTTGGGAGAGTGTATGTGTCGAGGAATCTATCCATTTCTTCTAGATTTTCTAGTTTATTTGCGTAGAGGTGTTTGTAGTATTCTCTGATGGTAGCTTGTATTTCTGTGGAATCGGTGGTGATATCCCCTTCATAATTTTTTATTGCGTCTATTTGATTCTTCTCTCTTTTTTTCTTTATTAGTCTTGCTAGCGGTCTATCAGTTTTGTTGATCCTTTCAAAAAACCAGCTCCTGGATTCATTAATTTTTTGAAGGGTTTTTTGTGTCTCTATTTCCTTGAGTTCTGCTCTGATTTTAGTTATTTCTTGCCTTCTGCTAGCTTTTGAATGTGTTTGCTCTTGCTTTTCTAGTTCTTTTAATTGTGATGTTAGGGTGTCAATTTTGGATCTTTCCTGCTTTCTCCTGTGGGCATTTAGTGCTATAAATTTCCCTCTACACACTGCTTTGAATGCGTCCCAGAGATTCTGGTATGTTGTGTCTTTGTTCTCGTTGGTTTCAAAGAACATCTTTATTTCTGCCTTCATTTCGTTATGTACCCAGTAGTCATTCAGGAGCAGGTTGTTCAGTTTCCATGTAGTTGAGTGGTTTTGAGTGAGATTCTTAATCCTGAGTTCTAGTTTGATTGCACTGTGGTCTGAGAGATAGTTTGTTATAATTTCTGTTCTTTTACATTTGCTGAGGAGAGCTTTACTTCCAAGTTTGTGGTCAGTTTTGGAATATGTGTGGTGTGGTGCTGAAAAAAATGTATATTCTGTTGATTTGGGGTGGAGAGTTCTGTAGATGTCTATTAGGTCCACTTGGTGCAGAGCTGAGTTCAATTCCTGGGTATCCTTGTTGACTTTCTGTCTCGTTGATCTGTCTAATGTTGACAGTGGGGTGTTAAAGTCTCCCATTATTAATGTGTGGGAGTCTAAGTCTCTTTGTAGGTCACTCAGGACTTGCTTTATGAATCTTGGTGCTCCTGTATTGGGTGCATATATATTTAGTATAGTTAGCTCTTCTTGTTGAATTGATCCCTTTACCATTATGTAATGGCCTTCTTTGTCTCTTTTGATCTTTGTTGGTTTAAAGTCTGTTTTATCAGAGACTAGGATTGCAACCCCTGCCTTTTTTTGTTTTCCATTTGCTTGGTAGATCTTCCTCCATCCTTTTATTTTGAGCCTATGTGTGTCTCTGCATGTGAGATGGGTTTCCTGAATACAGCACACTGATGGGTCTTGACTCTTTATCCAATTTGCCAGTTTGTGTCTTTTAATTGGAGCATTTAGTCCATTTACATTTAAAGTTAATATTGTTATGTGTGAATTTGATCCTGTCATTATGATGTTAGCTGGTTATTTTGCTCGTTAGTTGATGCAGTTTCTTCCTAGTCTTGATGGTCTTTACATTTTGGCATGATTTTGCAGGGGCTGGTACCGGTTTTTCCTTTCCATATTTAGCACTTCCTTCAGGAGCTCTTTTAGGGCAGGCCTGGTGTGACAAAATCTCTCAGCATTTGCTTGTCTGTAAAGTATTTTATTTCTCCTTCGCTTATGAAGCTTAGTTTGGCTGGATATGAAATTCTGGGTTGAAAATTCTTTTCTTTAAGAATGTTGAATGTTGGCCCCCGCTCTCTTCTGGCTTGTAGGTTTCTGCTGAGAGATCCGCTGTTAGTCTGATGGGCTTCCCTTTGAGGGTAACCCGACCTTTCTCTCTGGCTGCCTTTAACATTTTTTCCTTCATTTCAACTTTGGTGAATCTGACAATTATGTGTCTTGGAGTTGCTCTTCTCGAGGAGTATCTTTGTGGCGTTCTCTGTATTTCCTGAATCTGAACGTTGGCCTGCCTTGCTAGATTGGGGAAGTTCTCCTGGATAATATCCTACAGAGCGTTTTCCAACTTGGTTCCATTCTCCCCATCACTTTCAGGTACACCAATCAGACGTAGATTTGGTCTTTTCACATAGTCCCATATTTCTTGGAGGCTTTGCTCATTTCTTTTTATTCTTTTTTCTCTAAACTTCCCTTCTCCCTTCATTTCATTCATTTCATCTTCCATCGCTGATACCCTTTCTTCCAGTTGATCGCATCGGCTCCTGAGGCTTCTGCATTCTTCACGTAGTTCTCGAGCCTTGGTTTTCAGCTCCATCAGCTCCTTTAAGCACTTCTCTATATTGGCTATTCTTGTTATACATTCTTCTAATTTTTTTTCAAAGTTTTCAACTTATTTGCCTTTGGTTTGAATGTCCTCCCATAGCTCAGAGTAATTTGATCGTCTGAAGCCTTCTTCTCTCAGCTCGTCAAAGTCATTCTCCATCCAGCTTTGTTCTGTTGCTGGTGAGGAACTGCGTTCCTTTGGAGGAGGAGAGGCGCTCTGTTTTTTAGAGTTTCCAGTTTTTCTGTTCTGTTTTTTCCCCATCTTTGTGGTTTTATCTACTTTTGGTCTTTGATGATGGTGATGTACAGATGGGTTTTTGGTGTGGATGTCCTTTCTGTTTGTTAGTTTTCCTTCTAACAGACAGGACCCTCAGCTGCAGGTCTGTTGGAATACCCTGCCGTGTGAGGTGTCAGTGTGCCCCTGCTGGGGGGTGCCTCCCAGTTAGGCTGCTCGGGGGTCAGGGGTCAGGGACCCACTTGAGGAGGTAGTCTGCCCGTTCTCAGATCTCCAGCTGCGTGCTGGGAGAACCACTGCTCTCTTCAAAGCTGTCAGACAGGGACATTTAAGTCTGCAGAGGTTACTGCTGTCTTTTTGTTTGTCTGTGCCCTGCCCCCAGAGGTGGAGCCTACAGAGGCAGGCAGGCCTCCTTGAGCTGTGGTGGGCTCCACCCAGTCCGAGCTTCCTGGCTGCTTTGTTTACCTAATCAAGCCTGGGCAATGGCAGGCGCCCCTCCCCCAGCCTCGCTGCCGCCTTGCAGTTTGATCTCAGACTGCTGTGCTAGCAATCAGCGAGACTCCGTGGGCGTAGGACCCTCCGAGCCAGGTGCCGGATATAATCTCGTGGTGCGCCGTTTTTTTAAGCCCGCCGGAAAAGCGCAGTATTCGGGTGGGAGTGACCCGATTTTCCAGGTGCCGTCCGTCACCCCTTTCTTTGACTCGGAAAGGGAACTCCCTGACCCCTTGCGCTTTCTGAGTGAGGCAGTGCCTCGCCCTGCTTCGGCTCGCACACGGTGCGCGCACCCACTGACCTGCGCCCACTGTCTGGCACTCCCTAGTGAGATGAACCCGGTACCTCAGATGGAAATGCAGAAATCACCCGTCTTCTGCGTCGCTCACGGTGGGAGCTGTAGACTGGAGCTGTTCCTATTCGGCCATCTTGGCTCCTCCGCATTTGTTTTTATGGTGGTAAGATTCATATTCCCTTGGTTATACACCCAGTAATGGGATTGCTGGGTCTAATGGTAGTTCTATTTTAAGTTCTTTGAGAAATCTCCAGACTGCTTTCCACAATGCCTGAACTAACTTGCAATCCCACCAGCAGTGTATAAGCATTCCCTTTTCTCTGTAAACTCACAAGCAAACCACCAAAAAATAACCTCTGTTATTTTTTGACTTTTTATTAATAGCCATTCTGACTGGAATGAGATTGTTTCTCATTGTGATTTTGATTTGCATTCCCTAATGATTAGTGATAGAGTATTTTTTCAAATGCTTGTTGGACTCCTGTATGTCTTCTTCCAAGAAGGGTCTGTTCAGTTCCTTGGCCATTTGCCATTTTAACGGGGTTGTTTGTGTTTTGTTTGTTGACTTACGTGAGTTCCTTACAGATTCTTGATATTAAGACTTTGTCAGATGGATAAGCCAACAAAGAAACATTTGCAAATGTTTTCTCCTATTCTTTAGATTGTTCATTTACTTTGTTGATAGTTTATTTTGCTGTGCAGAAATTCTTTATTTTAATTAGGTCCTAATAGTCAATTTTTAGTTTTGTTGCAATTGCTTTTGGAGTCTTTTTTATGGAGTCTTTGTATAGGCTGATGTCCAGAAAAATATTTTCCAGATTACCTTCTAGGATCATTACAGTTATAGGTTTTACATTTAAGTCTTTAATCCATCTAGAGTGGATTTTTATATATGGTGAAATGTAAGAGTTCAATTTTAATCTTCTATATATGGCTAGCCTGTTATTACAGCAGCCTTTAGTGAATAAGGAGTCCTTTCTTCATTACTTGTTTTTGTCAGCTTTGTCGAAGACCAGATGGTCGTAGGTATGCAGCTTTATTTCTGGGTTTTTTAACCTGTTTTATTGGCCTATGTGTCTGTTTTTGCACACATATTGTACCTTTGTAGTATAGTGTGAAGTCAGGTAGTGTGATGTCTCAACTTTGTTGCCTTTATCTAGGATTGCTTTGGCTGTTCAGGCTCCTTTTTGGTTCCAAATGAATTTTAGATTTTTTTTTTCTATTTCTGTGAAAAGTGTTATTGATTGATTGATTGTTGTTGTTGTTGTTGTTGAGACAGGGTCTCACTCTGCCACCCATGCTGGAGTGGAGTGGCATGAACATGGTTCACTGCAGCTTGAACTAATGGGCTCAAGTGATCCTTTTGCCTCAGGCTCCCAAGGATGCCTGGCTATTTTCTGTAAATTTTGTAGAGATAGGGTTTTGCCATGTTACCCAGGTTGGTCTCTAATTCCTGTGCTTGATAGTTTGATGGGAACAGCACTGAATCTGTATGTAGCTTTGGGCAGTATGGCCATTTTAACAATATTGATTCTTTCTATCCATGAGCATGGAATGTTTTCCAATTTGTTTGCATCATTTGATTTCTTTCAGCAGTGTTTTATAATTCTCATTATAGCGATCTTTTACCTCCCTGGTTAGCTGTATTTTTAGTTTTTTTTTTCTTTTTGTGGCAATTGCTAATGGGTTTGCATTCTTGATTTGACTCTCAGCTTAGATGTTTTTGGGATGTAGAAATGCTACTGATTTTTATATATTGATTTTGTATCCTGAGACTTTGCTAAAATTGTTTTGCATCTAGTAGTCTTTGAGCAGAGACTAAGGGCTTTTTAGATATACTATTATATCATATCTTCTGTGAAGAGAGATAGTTTGATTTTCTGTCTTCTTATTTGGGTGCCTTTTATTTCTTTCTCTTGACTGATTGCTCTGGCTAGGACTTTCAGTAGTATGTTGAACAGGAGTGGTGAGAGTCGTTTTCCTTTTCTTCTTCCAGTTCTCAAAAGGAATACTTTTAGCTTTTGCTCGTTCAGTATAATTTTGGCTGCGTGTTTGTCATAGATGGCCCTAATTATTTTGAAGTAAGTTTCTTTAATGCCTGATGTTGAAGTTTTTTTAACATGAAGTTGTTGTTGAGGGTTTTTTAACGTGAATTTATTGAGGGTTTTTAACATGAAGGAATGTTGAATTTTATCAAAAGCCTTTTCTGTGCCTATTAAGATGATCATGTGGTTATTGTTTTTAGTTCTGTTTATGTGATGTATCACAGTTAGATTTGCACAGGTTAAACCAACTTTGCATGGCAGGAATAAAACCTACTTGGTCATGGTTGGATTAGCTTTTTGATGTGCTTCTAGATTTGGATTGCTAGTGTTTTACTGAGGATTTTTGCATTTGTGTTCATCAGGGATACTAGAAGTTTTATCTTTTCATTTTGTCTTTGCCAGATTTTGGTATCAGGATGATGCTGGCCTTATAGAATGAGCTAGGGAGGAGTTCCTCCTCCTTGAATTTTTGGAATAGTATCAGTAGGATTGTGACTGGCTTTTCTTTTTGCCTCTGGTAGAATTCAGCTGTGACTCTGTCTGGTCCAGGGCTGTTTTCCCGTTGGTAGGTTTTTAAATTACTGATTCATAGCGCTTTTATTTGTCCTACCTACTGCCACCTTCATAAGTCTTGTTGCTTCTGTTTAAGGAAGGAGGCTCAGTTTGCTCCTGGACTCCACTAGCTAGAGAATCAGAGAATTGACTGCCTCTTTCTAGCAGACAACTGAAGATCAGCTCTATACCAACAACACACAGTGGATAATTTGTAGTGTCATTACCTTCTGTGTGTGTGGGAGAGGAACTGGCTAAAATATAGGTCTTTGCATGGCCTTATCAACACTCACTAGGTAGAGGAATCAGAGTATTTCTGCCTGAAACTGTTGCGGTTGAAGGTGAGAGAGAGAAGATGAGGTGTATAAATGTGTATCCATTTTCTTTTTCCATTAGTGTTTGGCTGGAGTTAGAGTAAGCATTGCTAAGAAAGATTTTTGAGTTGTTAGGACACACTTTTGGGACTTTTAGCTAGGGAGAACACTGCTTTCTTGGATCTACTTTAGCTGCACCCGATGGCAGTTCCCAGTCGGAAGTTTCTGCAGCACTCTGACTGAGTAATACGGCATATAATAAAGATATACAGGAGACTCACTACCACATTGTTCCTCAGGTTCTAAATTTACCAGCCCATCCATTTGCTTCATTTCACTATACACAGTCTTCATAAGCTTGTTTGTTTTGCTATGTCTAGAGTACTTGTTTGTAAGAGGAAGAACCTGGAAGGCATGGGATACTCCATCTTGTCCAGAATTGGAAGTCTGAGCTTTGTTCTTTTAATAGTTAGCTGCAGAGTTCTTCTTAGAGAGTTTACTTGGGAAATATTTTAAGATTGTTACAATAGAAACAAAGGCCCTTAGCAAAAATATGACTGTGTATAAATCTGAAAAATAAAGGACAGTTACGATGCTCTTCTTCTTAAAAGGTTAAAAAAGTATTCTTTGAAGGAGATAAGAAATAACAGAAGATATTAATATAAATGGAAGAGTATGTGGTACAGATATCCTAGGAAAATTCCCAAGCAGATGAATATTCTATGGACTTTAAAGAACACAGATGGACAATGTTAAATTTAAATTTAATGTCATGGATGTGAGGGCAAAACAAATTAATAACTTTAAAATTCAAAGGTGTCTTATGCAGTGTATTAGTGCATTTTCACACCGCTGATAAAGATGTACCCAAAACTAGCTAATTTGTCAAGAAAAAAAGATTCGATGAACTCACAGTTCCACATGGCTGGGGAGGCCTTACAATCATGGAGGAAGGCAAGGAGGAGCAAAGTCACATCTTACATGGTGGCAGACAAAGAGAATGAGAGCCAAGCAATAAGGCAAACCACTTATAAAACCATCAGATCTTGTGAGGCTTATTCAGTACCATGAGAACAGTATGGGGGAAACCACCCGCATGATTCAATTATCTCCCACCAGTTTCCTCCCACAACATGTGAGAATTATGGGAGTACAATTTGAGATGAGATTTGGGTTGGTACACAGTCACAACTTATCATTCCACCCCTGGCCACTCCCAAATCTCATGTCCTCACATTTCAAAACCAGTCATGCCTTCCCAGAAGTCCCACAAAGTCTTAACTCATTTCAGCATTAACCCAAAAGTCCATAGGTCAAAGTCTCATCTGAGACAAGGCAAGTTCCTTCTGCCAATGAGCCGGTAAAATCAAAAGCAAGTTTGTTACTTCCTAGATACGATGGGGCTACATGCATTGATTAAATATGCCCATTCCAAATAGGGGAAATTGGACAAAACACAGGGGCTACAGACTCCATGTAATTCCAAAATCCAGAAAGGCAGTCAAATCATAAAGCTCCAAAATGATCTTCTTTGAGTCCATGTCTCACATCCAGGTCACACTGATGCAAGAGGTGGGTTCCCATGGTCTTGGGCAGCTCTGGCCCTGTGACTTTGCTGCAGGCTGCAGGTACAGCCTCCCACCAGGCTGCTCTCATGGGCTGACGTTGAGTGTCTGTGGCTTTTCCAGGCACAGGGTGCAAGCTGACAGTGGATCTTTCATTCTGGGGTCTGGAGAATGGTGGCCCTCTTCTCACAGCTCCACTAATCAGTGCCCCAGTGGGGACACTGTGTAAGGGCATCAACTCCACATTTCCATTCTATACTTCCCTAGCAGAGGCTCTCCATGAGGGCCCTGCACCTACAGCAAACTTCTGCCTGGGCATCCAGGTTTTTTATACATCCTCTGAAATTCAGGCAGAGATTCTGAAACCTTAGTTCTTGACTTCTGTATACTTGCAGGCTCAACACCACGTGGAAGCTGCCAAGGCTTGGGGCTTGCACCCTCTGGAGCCATGACCTGAGCTGTACACTGGCCCCTTTAGCCACAGCTGAAGCAGCTGGGACATAGGGCACCAAGTCCCTAGGCTGCATACAGCAGGAGGGCCCCGGGCCCAGCCCACAAAAATATTTTGTCCTCTTTGACCCCTGGGCTTGTGATGGGAGGGGCCGCCCTGAAAGTCTCTGACATGCCCTGGAAACATTTTCCCCATTGTCTTGGCAATTAACATTTGTCTTCTCATTACTTAAGCAAATTACTGCAGCCAACTTGAATTTCTCCTCATAAAATGTTTTTTATCTATCACATCATCAAGCTGTAAATTTTCTGAACTTTTATACTGTTTTCCTTTTAAAACAGAATGGTTTTTAACAGCACCCAAGTCACATCTTGAATGCTTTGCTGCTTAGAAGTTTCCTCTGCCAGATACCCTAAATCATCTCCATCAAGTTCAAAGTTCCACAAATCTCTAGGACAGGAGCAAAATGCTGCCAGTCTCTTTGCTAAAACATAGCAAGAGTCACCTTTATTCCAGTTCCACTGAAATTCCTCATCTCCATCTGAGACCACCTCAGTTTGGATTTCATTGTCCATATCATTATCAGCACTTAGGTCAAAGCCATTCAACAAGTCTCTAGGAAGTTCCAAACTCTCCCACATTTTCGTGTCTTCTCCTGAGCCCTCCAAACTGTTCCAAACTCTGCCTTTTACACAGTTCCAAAGTTGCTTCCACATTTTCAGGTATCTTTACAGTAGCACCCCACTCCTGGTTCCGATTTATTGTATTAGTCTGTTTTCATGCTGCTGATAAAGACATACCCAAAAATGGGTACTTTGTAAAGAAAAATAGGTTTAATGGACTCACATTTCCATGTGGCTCAATCATGGCTGAAGGTGAAAGGCACATCTTACATGGTTGCAGGCAAGAGAGAATGAGAACCAAGTGAAAGGAGAAACCCCTTATAAAACCATCAGATTTTGTGAAACTTATTCACTATCATGAAAACAGTATGGGGAATATCATCCACATGATTCAGTGATTCCCCACCAGGTCCCTCCCATAACACATGGGAATTATGGGAGCTACAATTCAAAATGAGATTTGGGTGGGGACACAGCCAAGCCATATTATTTAGTGTTTAATCTATTTGTTTTGTGGAAATTATAAAAGGTATGAAATTATTTTCTGGATTGATATGGCAAAAAATATAAATAGTACATATGGAATAGCACAAGAGTCATAAGTTGGATTTATTAGAAACAAGATCTCTGAGATGGGCCTGACCATAGGACTCCAACTTCTTGTCTCTCTACCATCATCACTTCTGTATGTAATAAAATCTTAAGGAAGTTTAGAAACCATGAAAAGTCATAGAAAGCTAGGTTTTAATGTAAAACTCAAATACACATAAGGAAAATAAAGATATATGTATCTAACTAGATCACAGGTTTTATCCTTGTACATATATACAGAGGAAAATGTCTGACAAAATAGACATTGAACTCTTTCTTGAAAAGCAAAATACCTATGTTATTCAGAGAGGTATAAAGATGCATATATTAAAATTGCCTTCAGAAACATTAAAGAATAAGCTAAAATAGAATATTTTTGCAAATCATATATCTAATGGACAATTTTTATCCAGAATACATAAATAAATCTTGCAACTCAAAAATAATGAGGAAACAATCCAATTCAAAAAATAGACAAGACATTTAAATAAGCTTTTCATCAAGAAAGACATACAAATTTTTATTAAGCATTATAAAATGTTTGCAACATCATTAGGCAATAGGAAATTAAAAATTAAAATCACAATGATATCTTATTATAAAATAACCAGAAGGACCATGATATAAAAGATAGTCAATGCCAAGTATTATAAGGTTTTCAAGAAACTGGAGCCCTCCTAAATTGCTGGTGCAAATAAAAATAGTACAACCTCTTTGCAAAAGTCCATCTGTTTCTTAAAAAGCTAAACATAAGCTTATCATATGACCAGCAATTTTTGTCCTAAAAATCTATCCAAGAGAATTGAAATGCTAGATACACTCTCCACTCAAAGCTTAATATGCCAATGTTCATAGAAGCATTGTTCATAATAGCTAAAAAGTAGAAACCCAACTGGTGAATGGATAAACAAATGTGATATATCCACGTAATGGAATACTATAAATAAATAATAAGGAATAAATTATACATCTGGAAGATGAATTGACTTCAAAGTCTTTATGAAGGAAGCAAGACACAAAATACTATGTATTATATGTCCTCGTTTACATAAAATGTTCAGAACAAATTTAGGTAAATAGAAATCATATCTATAGTAACCTGGGGATGGGGATGGATGTGAGGATTGGCTTTCAGCAGGTTCAATGGAAAATTTAAATTAGACCATGTTGGTTGTGCAACTCTATAAACTTATTAAATTGTAAATAACTAAAATTTATTGAATTGTAAATAACTATGTATGAATGTTTTGTTTAAATCATACCTCAATAAAGCTGTTAAAATACCTCAAAATAAATGTTAAAGAAAATTGGGCAAGAAAAAGACTCAAAGTTTTTTCTAAAACACTTTATGATATAATGCAATTACAATATGGCTCACTCTCTATGCAAATAAATTATAATATTGTAGCAAATATTGTAATCTGATAAAATTATTATCAGATAGAGAAATAAATGTTGCAACACTTAGCTTTATATGGGCAAGTACTGATCATTTCTGTGAATAGAAACACTATAAAGACTCAGCCATGAATTTTTCAGTCATTATATTTTGAATATGATATGCCTAAAAGAAGAAAAATGTTGTATTTGGCAATACTTTTGCTGACATAATTACTTTATGGAGTGATCACTTACCAGAACTCTTAAAAATATAGAGAATGAATGATGGCTGCTAGCACATTCTCTGTTAGCATTTTTACAGGGTTATAATATATAATGTTATTTTCAGGAACCAAGCTTCAGAAATAGTTATTACTGGTTTATTTTACAATCAGCTGTAAGAAACATCATACTGTTAAAATAATTTAATGATTCATCATTTGCACCAACATATTCATGATCACTTTTTGTTGTTCCAGGTTTTGTATTGTTTTTATAGAGCTGCCCTCACATGCTTCAGCAACATTAGATGGTAAGTATGACTTGTAGAAAAATTATATGAAGTTGGTAATACAATTGTAATTTTTATAATAGTGTGAAATATGATGAACACATAGCATTTACTTCGTTTTCCTCCTGAATACATAGAAAGAACATATTTCCTAAGTCCAGCTGCATCTAGTTCTGGCCAAAAAATTGCAAGAAAAAAGTAATGTAAACCAGCTCTAGGTCTCATTTATAAATATATTCCATAAAGAATCCTGCCCTATGCCTTTTCCTTCTGGTATAGTCTTGGAGTAGAATGTAAAAGATGGTCGTAATTCTAGATTGAAAGAAACTGTACCCCTTAGTGATTTCATAAAGACCCTCTACCATAACTTCCAATCTCATTAGACTATGTAATGATTAGTAGTAAAATGTATTATGTTAAGCCATTGAGATTGACAAGGCAGATTTTCTATTACCTTGTCTACAGAATTCTAACATATTATTAACTTCAACTTATAATAATATATTATATAGGAAATGCCTGCATATGACCGTATTTCTGGCTAATAAGTTTACAATTCCTCTTTAGAACCTTTAAAATGATATTAATGTTGTCAAATATTACATAAATACACATACACATTCAAGATTTATTTTGGACTGTTGAGCACTAGTTATGTGCTAGATGTTGTCCTATATACTTTATATGCATTAATTTGTATAATCCCATCAGCAATCCAGTGAGGTTGGTGCTGTTCTTAACATCATTTTATAAATGAGGAACTTCCATACTAATATTAGACTATATTTCTAGTCAGTGGAATGGCTGAGACTCAAGCACAGGTAGTCTGATTTGAAAGCATGAGCTCTTAATTACTAGGAAAACCAGAAGGGACATAAATGCGTACATGAAACTAGCTTTAAACATTTCATTCTTTTATAATTCAAGTGTGTATATGATCATCTTACAGTCTTCTAAATAGATACAGCCATACACATAATTTTTCTAGTATCAATAAAATTAGTAATAGCCTATGGTAGTAAAAAAATCACATAATTAACATAAGAAAATACTTGAATATCATATGCACAGCTTTTAAGTGTTTTCAAGGTTAACATTAGCACAGTACCACTATAAATAATTACACATTTACAGATCAATTAATGGAGGCAGGATGAGATGTGGTAACTTGTTGGCACAATAAGTGCAGATCCAGTTGGTGTGACTCCTTAGTCACTATGGAATCCAGTTGGTGTGACTCCATAGTCTCTACAATATTTTCTCTTCCCTGGTTAATTCAGTGTTTCTCATCATCAAGTAGGAAACACAATTGTGACTAAAATGACAATTATGCAAACAAAACTTTTTGAAAGAGAATTCTATTTTGTGCAGTAGATAAAAATCTGCCTGTGTTTTACACATCGGTTGTTTATCTTTAAGCCAAAATGGGAAACAACAGGCTTCCCCAAATGACATTCACAATTCCTTTATTAATCAAAATAGCTATCATAGGTAAAAATGCCATCTAAAATCCTTAACCAAAAAACAAAGTAACTTTAGTATTTTAAATGCTATACACGTTTAAAATAGTTTTAAATTAGAAACTAAACTTTCCTTTACTAGCTAACTTGCTGACTATGTAGGAAATTCCTAATGCATGTATCAGACAACTTACTACATGTTGCCATTTGAGGACTGACAGGACTTTTGAGTCCCCAAATACATTCTCATTGACTTAACTCAATGCCTAAATGACAGGTTTAATGCCTTAATGTTGACAGTTAAAATTCATGTATGCTTTCTGGAAATGATAACACTATAACCTATTTTCAGCCACTTATCGATTAAATTATTAATACAGGTATTATATTATTTATAAAAGGAAATAGGATCTTTACAATATAATAGATAGAACTTACTCTTCCTTTTATCATGATGTGTCTTTTATCTTTCACATCTACCAATATAGATGCCCACAAAACAATAATAAATAGTTGCTTTTGCAGAACTTATATAGAGTAAGTCACTTACAATAAAGCCAGAATATATCGGAAGCATGTAAGAAAGGCATGTAAAAATAGCTGAAGCACCTGTAAGAAAGGCAGACTCAGAATAAATACCACAGTAGGCAGCTCCATGGCAGATGAAGAAACAGCAGGAAGAAACTGATTGGAGCCACATATTTCAGAGCAGGGAGTAATACCAAAGGTGAAGATTAAGCTAACTTGAGAAGAGAAATGGGCATAATAATAAACCATATTTATATTCCAATTTTGTTTAGGAATGATCTTCATGGGGTCATTCTAATGAATTTCAGAAATGTAAATACCACTTGCATCATCAATAATAATACAGAAATTTTAATATAACATTTAGCAAGTATTCAAAGAACAGGCATGTTCAATCAAGCAAACGTTTTCATTTTCTCCATTAGAATTAAAAAAGAAAAGCAACTTCACAATTCATTTTGTCAGGGTAGTGAAACCTTGAACAGAAAATGGCAGAGTTGCTTTAAAAAAAAAAAAAAGAAAGAAAAGAAAATCATAGGTCAATCTCAGCATTGAGCATAGATTTAAAATTCTGATACAAAGTGTTTGCACAAAAAAGAAAGCACCTAGCACACTGGAAATTAGATGCAACTTATTTTAAAGTTAATTAAGGAAATAAGTAGCATTTCAGACCAGTGAGGAGAACTGAAGAGTACAAAGATATAGCGCTGGGAAAATTGATTACTTATATGTTTACAAAAGAAATTTGATCCCTTCCTGACATCTTACATAAATTCAATTCCACATTGATTAAAGACTTAAACCACTTAATTGTGGTTGGAAGGTAATTTCTAAACAAGACATAAAATAAACCCAAAAACCATAAAGTAGAAGATTTCTTTGTTCAACTACATTAATATGGAAAATAATAAATATGAACATTACAAAGATATATTTACAATTCCCAACTCTCCTAAGATGGGTATTTTAATGTAATTATTTTAAAGTAATAAAAATAACAGATTCAATAGGATAATGGACAAAAACATGATCTGTTATTTCATACAAAAAGCACAATGTTATAAAAATATATGATAAAAATAATTTAACTAGAAATTGAGATAAAATAACACGAGATAAATTTTTATCCCCACTCAACTGGAAAAAATGAAAAAAAAGATAATTCAAAGTGTTAGTGAAATATGATTTTCTTTCACACGTAGCCACACTTTCAATTGGTAAGCATATGTAGGAATACAATTTTTTTCTTACTAAATGTATTTGAAAATGCACACATCCAGTAATCTGGGAATTCCAGTCATAGAATATTAATATAGAAAATCTTTCTTATCTGATCCAGGAGATATTTACATGATTGTTCCTAGCAACATTGTAACAATAATAAATGTTAACACAAACCCAAATCTTCATCAACAATAAAATAGGTAAGTAAATTGTTCAAAAACTAAAGATAATGTCACATAGTAGTGGAAATTAGGGAACTACATACATCTCAAAATATTAATATGGAGTAATTAAGTGAATCACAAAAAGTCTCTTTACAATATGATTTCGTTTACATATGCATGAAAACTCATGAAAATTATTTTTTATTTTGTATAAATGTATAGGGTACAAGTGCAATTTTCTTACATGCAAATATCTCAGATAGTGGTCAAGTCAGGTCCTTTAGGGTTTCCATCTCCCAAATAATGTACTTTGTGCCCATAAAGTAATTTTTTATGATTCATGCCCTCTCACTTTCTTACCGTTTTGAAATCTCCATTTTCTGTCATTCCATTCTCTGTATCTATGTGTGGATAAATGTAATGAAGAACGTCAGCTAGGATTTGTGTTAAACTAATAGAAATTTTATATTAACTCAAATAATTTAGAATCTTACTTTTTAACTGTAGCCTGGAGATTGTTAATCCAGGCATAGCAGAGAGGTTTCACTAAAATTATTTTTTATGCTGGTTCATACTTAGCATTGTCATTTATATTCAAGTTCAAAAAGTGAATATTGAAGATCAGGAATCAAGAACACATTCCAGACAGTAATAAGGAGAAGAAGTTAAAAAAATAGAAAAGGGGTTCTCCTAAGAATCCTACTCAGTGGCTTTCTCTTAGATCTTTCATCTCAGAAACCACTATTGTCAGCTGGGCCTAGTGGCTCATGCCTGTAATCCCAGCGCTTTGGGAGGCCAAAGCCGGTGGATCACCTGTGGTCGGAAGCTGGAGATCAGCCTGGCTAACATGGTGAAACCCTGTCTCTACTAAAAATACAAAATTAGCTGGGCATGGTGGTGCATGCCTGTAATTTCAGCTACTTGGGAGGCTGAGGCAGGATAATCGCTTGAACCTGGGAGGCAGAGGTTGCAGTGAGCCAGAATCGCACCACTGCACTCCAGCCTGGGTGACAGAGTGAGACTCTGTCTCCAAGAAAACAAACAAACAAACAAAAAAAACCCACAAAGAAACCACCACTGTCTTCAGATGAAGCTAGATCAGTATTTTAGCTGGGTATACTGCTACCTCAAATAAAATCAGGGCTCTCTACTAGGGGTAAAGAGTGAAGGGAAGTATATGAGGTAAGCAGCCGTCTTCTCCTCATACAGCAAAATGACAAGGGCATGCAAGAGGAAAGTTAATAGAAAAATAGAGGATCTTTGGAGACTGGGAAAAGGGATGCTTTGTATTTGGAATACATATGGTTTTACAAATCCATTGGTATTATTACATATCTTAAGCTTGGTGCTAGGTACATGGATGCTCATTTTTAGCATGAGGTTTAGCACAAGTTTACCAATACAACAAACCTGCACATGTGCCCCTGAACCTAAAATGAAAGTTTAAGTGGAAAGAACTAAAAACAAAATGAAACACATGAAAAAATGTTCCCAATTAATTTTTCGATTTCAATGTGAGAAATGCGAAACTTCCTTTTTTTTTTTTGCTACCAAAAATAGTGCTATACTTCCACTAAGACTTTGACTATGTTCTAGCAACAGAGCCCAAGTATGTAGTCCTGACCATGGCAGAGTTATATGGAACAGTTACACTGTCAGTTTCTTAATGTACATTTTATGTTCCTTATGCAAAAATAATAATAACCTATTTGTCTTTTATTAGCCATAATCTCTTTCTATTTTTAGAAGATAGCAAAATGACTTGCTCATCTCAAATTAGCAGAAAATTGTTTTACATATTTTCTTCAAAGAAACAAGAACGAAAACAAACTTAGCTGTAAATTATCTCCCATGAGCTGTCTTCATTTGTTCAAAGGGTAGAGAAGGAAATGACAGTGAGAAAGCTAGCATGTATGAAGCATTTATTATGTGCCAGCGACTGTGTTAGGTAATTAGTATTCAAAGTGGTTCCTTTCAGGGTCACCACATCTCATATAACAGTGCTCCAGACAAATTCTACAATATCACATACTGTGGATTAAAAGAGTGAGCTTCATAAACTTTTTTTTGTGCTAAGAACTCTTAAAATCTGCTCTCAGCATTTTTCAAGAATATAATATATTGTTATTAACTATAGTCTCTGTTGTACAATAGATCTCTTGAACTTATTCCTCTTAAAAGAAACAATAGGCTTCACAGGATCAAGAGAAGAGGGCTTTCAGATTCCCAGTCTGGGCTTTGTCCCCAGATAGAGGCGGGCTGGAGCTCAGGCCCCCTCATTGATATGTGGTGTGTTTATTCATTCCCTAGACGTACCCTGTCTCTTCCTCTTGTTCTGTCTTCCTGTAGGATAAGCATGATAAAGCATACTGTCTGAGGAGGGGTATGTAGGCTTCTGGGACCCAGATAATCTGGATTCAGTGCTGTAGGTTTAGAGGAGTTATGTGAGAAAATCAACTGCCTAGTACCAGTGGATCATGGTAACTGTATTATTATATTTAAAACCTTGCATTATTCTTGAGAAATCTGAGTTCATGTCCAAGGTCACACATGTAGCACATGTCACAGTCATACTTATGATTCCAAAGCCCATAGTGTTATACCAGGCTATACTATTTTTCAATCTGAATATAATTGAGACAACTACAGTGCTCCATCAAATTCTATTTACTCTAAATTATTTTCATTTTTTTCCAGAATTCGAGTATTTTTTTGAACAGTGTTTTATTCACACATACACATGCCCACATCTCTCTCTCTATATATATATATGACTGTAATACATATTTTACATATATACAACCTGTTGTGATAGATAATATTGTGTTACAGTATCTGTTATAAGACTCATTACTTAGGCAAAGTTTTTTTATGACAGTTATACTATAAAGTATATAAAATGAATAAATAAAACAAGTAATTTCAAACAAGTTAGAAAGAATGCAGAAAGTAAGCATTATATAATTTTTACAATGTGAATATTATAGATAACTTAATAAAAGCTATATTATGTTTCAATTTCTAAATTTCAATTTGTTGTCCTACCTAATAAAATGATAATATGAATAAAAGACTCCAAAGATTAGCTATGCCATAATCAAGAGGAGAAAATTCAAGAAATTACAATCAAGAGTTTACTGTTAAAAGAAACATCAGTAAAATTGATTTTGAAGTATGCTGATTTGATAAATTTAGCAATACTTAGAGAATGAGCTACTCTGAAACTATTTGACCAAGTTGGGTAATAATCTGTTAACAGGTCAACATAAAAGATTAATATACCTTTCAAAACTGTTAGTTTTTCTTTATCTTATCATAATATATTTAACTGGTAAACTTCATCAGTCACCTTGTGAATACGTGACTTTCAATGGAAAGAAACTGCTATGATATAATGCATATAAATCATAATAAAATTTTTGAAACAAATTAATACAAATTTAAATAATCTGTCCTACATATTATTGTAGTTATGTTCACTAGTCCAAAGGGTATGTTTAAGCACAGAAATAAATTTAAATAAGAAAAATACATTTATCTTACTACCAGGCCATATCACAGAACTGTAAAATTAAATATTAGGTTGAGACCACCTGATTATTGTACATATACTTAGGAAAAATTCAGATTCCAGACAAAAGAAATTATTTATCATCTCATCTTACCTATTAAAACTATCTTGATATTCAATGATGGATGACAGAGAAAATTCAAATCTGATAGTCTTAAAACATCATACAATTATTAATTTTACATTCCTTACTAAGATTTCTTTTGCAGTATTTTAATAAATAAACACTGATTTATCAGTATGAATTTCACTGCAAGTTTGCACTTCAGGAGAACTGCTCACTCTGTGTAAATCTATTTTACTTTATACAGTAGATATGCAAAGTTGAAACAAAATCAAATATTTGCAATAACTTGGTGTATCGTGTTAACTACCGAGGGACTTTCATTCCTTTAAAGGATGTGAGGCATCAGGAAGTCAATGAACCATGGTCTTTAGAAGGGCCAAATTTAAGCAAGAAAGTATTGTCTTCTGTCTTTTGGCCATACCACAAAAGTTCCTATGAAATAGATTATAGTTAAAGGAACTGTAGCCTAATCCTTCTCATAAAAATTGTTTATTTATAAAAGATATAACATACATCATACTACCAAAAGTTTCTGTAGGTTACCAGAAAATTTTGAACCACACCTTTATTTATCCGTATTTCCAAAGATAATATACATTTAGTTTCTTTGAGTTTCAAAAGCATCCTTCTCTCTTAGAAGAGGCCTTTTGTTTCTGTGTCCTAGATTTTATCTATCAAGGTCCCAAAACTTACAAAGTCCTAGTGATCCTTTGGGAGAAGACATTTATTTATTATAGTCTGTGTGGAATATATATGTATGTGTGTGTGTATATATATATGATATATATATGTGTATATATGACAATTTATCCTTGAAACTACTCAATGTATTCACTCACCAAAATTGCATTGGCATACTTCACCTGACATGTTGTATGTTTTTACTCTACTAGGAGAGTAAAATAGAGAAGCATTTTTTTCCTCTCCTAATCTAAGAATTCTGTACCATTAACTTCAAGTTACCTCTAAGTGCTTCTTTAAAAGTCTAATATATTTCCCAATTTTTTCTCCTGAATTCATCACCTCTTTTTCTCTATCTTCAAACCTGGGATAATTCTTTCCCCATCATTAACCATGAATGAAGACCTTGCTTCTTGTACCACTGCAAATATTAGAGGCAATCAAAGGGAACCTGTATAAATTCCCCCCTACCGTATACATCCTGTCACTGCTTCTGGCTTTTGTGCCCATATGTTCTGCTTTTATTTGTCCTGTTACTAAGGATTTAACATCTGTTTAGATCTTAAGTCAACTTTTCCTCTTGCTCACTAGATCCCATCCCTTCTTTCCCACTCAAAGACATAAGTCTCAGTAATTTTTTCCATCTACATTATGAATTCTTACCTCTTTATTGGATAGTACCCTCAAGCTTACTAACATGCTGTAGTTTTTCTCATCTTAACAATTTACATCTCTTCCTAGAACCTCTCCCCAAAGTTCAAAATGCATGTACTTAATAGCTTAGTCTTCTACATGAGTGTGCATTTTAAACTTGACATGTTCAAAACCTAAATCCTATTGCCTTTTTAGAAATGTAAATTCTTGCACCCTTCTCCATCTTTTTGCTTCTAGATGCTCAGAAAATATAATTGTGTATTTTAAAGTATTCAGAATGTAACCATTTTTACTACTTTATCTGATAACATGTACAGTGGCACCACCATCTTTTCTTAGCTGATTTATTGTATTTGGCTTCTAACAGGTTTATCTGCTTCTAGCTTTGCTCCTTAAAATTTATTATCAAAGCCATAGTCAGAGGAATCATTTAATACAATGTCAAGATGCCATTCCTCATCTCTCAGAGCCTCCCATTGCTTTCTCTCCAGCTCATAATACAAGACTAAGGCTTCTTGTGACTTAGCCTGGCTCCTCCATTCCTCCCTGACTGTGTCTGCCACCCTACTCTTTTTGCTCATTCTGCTCCAGATGCTCTGACAGCCTTACTGTTTCTAGAAAAAGCCAAGCATGCTCCCGTTTTATGCCTTTTACAGTTATTATTCTTTCTACTTCAACCATTTTCCCTCATGTAATATACATTCCGTTCTATTATTCTTTCAAGTCTCTATTCAAATTTCACTTTATTTGGGTCTCCCCTGACCACCATACAGAACATACACACTTTCCAAACTGTTCATCCTGTTTATATTATCTATACTTCTCCAAATAATTTGTTCATTTCCTATTGTCCCTTACAATATATAGCTCCATTAATGCAGATGCTTTCCCTTTGTTGGTTCCTGATGTATTTCAAGGGGCTAGACCGGTGCTTGGCACGTAATAGATTCTCAACATGCATTGCTGAATGGATTGATAAAATATTGTTGGGCTATTTCAAATTTGCTGTTTCTTACTTATATAATTCCAAGGATTTAAATAGTCATAACTTTCTGGGCTTATAGGCTTATTTCTAGGTTGAAACAAGAAAATCATTAAGCCCAGTGAAACTAGCGAATGTGCTTATAAGATCTTTCAGACACAAAGTACACTTTGCTTTTAGTACTTATCTTGTTCCAATCGGTAACATTTATAGACTGTAGGAACTAATAGTAGAAATTTTATACCACATTCAGAAAGAAGAAAAATGAGAGCAATGAAAATAGGCTCATTACAGGATAAATGATGATGGAGAAGAGAGGTAACCACCCCGTAATGGAAAAAGCAAATAAATTCCCAGCAGTCTGAGTTTCACAGGATAGAGAATGGAAAACTTGATAGTTATTAGGCCTCAACATCAAACAAGATGACTATTCAAGAAGATAATCCAAACTAACTAAAATAAAAGAAATAAATTACAAAAATCAAGTGTATTGTCATTAACTGAATATTATATTATTTTTAGATTTACTACTATATGTACTTAAGAGTTGTTCTAACATAGCAAGAAATTTAGACTCTAATTTTAAGATATTTTAATTGAAAAGTTATTTAGATAACTTTTCCGGATATGTTCATGAATACAAAAAAAATCTTATCTTTTGATTTTACTGGGAAAATTAGATGTTAATGTATTTTATTTTTTCCAAGAGTTTTTTTTTATGGTTTTCTTACCAACATTAAAGCCACAGTTTTGTAATTTCCATAGCTCGTCCCATACCTTAGCACTGCTATCTGAAATTGTCATAATTGTGTTTACGTAGACCCTTGTGGTATCAAAGTTATAAAGATCTTTAGGAAAAATGGGTCTAAAAATTGGATTAAACAATTTTATTTAAAACATTATTAAAATTACCAAAATATTATTCAGTTATAAATTACAAATAAAGAAAGAATAAAGAATCTGGATACAACAGGAGGTCAGTTTAAAAGAAAGAAACAACTAGAAGAAACTAGAGCAACTTTCTTCTAATCTATATGCTTTTGACTTTCCTTGAACTAAGGTAAGTAATTAAGTTATAAATATAACTGAATATTTTCTTATATATCCCAAATCACTACCAATTTTCTTGCTCAGCTGGCCACCTTTATTTATAGAGCAATTACAACTATAATTTATATGCAAGTGTTAGCAAACCAGAATATTATTCTTTTTTCTCATTTGTAGTAGAGGCAAGTTAAAGTTCAGCAGCTAATAATTTCTCTGCAAATAAAATATCTCTATATGTAAAACTATTTATTCCTAAAATCACTTTCTTTCTCTCTTTCTCTTTTTCTGTGTATTTTTCTTGTTTCTCCTTCTCTCTCTTTCTCTCTCTCTGTCTCTCTCTCCAGGGTAAGAAGTATTTTTAAAAAAATCTACAGTTTCATTTTGAAACCATTTTTCTTCTACTTAATAAAAAACGGATGCTTTCATTCATTTATATATTGAATCATTTATTTAATGAATAGATATGACTATATATCCATTAAAATGAATTTTAATGAATTTTTATATATTTTATATATTTATATATTTAATGAGATATTCATTAAATAAATTCACTAAATGAATGATATAATATATGATATATAAATAAATAATTATATATATATACACATACACATAAAACTTGAAAAACAAGTACAGCATACTTGTTTCTCAAGTTACAATTAACCAGAGAGAATACATTTCATCTCCCACAGAGATTAAATTCTGGTGAGGAACTGTATTAGCTGAAGTATTAAGGCTAAGTTAGTGACACTGTTTGTTACTATCAGGTAGCATTTATAGAAAATAGAGTAATTATTCAATTGTTGGTGGGGAGTGTGAAATGTGTGAAAAATTGAAACAAAATGATAAATATTTATGTCCATAAATTTTTTTATGAAAAAATCAAATAATTCAAAGTTACATTACCCTGACAATTGTCTCAGTTTTTCCACCCCACAGATATAATCAAGGAGGCAATAGTAATTGCATTTTTTACTAGAGTCTTCTCACGCTTTTTAAGTTCTGTGAAGAAATGCAATCTCAGTCACTCCTATAACCAAAGCATGGACCATTTATTGTTGCATTATTGGTGGTTCAAGTGCTGTAACAAAATATAAACCAGGTGATTTAAAAACAATACAAATTTCTCTCTCACAGTTCTGGAGACTGGAAAGTCCAAGATCATGGTGCCTGAGGATTCAGTGTCTGGTAAGGGCTCATTTCCTGGTTTGCAGTAGGTTGTCTTTTTGACTGTGTCTTCACATGGTGAAAAGGAAAAACTCTGGTCTCCTCAGTCCCTTATAAGGGCACTAATCCCATTCACAAGAGCTCCATTCTCATGACCTAATAAACTCTCAAAAGCCCTACTTCACTGTACCATCATACTGGGGATAAGGGGTCAATGTATGAATTTTTGTAGAACATAAATATTCAGATCATAGCAGCTGTGAAACAAATTAATCACAAACTTAATACCATAAAGCAACAATAAGCTTTCATTATTTTACAGTTTCTTTTCTTTTTTTTTTTTTTTTTTTTTGAGACAGAGTCTCACTCTGTTGCCCAGGCTGGAGTGCAGTGTTACAATCATGGTTCACTGCAAGTTCCACCTCATGGGTTCATGCCATTCTCCTGCCTCAGCCTCCTGAGCAGCTGGGACTATGGGCGCCCACCACCACGCCCACCTAATTTTTTTTGTATTTTTAGTAGAGATGGGGTTTCACCGTGTTAGCCAGGATGATCTCAATCTCCTGACCTCGTGATCTGCCTGACTCAGCCTCCCAAAGTGCTGGGATTACAGGCATGAGCCACCATGCCTGGCCTATTTTAGAGTTTCTATAGGTATAAGTTCAGAAACAGTTTGGCTGAGCAGTTCTGTCTCTCATGAAATTAAAGTGGAGATGGCTACTAAGGTTTCAGTCATCTGAAGGCTTGACTGGGGCTGGAAGATCTGCTTCCCAGCAGTTCTTACTGCAAGGCCAGAGTTCCTTTCCACATAGACTTCTCCAGAGGGCTGCCTGACTGTCCTCATGATTTGGCTACTATCTTCCTTAAGGATGAGTGATTCAGGAGAGAGCAAGGAAGGACTGCCAAGTCTTTTATAACCAAGCCTCAGAGCCACACATCATTACTTCTGCAATGTATTATTGGCTACACAGGTGGACCCTATTTAATGTGGGAGAGGAATACATAAAAAGGTGGATATCATGAGGTGAAAATCATTGGAGACCATCTTGGAAGCTGTCTAACGCAACAAGAATTATT
Organism: Homo sapiens; assembly: GCF_000001405.40. Classification (NCBI taxonomy): domain Eukaryota; kingdom Metazoa; phylum Chordata; class Mammalia; order Primates; family Hominidae; genus Homo; species Homo sapiens. The sequence continues at coordinate 40,975,447 of NC_000014.9, forward strand.
TTATTTATGATTTATTTGAAGTCTTTTTTTATTTATAATCTGTTTTACTTGGAATGATTGGTTATCAGACTCAGCACGTTTTCAAATCTGTATAACAGATGCTATCTTGTTTGTCATTAGGTAAGTTCACCTGAAACCCTCAGGCAAGCCTTTCAGAACTAATGCCTGTTGTAATTCCCTTATTTCTTATGTGATTTAAATTGTGAAAAGCCCATATTTCTTTTGAAAAATCATTGCTTGTCTTTTGTCTCTGATGTTAGCATGTTTTCAGGCAATGTTTTTGAAGTTAAATATATTTGTTGTTTAGAGATGACTTTTCTCTGCCCTTTTATTTTACATACAAGGGTACTAGTATCCAGAGAGGTCAAGTGGCTAAGGATGCAAAATTTGTAATAAAATTTAGGTTTTCTGAATCTTAATCTTTAGTATTTCCTTTACAACTTGCTGATAGGTGGATAGTTTTTAATAATTGCATACCTCTATAAGAACACATTCATAAATTTAGCATTAAAGATTTGTAGGCTTCTTATAATGGAACACTTCACAATGCCAGCAGCTACAAACTTTTCTCTGTATGATTTCCTTCTTTTCATTATGCTGAAGTTTCAGCTCAGCATTTCAAACACCTAAGGCAATGAAATGGAACTTACCCCAAAGAGAAAACAAAAACAGTGAAAATTTCTGGGAAAATTGTAATCTTACACGTGTTGATATCAAAGTCCTGAAAACAAAAGAAAATTTTAGAAAAATTCAACAGTATAATTCCTGTGTTATTTGATATTCTTTACTGAATAAATAACAAGTTAAGACTATAGAATCATTCAACCTAAAAATATACACATATATGTTTCCTTCAACCTTTAATGTCAACTTCACACATTTAGGTTTGGAAATATATTTCATTCCCTTTCAAATAAAGAATGGCTTTTCTCTTCTCCAACCAGATTATTTGTGTTATTAATAAAAGCAGCATGCCTAAGGGTTGAATCACTTCAGGAGTTGTAAATCAAGTGTAAAATGAAAGTTCATTTGTGGGTGGAAGAAATAATGCAGAGAGAATAGCAGGTCACCAACTATTGAACTTAGTGTATTGACATATGACACAACATTTTGTGATTCTTTAGCAGTTCATCTGTTCTTGACTTTTTGTCCTTTATAATAATATTACAAAACAAGAGAATACCAAAAAGGCTAAAACAAAGTAAAATTATGTAATAGGATGTCTTAAGCTTTGTTTTTTAATTTATCGCTTCATCAGAATAACTAATATGTGGTAGCATATCTTTAAAATGACCATGATGGATGCAAAAAGAACTACTTCATACTGCTTCATATTTCAAAAGTAAGTGCTTTGTAAAAACAAAGAGCAACTTGTGTTTATAGTCAGAATTTAGCTTTTTTTATTCCTTTTTTGAGACAGTATATCTTGTTCTGTCATCTAGGCTGGAGTGCCATGCCACAGTCACAGCTCACTGCAGTCTCTACCTTTTGGGCTCAAGCCAACTTCCAGCCTCAGCCTCCCAAGTAGCTGGGACCTCAGGTGCACACCACCAAACCCAGTTAATTTATTTTTATATTTTGTAGAGACGAGGTCTCCCTATGTTGCCTAGGCTGGTCTTGAACTCCTAAATTCTAAGTAATCCTCTGGTCTCAGCCTCCCAAAGTGCTGGGATTATCTATGTAAGCCACCATGCCCAGTCAGAATTTAGCGTGTAACAGTTAGTATTTCACACCAAACGTAACATCTCATAATGCAGCACCATTTAAAAATAAACTTTGATTTTAGAACACTTTTATGTTTACAAGAAAATGGAGCAAATGGCTTAAAGAGTTTCCATACACTTCACGCTATGTTTTCCCTCTTATTAACGTCTTACACAAATATGTTACAATTAATAAACCAATATTGATATATAATTATTAACAAAAGTACATACTTTTTAAAAAAAATTTAATTTAATAACTTCTTCCGGTTCCAGGATTCTGTGTTACATTTAGTAAGGCATTCAAATAGGAAAATAAGTCAAACTACCTCTCTTCACTGATGATAAGATTCTGTAACTAGATTTCCTAAAGTCTCTGCCAGAAGGCTCCTAGAACTGATAAATTTCTTTAGTAAAGTTTCAGGATATAGAATCAATGTACAAAAATCAGTAGCATTTCTATATGCCAACATCCAGGCTGAGAGTGAAATTAAGAACACAATCCCAGTTACAATAGCCATACAGAAAATGAAATATTTAGAATATTTAGGCATATAGCTAACCAAAAACATGAAAGATCTCTACAAGGAAAACTACAAAACAAAATCAGAGATAATACAAATAAATGGAAAAACATTCCATGCTCATGGACTGGAAGAATCAATATTGTAAAAATGGCCAAACTGCCCAAAGCAATTGATGAATTTGACATTATTCCTATCAAATTACTGACGTCCTTCTTCACAGAATCATGTCTTCATGTGCTATTTTTAGCTGTGACAGTTACTTTGATTTTTCTTGTTTATGATTACCTTTGGAGTTTTGGTAAATACAAGTTAGGTACTATGTAGAGGGTATTTCTATTAAAATTTGTTTGGTGACTTTCTTATGGTTAAACTTGTTTGTGTTCTTGGAAGGAAGACCAAAGATGTAAAGAATAACGTGGTTTTTTTTTGGTAAGTCACCCATATCATTGGCTAATTAATGTTATTATAATTCTCTAGTCTATCTATTATGTGTTCAACTCCATAGTGTTTCTATGCACCTTTGGACTTAAATCCAGGTATATTATTACTCAAGTGTGTGAGATTAGCTTGATCTTCTTGAAGTACAGATAAATGCCTACAGACTAGTTTGATACAGTCTTTAGGCTTTTGTGATATATTAATCAAACTATGTGATTTAACTATCCAAGTTCCTTTATAAATTTTAGAACAAGAAGCCCTGAAAACTATATTCAGCTTGATGACTGTAATATAAACATTATCATCTCCATCGGTACTGTACATATTAAAGACTCCATGTTATTTTGTAAATCAGAATAAATTTCCTAAGCTAGATTCTCATTGAATTAGTTTAATAAATGCTTATTAACAGTATTCATTTGAATTTTATAATTCTATCTATATTTTTCTCTCATAACTAGTAAAATTCAATTTTGATTCAGTAAGTTCTGAATATATTATCTATATTGCCTGTTCTGTAAAACTATTTCCTGGGAGTGGAATTTCATAGGACTTGTCTATCAAATATATTATGTGCATATAAGCCAGCTCCTCTGGATGTGTTAACTGGATATGTGAAACATAAGAGCCTTTATAATATGTAATAAAATTTAGTTGAAATATACTTAACATTATATTCCATTTGCCACATGAATTAATAATATGTAAGGTAGAAAATCAAGTTTAAAAAATTTGGTTGAAGTTGTTATTTTTTTTTTTGAGATGGAGTCTCACTCTGTCGCCCAGGCTGGAGGGCAGTGGCGCTATCTCAGCTCACTGCAACCTCCAGCTCCTGGGTTCAAATGATTCTCCTGCCTCAGCCTCCCGAGTAGCTGGGGCTACAGGCATGAATAAACTGTAACACACTCTATCAAGGCCCTGTATATATATTTTATATGACAGTAATCACAATAGCTGGATTATCACTTTCGAGACATCCAAAGTATATAGTCTTTCATGAGAAAGAGAGGTTTTAAGAATGAGTGCATAAACTGCCTACTGTTGACATTAGTGCTGCATTGAAACACTTGACCGTGGTTCAAATGTAGCTAAGAACAGTACTTCTCAAAGTCACCTGAAAATGTTGCTAAAACACAGATTTCTTAATTTTCTAAGGCCCATACCTGGAAATTCTGATTCAGTTGTTTGGTAGGGGCCTGAAAATTTGCATTTCTAACAAGGCCCAGATAATATTGATGTTTCTGTTCTCCCCTTCATACTTTAAAAAAGCAAACAGGTAGTAATAAACTCTTACAAGAGTGGATCTCTTCTTTTAGGGATAATATTCTGGGAATGAAGTTAGATACATAAATTAAAGAACAAATTCCAAGGGAAAAAATGGTGATAGTTCCATTGAAATTTAACTAATCTGTCATATTGAAATTATTTGTATTTTCTCATGTATCATGTATTCTAAAGCAACATGCCCCAAAAGGCATAATAGTTTTGTATCATGGTGGTTCTGTAGGGATTTTGCAAACAGTTTTCAAGAATAATTCACTTTATGAAGCTCAATCTATGTTATTTCTAAGTTATTTCCTGATAATAATAAAGAATTAAGTAGACAAAAAGTTAGATACAAATAATATAGAAAATAACACTAATAATTTAGATTTTTTTGAAGTTTTATTTTCCCACTTTTTTTGTTGTTGAAATAGTATAAATTCATTTTTTAACCTTTGTTTAAAGGAAGATTTTAATTTTTTTTGAGTGAGGATGACGTCTTTTCATATTGTGATTTCTAAATTTGTTTTTACATAATTTATGCAATCAAAATATATTATTCCTATAGAATTAAATAACAGACAGGTGTTTATTTGGCATTTCAAAAGTAAAACATTGTGAGCAATTATTAAGCTATTGTTTTGGTTTAAGATGTTATGTAGAATAATAAAAAAGAAAAATAAATATTATTTGGCAATATATGCATACCATGTTTATATTTCATGCATAATGAGACTAACTTCTGAATATTTAAATCACAATGATAATCAAATAATGCTCATTGTTTGAGATAACACTACTAATATTATTATTCTAGCCTACATTTCCAGTAATAGATATTCAATTTAAAATAATCACTAGTTCAGAAATAATCTAATTAATTCTAAACCTATATGCCTATAAGAAGTCCTAGTTATCTCTACAATAAATTCATAGCTTCTTACACTAAATACATATGGCTTCCACAAAGATAAATATATTTGTAAACCTATTCACTGTAAATTTTCCTTTATACCTTCTTTATAATTTTGCCTCAAAGCATCTTTCATCAAAAAAGAGAGAGTTCACTGGAATAAATTGAATTGCTTTGAAATGTGGTTTAGATGCTTTCACACTATAATATATTTTTTTAAAGCATGTCTTTGAGAATTTAGTAATTTTCAGATAGTTTCATCACATATTCATTTCAACTAAGGCATAATTACAAGGAGAATCAAGCTATAGTGGGACAATAAACAAGATGAATGCCAAAATGCAATTTCCTGAGTTTATGTCAATTCTCACTAGAGCTATACAACACTTTGGATATAAAATTCTATACAAAAAAATTTAATGTTTCCAATAAAATCTATATTCTAGAATAAATAATATTTTATGTTGATATAACTGTAAATCAGCTTTAGCATGAGATTTGAACAATATTTTTATGAGTTACATGTATTTGAAAAGGTTGACCTTTATCCAAACTATTTTTCTTCAATACCAATGAATAATTATTAAAACATAATTATAAATTTTTTAAAATTAAGTCCAATTAATTCAGAATACTAGGTGATAAAATGACCAATATTTGCAAGAAATTTGAACCCAATTTATATTGTATTTTTAACACTATTCTAAAATAGAATAAACATTTTTTGATACTCTTTACACCCTGACCATTCTGAGGAAATATAAAACCTTTGATTCCATTTTGACAATTTAAGTAATTTCCTGCACATTTTTAAAATCTCATTTTGCCTGAATATCAAATGAAACTAAAAATTATGAACAAAGAACACAATGATTCTTTCATAATATAGAAGAAATAAAAAATAGACTTGAAAATGGCATAGTTCCAAATATATGCATCAAAACCTGATAATTTGCAGACCTCTTTCTTCTTCTTATATTATTTTATTGGAGAGGAGTGAGGGGTAAAATATGGAAGAAGCAGAGAGAGTGAGAACAGGGGATTTCTTCTGGTGATGCGAGAACAGGGATCTAGGGAGCCAGTTAGCAGTGGAGAAAGAGGTAGCATTACCAGTTTTGCTGAAACTATGCTGCAGTGATTACGTACCATACATCCCATAAATTCCATTCCTATAGCAACAGGGATGATGGGTCCTCTGAGTCATGTTATGGTTTGCTACCTTAGCAGTTCTGATGAATTTCAGGCTCTTCTGAATCTGCCCTTCAGGTGTTGTTTGAACTGATGTATTCTGCATAACGTTGTTGAAAGAATGGGGTCCAAAGAGAGAAATTCCATTTTTCTTATCATTGGATTTAGGCTTTTCCCACTGGAGCTAATCCTGGATGCATGTGGAATTTGAATAAGTTAATAAAATTATGTTTGTCATTTTAAAATAAAATTTCTTCCTAGCTTCTAATTTCTCAATACATAGTGTCAGTTACTGAGATCTTGTTGCATTTGCGTTTTCTGATTCTAGAACACCAGAAAAAAATACTGTATATTTTATTTTAGTAAAGGTAAAATAGTAGGATTATTTGAGCTTGAGTAGCAGTTAGCTAATTTTTTCATGGATTTTTGGTTTGAAGCATTTACATTTTATATCAGTGATATTAGCCACTCTGAAATAATGTGCACAACCTGAAATCACTACAGATTCAAGAATTACAACCAACTAGGGCTTCAATCTGATCTCTTAATATTCAAGTTTATTAATGTTAGTTATAAATTTTACTAGTTACTCAAAATAATGCACGAATCCAGGTCCTAGCAAGAGCCACAATTCAACACCATTATTTCAAATGAGCAGACTTTAATAAAGACACTGCTCATATGCAAGGTCAACATTAAATAAAAACAAGAGATGGCAATGCACCCAGACACCAGCAATAGCAGGATACAATTACTCCTACGGTAGAGGGGCAAGGGAAGAAAGAGTGTTACCAATACAAAGTGAGAGCTGTAACCTGTGGTAGGGTCTGTCTGAAGCTGAGGTCCTGACAGAATCAACTAGGATAAGAGGCACCAACACAATGAGTAGGAAAGAAATGATCCATTTGGTCTTTCCCATCCTCTGGTCTCTTTTCAGATCAGATTAAATGATGCCTCTCCCAAACAAAGGCCAAAAAAAAAAAAAAAGAGAGAGTTCAGAAGGTATCTCAGTGAGGCTCAACATTGGAGAAACACAGCAGAAAAGAGGAAAACAGGTATGAGAAGAACTAACAAAAGAAATTAAAAAGTGCATAGATAAGGGAAAAACACACTGAATTCCCACGGTACAGTTTCATCAAATGTTGGGGGTTTTTTTTCCCCCTATTTCTTTCAGACTTTACCATTAGCATCTCTGTGTTTCTAAGGAACTTATGCTCCATCAGGGGCCTTCCTTTTACTACTTGGCCCAAGTGCCCTATTTTAGAAGTCCACACCAATCACTCTCAACAAGGAAACTTTGCAACCTAAGGACAAAAGGAAGAGTAGGAGGAAGAGATGGATAGGGAAAAGAGAAGAGGAAGGAAAGCAGAAAGGACATTTTTCTGGCATATTACATATAAACCTTTTCTTAATATGGTTCATGCTTACCTAAACTCTCCTTTTTTAATACTACATTGAATACTCCAATGCTTCTCCATTTCTGAGTATGATGAGACTAATTGTACAAATAGATTTTTGTTTTTTCTTATTTTTGAAATTTACCTTCACTGCTGAACACCATCTTGACTTGGCAAAGATTAAAACTCTCATAAGTGTTTTGTGTTTGTTTGCTTGTTTTTTTTTTATTTATTTTTAATTTTTGTGGGTACTTAGTAGGTGTATACATTTATAAGCTCCATAAGATGTTTTGATATAGGTATGCAATGTGTAATAATCACATCATAGAGAATAGGGTATCCATCCCCTAAAGCATTTACCCTTTGTGTTACAAACAATCCAGTTATACTCTTTTAGTTATTTTGAAATTTACAGTTATATTATTATTGACTATAGCCCCTCTGTTGTGCTAGCAAACACTAGATCTTATTCATTCTTTCTAGCTATTTTTTTATACCCGTTAACCATTCCCACCTCCTTCCCACTCTCAACTCCCCACTATCCTTCCAGGCCTCTGGTAAACATCCATCTATTCTCCATCTCCATGATTTCAATTGTTTTGATGTTTAGACTCCACAAATAAGTGAGAATATACAATGTTTGCCTTTCTAGGCCTGGCTTATTTCACTTAAACATAACACCAGTTTCATCCTTGTTGTTACAAATGACAGGCTCTCGTTCTTTTTTTATGGTTGAATATTCTCCACTGTGTATAAGTACCACGTTTTCTTTATCCATTCATCTATTGATGGACACTTAGATTGCTTCCAAATCTTGGCTACTGTGAACTGCACTGCTACAAACATGGGAGTGTAAATATCTCTTCGGTATACTTATTTCATTTATTTTGGGTATATGCCCAGCAGTGGAATTGCTGAATCATATGGCAGCTCTATTTTCAGTTTCTTGAGGAAACTCCGAACTGTTCTCTCTAGTGGCTGTACTAATTTACATTCCTACCAATAGTGTATGAGGGTTCTCTTTCCTCCACATGCTCACAAGCATTTGTTATTGCCTGACTTTTGGATAAAAGCCATTGTAACTGGGGTGAGATAATACCTCATTGTAGTTTTGATTTGAATTTCTCTGATGTTCAATGATGTTGAGCAACTTTTCACATGCCTGTTTGTCATTTGTATGTCTTTATTTGGGAAATTTCTATTTAAATCTTTTGCCCCTTTTAATCAAATTATCAGATTTTTTAAGGGAGTTATTCAAGCTCCTTATATATTCTGGTTATTAATCCCTTGTCAAGTGAGTGTTTGCAATTATTTTCTCCCATTTAGCAGGAATGTTGTCTCTTCACTTTATTAATTGTTTCCTTTGCTATGCAAAAGCTTTTTAACTTGCTATGATCCCATCTGTCCATTCTCCCTTTGGTTTCCTGTTCTTGTGAGGTATTATTTATAAAATGTTTGCCCAGACCAATGTCCTGGAGAGTTTCCCCAATCTTTTAGCAGTTTCATAGTTTGAGGTCTTAGATTAAATCTTTTGTATATTTTGATTTTTTTGTATGGTGAGAGATAGGGTCAAGTTTCATTTTTTCTGCATATAAATATCCAGTTTTTCCGGCACCATTTATTGAAGAGACTCCTTTCCCCAATGTATGTTCTTGGCACATTGGCTGAAAGTGAGTTCACTGTAGTCTTGTGGATTTGTTTCTGGGTTCTCTATTCTGTTCCATTGGTCTGAGTCTGTTTTTATGCCAGTACCATGATGTTAAGCTTAGTATAACTCTGTCGTATAATTTGTAGTCATATACTGGGATTCCTCCAGTTTTGCTCTTTTTGCTCAGGGTGGCTTTGGCGATTCTGGATCTTTTATGATTTCATATACATTTAGGATTGTTTGTTCTGTTTCAGTGAGGAGTGTCATTGATATTTAATAGGGATTGAACTTAACCTGTAGATTGCATTGGGTAGTATTCACATTTTAACAATATTGATTTTTCCAAACCATACTCATGGAATAACTTTCAGATTTTTGTGTCCTCTTCAATTTCTTTCTTCAGTGTTTTATAGTTTTCATTGTAGAGATCTTTCACTCTTTGGTTAATTGTTCTGTATTTAATTTATGTCTACTGTAAATGGGATTACTTTTAAATCTCTTTTTCAGATTATTCATTGTTGGCATGTGAAAATGCAACTTATTTTTGCATGTTGATTTGTATCCTGCAACTTCACTGAATTTGTTTATCATTTCTAATAGTTTTTTTAGTGGAGTCTTTAGTTTTTTCCAAATATGATATCATAGTATCTGCAAACAGTGATAATTTGACTTCTTCATTTCTAATTTGGACTCCCTTTGTTTCTTTCCCTTGTCTGGTTGCTCCAGCTAGTACTTCTAGTACTATGTTGAATAACAGTGGTGACAGTGGGGATCCTTGTCATGTTTCAGATCTTTGAAAAAAAAAGGTTGTCAGGTTTTCCACATTCGTAATGATACTAGCTGTGGGTCTGTCATATATGGCTTTTATTATGTTGAGGTATGTTCCTTCTATACCTATTTTCTCTAAGATTTTTATGATAGAGGGATGTTGAATTTCAGAAAATGATTTTTCATCATTAATTGAAATGATCATATGGTTTTAGTTGTTCATTTTGTTGATGTGATGTATCACATTGATAAATTTGCATATGTTGAAACATCCTTGCATCCCAGGGATCAATCCCATTTGGTCATCTTAAATGATCTTTCTAATGCAGCAGTCCCCAACTTTTTTGGCACCAGGAACCCCGATTTTGTGTGTGTGTGTGTGTGTGTGTCTGTTGGCGGGGGGAGGCTCAGGATAATTCAGGCACACAAGCTTTATTGTCTACTTTATTTCTATTATTGTTACATTCTAATATATAATGAAACAATTACGCAATACACCAAAATGTAGAATCAGTGGGGGCTCTAAGCTTGTTTTCCTGCAACAAGAGGGTCTAATCTAGGGGTGATGGGAGATAGTGACACCCGAAGTGTTTGCTTGTGTCCAGTCTACTCCACAATCTTGTTTTGGTTGCTGTCACTGCATAAAACCCTGCTTCACAAAAATGGGATGTTGGAAATGGAGGTGGCTTTTCAATGCTTTTGTGAAAATCTCAGGATATTTTACCTTGACTCTAATATAGAATGAATGGAGATTTAAAGTTGTCTCATACATACTTTTAAGGTCATCATAATTTGCAATCTCAAGCAGTTGATCCTCTTCCAGCTTGGATAAAGCCCATTTACCTGGCTTATTCACAAATGGGTTGTGGATCCATTGTTTGCCAGTTCTGGGGGCGTTTGTGTTGGAAAGTAATGCTCAAACTCTTTTGAAAGCTGAGATAGGTGATCATGCACCAGCTGCAAGAAAGAAGGCCCTGGCTCAGTCTCTTTCAAAATCTCTGCTAATATTTAAACATGTCAAAAATACGAGTGTTCACTAGTTGTCCCCATAATTCCACTCACAGTTACTGTTCTCCCTCAAAGTGACAGATTGAGTTCATTGAGCACGTTGAATATGTCACATAAGTAAGCAAGTATTGCAACCCATTCTGTGTCACTGAAATGTACTACCAGTGGTGACTGTTTTTGTAAAAGAAATCTCTAGAGTGGCTTTTACAACTCAAAAATTCTGTCCAGTGAAATACCTTTAGAAATCTATCTCACTTCTGTATATAAGAGAATACATGTATAATCTGCATCCATCTCCTTACAGAGATGCATGAACAGATGAGTTAAGGGCATGTACCTTAATTGGTTGATAATTTTAATCACATCCTGCAAAATGTTGTTAAGTTCAGGTGACATTTTTTGGCTAGCCAGCATTTCTCTATGGATGACATGGTCTGTAAACTCACATTAAGAAGCAATCTTTTTGACCCAACTAGAGAAACCAGAAAGCTGTCCAATCTTGGCAGCTGCTAGGTCTGTGCATATATGGGCATAAAATTACCAATGCAGTTTTCCTGATATGTAATCATGCAAAAATTTGAATAGTTCTGCAGCTGTGGCATTGGTTGGTAACTGGTGTACATAACATATCTGCATGCTCATCATCCTGGAAAATGTACCTTATAAAAACAAGCATTGTTGCCTTGTTGTCAACATCAGTAGACTTGTCAACCTAGATTGCATACCACAGCGACTCATTAATCCTCTCTAACAATTGTGCTTCAATGTCCTCTGCTATTTCATCAATTCATCTACTTATGGTGCCAGCCAAAAGAGAAACATGAGCCACCTTTTGAACTGCAGCCTCCCCCAGCAGTTCACCGCAAATGTCCTTAGCACAGGCAGGATTAACACTTCACCAATAGTAATGGGCTTCTTAGCTTTAGAAATTAGGTTAGCCGCTAAGAATGATGTTCTCAGTGCAGACAAATTTGATGAAGCGATAACCTTTGATAATTCCTTCTGTTTTTTTGTTCTCATGTTTTTTTTTTCTTTTGAAAAACATCAAAGCATTATCTTTCAATACAAGGTGCTTTGTCTCCATGTGGTAAAGCAGTTTTGAAGGTTTCAAGGCCTCATTTGATAGCAGGTCACCACATATTAAACAAAGTGGGCTTACAGAATGTGAATCACCTGTTACTATGAACCCATAATTTAAGTAGGACTCAGTATTTCCTTTTAAACACAGCTTTCTTTTTGTTGGCGGTTTTAAAGTATTCTGCTATCTCATCATTGTGTCTTTTGCCCTGTCCAAAGAAGCTCTCAAGTGGCATCTGTTTTTTACTCACTTTGGCTAGGGTTGCCTTGTGAACTTACCAAAACTGTGACTCAGACAAGTGTACAATGCAGGAAAGAGACACATCTGGAAGTAGTAAATAAAATAATGGTTGCACTATACGTAAATAAAATGAGTCAGATTCTGACTTAAAGCCTACCACCGGATACAGCTGTACAATTGAAGTACATCAATTCACTTACCAATATAAAGCCTGCTACTAAATGCAGCTTGTCACTTGCTACCCACTGATAGAGTTTTGATTTGAGTCTGTAAGAAATTAATTTACTATGGTCTCCTTGCAGTCAAACCTCTCTGCTAAAGTTAATTTGTATTTGCAGCTGCTCCACAGCACTAGCATCACTGCCTCAGCTCCACCTGAGAACATCAGGCATTAGAGTCTTCTAAGGAGCTCGCAACTTAGATCCCTTGCCATTCACAATAGGGTGCATGCTCCTATGAGAATCTAATGATGCCATTGATCTGACAGGAGGTGGTACTCAGGCGGGAATGCAAAGTGACAGGGCACAGCTGTAAATACAAACAGCTTCACTTGCTTGCCTGCTGCTCAGCTCCTTCTGTATGGCCTGGTTCCTAATAGGCCATGGACTGGTACCAGTTCATGGCCCAGGTGTTGGGGGTCTCTGTTCTAATGTATTGTCGAATTCATTTTGCCAGTATTTTGTTGAGGATTTTTGCATCAATATTCATCAGAGATAATGGTGTGGAATTTTCTTTTGTGTGTGTGTGTGTCTTTGGTTTTGGTATAAAGGTAATACTGGCATCATAGAATAAGTTTGGGAGTATTCCCTCTTCCTCCAATTTTCAGAATAGTTTGAGTAAAATTGGTATTGGCTCGTCTTTGAAAGTTTGGTAGAATCCAGAGTGAAGCCATCAGGTTCTGGGCTTTCTTTACTGGGACACTATTTTTTTTTTTATTATGGCTTTGATCTCATTACTTGTTATTGGTCTGTACAGGTTTTGGATTTCTTTATGGTTCAATTTTGTCATGTTTTGTGTGTCTAGTAATTTATTCACTTCTTATAGATTTTCCAATTTATTGGCGTATAGTTGCTCATAGTAGTCTCTAATGTTACTTTGAATTTCTGCAGTGTCAAAGGTAATGTCTCCTTTTTCATCTCTGATTATTTTTATATGGGTCTTCTCTCATTTTTTCTTAGTCTGGCTAAAGATTTGTCAATTCTGTTTATCTTTCCAAAAATTCAATTTTTCATTTCATTCATCTTTTCTACTGTTCTCTTCATTTCAAATTCATTTATTTCTGTGATGATCTTTATTATTTCTTTTCTTCTACTAAATTTAGGTTTAATTTGCTCTTGCTTTTTCAATCCTTTAAGAAGCATAATTAGGTTATTTATTGGAAGTTCTTTTTTTGATGTAGGCACTTATGGCTGTAAGTTTTCCTCTTATTTCTGCTTTTGTTTTATCCCATAGATTTTGGTAAGTTATGTTTTCCTTATCACTTATTTTAAGAAATTTTTCAATTTCCTCTTTATTTTCTTCATTAACCAGTTGGTTGTTCAGAAGCATACCATTTAATTTTCATGTATTTGTATAGTTTCCAATATTCCTCTTGTTGTTGATTTGCAATTTTACTTTATTTTGGTCAAAGAAGATGTTTTATATTATTTCAAATCTTTGAATATTTTAAGACTTGTTTTGTGACCAAATATATAGCCTATTCTTGAGAATGATCCACGTGCTGAGGAGAAAAATGTGTATTCTGCAGCCATTGGCTAAAATATTCTGTAAATATGTCTTAGATCCATCTGGCCTACAGTGCAGATTAAGTCTGAGGTTTCTTTGTTGGTTCTCTCTCTGGAAGATCTGTCCAGTGCTGAAAGTGGGGTATTGAAGCCTCCTGATATTACTGTCTTGGAGTTTATCTCTCTCTTTAGCTCTAATATTTGCTTTATATATCTGAGCACTCTAATGATGGGTGCATAGGTAATTACAATTGTTATATTCTATTGCTGAATTGATTCTTTTATCATTATATAATAGGTGTCTTTGTTTCTTCTTACTTTTCTTAAAATCTATTTTATCTGATATAAATATAGTCATTTCTTCTCTTTTTTTTTTTTTGGTTTCCAATGACATAAAATACCTTTGTCTCTCCATTTATTTGCAGTCTATGTGTATCTTTATAGGTCAAGTGTGTTTCTTGTAGGCAACAGATCATTGAGTCTTGTTTTTTCATTCATTAAGCTACTCTGTGTATTTTGATTAGAGAGTTTAGTCCCTTTATATTCAGCATTATTATTTATAATAGGGACTTACTTCTCCCTTTTTGTCATTTGTTTTCTAGTTGTTTTGCCATCTCCTCCTTCTTTCCTTCCTTCCTGTCTTCCTTTTAGTGAAGGAGATTTTCTATGTTGGTATGCTTTAATTTTTTAGCATTTCTGTGTATTCATTGTATGTTTTTTGATTTGAGGTTACTATGAAGTTTATAAATACTATCTTATAATCAATTATTTTAAGGTGATGAAAACAATACTGATTTCATAAACAACCAGGAAAATAAAAACCTAATAAAATCCCTACAATTACACTTTAATCCCCCTCTTTAACTTTTTGTTATTTCTCCTTATGTCTTACTGTATTGACTATGTCTTGAAAAGTTGTTAAAGTTATTATTTGGATTGGTTCATCATTTAGTCTTTCTACTTAAGTCAAGACAAGTTTACACATCACAAATACAGTGTCATATAAATATGTTTTTCGTGTGCTTACTATTATATGACCAGTGAGTTTTATATCTTCAGGTGATTTGTACTTGCTCATTAATATCCTGCTCTTTTTGATTGTAAAACTCACTGTAGCATTTCTTGCAGGAAGGGCCTGAAGTTGATTAAATCCCTTAGCTTTTGTCTTTCTGAGAAGGTATTTATTTCTCCTCCAAGCTTAAAGGATATTTTCACTGAATATATTAGTCTATAGTAAAAGTTTTTCTCTTTCAGTGCTTTAAATATGTCATGCCATTCTCTCCTGGCCTATAAGGTTTTCACTGAAAAGCCTACTCTGAGTATTGGAGTTTCTTTCTTGTTTTTTTCTTTCTTTCTTTCTTTCTTTCTTTCTTTCTTTCTTTTTCTTTCTTTTCTTTCTTCTTTCTTTTCCATGTATTTTTAAATCTTTCTTAGAAATCTGAAGGCTTTTCAGTACAGACTTAATTTTGAATTCATAACATTCTTTGATTTTTCACATGATATATATTAACCTGATTTTGTATTACAATATGCTTTTCATTTTTGCTAACTTATTTTAACATAGACATGAGCTAAAGTGATCTTAATTATATCCTAATTATATTTTTACACAAAACTTATAAAATTATTTAAATTTTGACCCAACTATTAGAATGGTTATTACATTGATTCTTTTTTTATTATTATACTTTAAGCTCTGGGATACATGTACAGAAGGTGCAGGTTTGTTACATAGGTGTACACGTTCTATGGTGGTTTACTGCATCCATCAACCTGCCACCTGCATTAGGCATTTCTCCTATTGCTATCCCTCCCCTAGGCCACACCCCACAACAGGCCCCTGTGTATGATGATCCCCTCCCTCTGCCCATGTGTTCTCATTGTTCAATTTCCACTTATGAGTGAGAACATGCAGTGTTTGTTTTTCTGTTCCTGTGTTAGTTTGCTGAAAATAATGGTTTCCAGCTTCATTCATGTCCCTGCAAAAGACATGAACTCATCCTTTTTATGGCTGCATAGTATTCCATGGTGTATATGTGCCACATTTTTTTAATCCAGTCTATTATTGATAGGCATTTGGGTTTGACCCAAGTTTTTGCTATTGTGAACAGTGCTGCAGTAAACATATGTGTGCATGTGTCTTTATAGTAGAATAATTTATAAACCTTTGCGTATATACCCAGTAATGGGATTGGTAGGTCAAATGATATTTCTGGTTCTAGATCCTTGAGGAATCGCCACACTGTCTTCCACAATGGTTGAACTAATTTACACTCCCACCAACAGTGTAAAAATGTTCCTATTTCTCCACATCCTCTCCAGCAGCCGTTATTTCCTGACTTTTTAATGATTGCCATTCTAACTGGCGTGAGAATGTGGTTTTGATTTGCATTTCTCTAATGGCCAGTGATGATGGGCTTTTTTTCATGTTTGTTGGCCGCATAAATATCTTCTTTTGAGAAGTGTCTGTTCATAGCCTTTGCCCACTTTTTGATGGAGTTGTTTGCTTGTTTCTTGTAAATTTGTTTTTGTATAGATTCTGGATATTATCCTTTTGTCTGATGAATAGATTGTGAAAATTTTCTCCCATTCTGTAGGTTTCCTGCTCACTTTGAGGATAATTTCTTTTGCTTTGTAGAAGTGCTTTGGTTTAATTAGATCCAGTGGTCAATTTTGGTTTTTGCTGCCATTGCTTTTGATGTTTTAGTTATAAAGGTTTTGCCCATGCCTACGTCCTGAGTGGTATTGCCTAACAAGTATATTCAGGACTTGAACTCAGCTCTGGACCAAGCGGACCTAATAGGCATTTACAGAATTCTCCACCCTAAATCAACAGAATATACATTCTTTTCAGCACTACATCACACTTAGTCTAAAATTTAACATATGCTTGGAAGTGAAACACTCCTCAGCACATGCAAAAGAAGGGAAATCATAACTAAAAGTCTCTCAGACCACAGTGCAATCAAATTAGAACTCAGGATTAAGAAATTCACTCAAAACCGCACAACTACATGGAAACTGAACAACCTGCTCCTGAATAACTACTGGGTAAAAAATGAAATTAAGGGAGAAATAAATACATTCTTTGAAACCAATAAGAAAAAAGACAAAATGTACCAGAATCTCTGGGACACAACTAAAGCAGTGTTAAGAGGGAAATTTGTAGCACTAAATGCCCACAGGAGTAAGCAGGAAAGATCTAAAATCGACACCCAAACATCACAATTAAAAGAACTAGAGAAGAAAGAGCAGACAAATTCAAAAGCTAGCCGAAGATAAGAAATAAGTAAGATCAGAGCAGAAATGAGGCAGATAGAGACACAAAAAACCCTCAAGAAATTAATGAATCCAGGAGCTGGTTTTTTTTAAAAGATTAACAAAAATAGATAGACTGCTGGCCAGGCTAATAAAAAAGAAGAAAAAGAAGCATCAAATAGACACAATAAAAAACAATAAAGGGGATATCACCACTGATCCCACAGAAATACAATCTACCATCAGAGTATACTATAAACACCTCTATGCAAATAAACTAGAAAATCTAGAAGAAATCCTAGGCAAAACGAGCAAAGCTGGAGGCGTCACGCTACCTGACTTCAAACTATGCTACAAGGCTACAGTAACGAACACAGCATGGTACTGGTACCAAAACAGATATATAGACCAATGGAGCAGAACAGTGGCCTCAGAAATAACACCACACATCTACAACCATCTGATCTTTGACAAACCTGACAAAAACAAGCAATGGGGAAAGGATTCTCAGTTTAATAAATGGTGTTGGGAAAACTGGCTACCCATATGCAGAAAACTGAAACTGGACCCCCTCCTTACACCTTATACAAAAAGTAACTCAAGGCAAATTAAAGACTTAAACATAAGACCTAAAATCAATCTTTCTTTTCTTTTCTTTTCTTTTCTTTTCTTTTCTTTTCTTTTCTTTTCTTTTCTTTTCTTTTCTTTCTTTCTTTCTTTCTCTTTCTTTCTTTCCTTCTTTCTTTCTTTCTTTTTTGTTTTCCTTGATCCTTGGGTGTTTGATTATTAAAGGCATGAGGTAATCTTATTTAGCTTAAATATGCTTAGTGTTCTATCATTTTCTCATACTTGAATGTTAAAATTTACTTGGTGTTCTATAATTTTCTCATACTTGAATGTTAATATCTTTCTCTGGGTTTGGGATGTTCTTTCATATTCTCCCTTTGGATAAACTTTCTACCCTCATCTCATTCTCTACCTCCTCTTTAAGGCCAATCACTGTTAGATTTACTCTTTTTATGCCAGGCATGGTGGGTCCTGCCTATAATCCCAGCACTTTGGGAGGCCTGAGGTCAGGAGTTCAAGACTAACCCGGCCAACATTGTGAAACCCTGTCTCTACTAAAATTACAAAAAATTTAGCCAGACATGGTGGTGCTCACTTGCCATCCCAGCTACTAGGGAGGTTGAGACAGGAGAATTGCGTGAACCTAGGAGGCAGAGGTGACAGTGAGCCGAGATCACGCCACTGTACTCCAGCCTGCGTGACAGAGCGAGACTCCCTCTCAAGAACCAAAACAAAAACAAATTGAGAGATTTACTCTTTTTAGGATATTTATTTTATCTTGTAGGCATGCTTCATTGTTTCAGTTTTTTCTTTTGTCTCCTGTGACTGTATCTTCAAATAGCCTGTGTTGTAGCTCACTAGTTAATTCTTCTGCTTGATCAATTCTGCTATAAAGAAACTTTAATGCATTTGTCAACATGTCAATTACATTTTTTTAACTCCGGAATTTTCCGTAATTCTTTTAAATTATTTTAATTTTTTGTTAAATTTATCTGATAGATTTCTTAATTCCTTTGTATTGTCTTGAATTTCTTTGAGTTTTCTCAAAACAGCTATTTTTAATTCTCTGTCTGAAAGGTCATATATCTCTGTTTTTCCAAGATTGGTCCCTGGTGCCTTACTTAGTTCATTTGGTGAGGTCATGTTTTCCTTATGTTGGTGTTACTTGTAGATGTTCTTTCTTGTCTGGGCATTGACGTGTTAGGTATTTATTGTAGTCTCCACAGTATGAGCTTATTTATGTCTTTTCTTTGTAGGAAGACTTTCAAAGATTTAAAAGGACTTCAGCCCCAGCATCAATAATGTTATCTGGCAGACTCCTAGAGGTACTGCCTTGGTGGTCTTGAATAAGATCTGGAAGAATTCTCTGGATTACCATGCAGAGATGCTTTTTCTTATCCCTTACTTTCTCCCAAACATGTGGTCTCTCTCTCTCACTCAGTGGTGAGCCACCTGAGAAGTGGGTTGTGGTGATGTAAGCACTCCTGTAGCCACTACAACTGCAACTGAACTAGGTCAGACCTGAAGCCAGTATAGCACTGAGCCATGCCCAAGGCCTTTACCTTCAGGGTGGTGAGATCCCCCAGGTCCTGCACGTGTCCAGATATGCTGTTTGAGAGACATGGATTGAATTCACAAACCTTACCAATTTACCTGATGTTCTATTCTACTGTGGCTAAACTGACACTCAAATCACAATAGAAAGTCCTTCCCACTCTTCCTTCCCCTTACCCCAGGGAGAAGGTCATCTCCCTGTGGCCATTGCTACCACTGGTCCATGGGGTGTTCTGCCAGTCCAACACTATATTTACTTAAAGCCCAAGGGTTCTTCTGTCAGCTTGTGGCGAATGCTGCCAGGCCTGGGCCTCATCCTTTAGAGAAATGGGATTCTTTCTGTCCCAGTGAAGGTCCAGTACTGCCTACTCCTAAACTCAAGGACCCCAAGATTCTACTTATTACTCTACTTTATTGTGGCTGAGCTGAGGGGTGCAAGACAAAGTCCCCTTTACTTTTCCCTCTGCTTTTCTCAAACAATAAATATTTCACCATAGCCACCACAGCCAGGAATGTGCTTAGTTTCCCCTGAAATCAGCATGTCACAGAGCCCAAGGCCTATGCCATACTCCCTGGGTAATGCTGGTGGTAAATCAGGAACTAAGGGCTCTTAATTCAGCTCATGATGAATCGGGACAGGATGGGGTCCTTCCCTTCAGGGTAGCAGGTATTTTTTTTTTGGCTCAGGTCTGTCTAGAAATGTCACCTGGGAGAAATGTCACCTCAGCCTGGACTGGGGGTCTCACCACTCTGCCTGGTGCCCTCTTCTACTATGAGCTGGTATTCAAGATGAAAGACAAAGTACTCTTTACTCTTCAATCACTCCTTCTTAAGCAGAAAGAAGGAGTCACTTCTCTTGCTACAACCTGCACTGCCTGTGGCTAGGGGAGGGATAACACAAGCCCTCTTTTATCCACGCCAGTTGGTGTATCCCTAGGTCACATGCCACCCTTGTTCACTGGCTCTAGGCCCAGTCTAGCACCAGGAGTTGTCTAGGAACTGTGTTTTATAGAGTCAATGTTTTTATATTATGTGAGAGTATCAAATAATTTTTGTCAACTTTTTTTTCTCTATTAACTGGAGATTTTATTTTCTATAATATATTCCACTCTCCTTTTACATATTTTATATATATACATACATATTACATACATAGAAGATGTAGAAGGAAAATGGTATATATAAATATATATATATATATACGATGTTAGTTCCTTTGAAAACAGTTGTATAGCTTTCCTACAGCTCTTTCAGCATTCAAAGTTCCCTGCTTCTGCAAACTGTAATGAATTCTTTTAGTTTCCTAGGTATGCCATGAATCTAAAACTCTGTTCCTTTGTACACATTCATATTATTCCTTAGTCTCTGTAGTTGTCTTCTCCCTTATTTACTGTTGATCTCTGAAAAGGCAGTCACAAATAATTCTATTATACACAGGATCTTATAAAAACCTTTTCATCTCATGCAGCTTAAGGCTTTCTGCTGTCTCAGGAAATAGAACTCTATCAAACCACCACCACACTTCATCTAATTTTTATGTGAATTTACTGATTGTCCCTCTAAAATGTAAATTCAGGACGTAGTATTCCTTCTTAAGACACTGCTGAAAGATAATAGTGCCTCAATACATGGTATACTTATTTAGAGATGCTTGAAAGAAAATTATTATTCTATGCATGCCACTTTGAGAAAATCAACTCTATAAAGGTATATTTTATGTACAATAAAAATGTTTTTAAAATGTCGTTTTCTGAGTTTTGGCAAATAAGCATACATGTATAGTCACCACACAAATCAAGATTAAAAACCTTTTCTTTCATTCCCTCATGCTTCAATATACTCATTCCACCATTATGCCCTCACCAGGGCCCAGCATAGATTTCATTTATGCTATTATAGATTAGCTTAACTGTCCTAGAAATTCATATTAATGAAATCATAAAGCGTGTTTTCTTTTATTCTTATTTTCTTTTGGTTAGCATAATGCTTTTGAGATTTTTTTCATGTTTTTGCATGCATAACTTTTTCCTTTATATTGCTGAATAGTATACTACATCTTTTTATTTGTATAAATGTTGATAAACATATGGTTTATTTTCCATTTTAATCATTATGAATATAGATACTATGAATGTATATGTGAAATTATTGGTGGCCATGTAATTTTATTTGTATTGGGTAAAACTGAGGGGTTTTTGTAACTGTATTTTTAATTTTTTAAGCAGCTGTGGAAATTTAAGTCCCATTAAAATTTGTACAAAACAGGCAAATTCCTACTGTTCCAATTTGTTTTTTAAGAGATGGGGTCTCAAAATACTGCCCAGGGTTGTCTCAAACTCCTGGTCTCAAGGGATCCTTCTGCCTCAGCCTCCCAAATACCTGGGACTATAGGTGTGAGCCACTGCACCAGATCAAACCTTTCTTAATTATAGCCATTCTAATACATGTACATTGGCACCTCATTGTGGTTTTAAATTGTATTTCTTTAATTGAGCATCTTTTCATATGATTATCAGCTGTCATTTTTGAAGTGTCTCTCTCAAACTTTTGCCCATTTAAAAAATAAGATATTTTTTCTCACATTACTGAGTCATAAAAGATTTTCATATATTCTATGTTTACGTCCTTAGTCAGATATAATTTCATATATTCTATATTCAAGTCCTTAGTCAGATATAAGTACTGTAAATATTTTCTGCTAGTGTGTAGGTCATATTTTGTTTTCTGTTTTGCGTTTTTCAATCATTGTCTTTTTAAAGAGTAATGTTAAAATTCTTTTGTAAAGCAGTGTAATGTACCTTTTTTGTTTTGGTTTTGTTGTTTTTGGTAATTAGTGCTCCTGTGATCTCTCTAATAATTTTTGCCTTAGGTTTGTGAAGATTCATTGTTATTCTTGAAGACTTATAGGATTCCTTTTACACTGTGACTTGTGACTAATTTTGAATTCTTTGGGGGGTTTGGGGTAACATAGGGGTTGAAGTACATTTTTCTCGTACAGATATCCAGTGGTACCTTACTATTTGTTTAAAATATTTACTTTTTGAAAAAAACTTTCCTTTTTCTCCCTTAAATTAGCTTTATGCTTCTGCCAAGAATCACTTGGCCAAATATGTGAGACTTTATTTCCAGAATCTTTATTCCATTTCATTGATTTCTGTCTCTATTTTTCTTCCAATTTTACTCTCTCCTGTGTGCTATTACTCTATAATACTCCTTTAAATCAGATGGTATATGTTTCCCAAATTTGTTCATCTACTTCATAGTTGCTTTTATTACTTTAGATTCTTTGCATTTTCATATAAATTGTAGAATTAACTTGTTAACCTCTACAAAATGGCATATGGAGTTTTAATTAAGATTATTTTGACTCTAGACAAATTTTGAGAAGTTGACATCTTTCAAATGTTAGCTTTTCCAATACATGAGTATAACATTTCTTTTCATTAATTTAAAGCTTGTTTAATTTCAATGAGTTATGCCTTGTTTACACTGTAGGAATCTGTCAGGTTTTTGTGGCATTTGCTTTAAAATATTTACAAATTTTGACATTAATGTTACATAGTAATGTAACGTTACTTCAATGTGATTATTTCAAATTATTATTACTAGTAGTAAGCAATAATTATTATTAGTAGTAGTAAATATATAATTGGTTTTAGTAAATTGATCTTGTATCCTACCGCTGTCTGAAATTCACTTATCAATTTATGAAAGTTTTATAGGTTTCTTAGTATTCTTTAATACTGACAATAATGTGGATTTTGGGAGATCAAACAGAGAGATTATTAAGACTCTCTTGTAATTTGTACTTGCATTTGAAACGCAGCTAAGAAGGTCAGAAGATGCCTGGAATGGACTATGGCAATAGAGTATCGGGCTTGAATTCGTCAAAAGCTGCATGCTGGAGTCTGTCAGGGAGAAGGATGCATCAAAGTTTCCCTCCAAAAGACGATTGAAACAAAAACAAAAGCAAGCAAATAAAAACTAAAAGCCCTGCACATGTGAAATCCTCAAAGGCAATCTTAAAATGGTGAGGGGATGGCTTAGAAAATCCCATGAAAATACTTCGTGGGAAAAGATCAGGCTTTAAGATGTTCTGAAGTCAAGAAAGAGCAAAGCCAAATTTAACAAGAAATTTTGGGGTCTGTTACCTTTTTGATTTGAATAAACCTGCATATTCTTTGGCTTCAAATCTATAGGTAATTAGACAATTTTATTTAAATTATACCATCCCCAAAACTTAATAAGCATCTGTACTGTTTTACTTTCAGATAATATTAAATTGTCCAGTTAGTAATTAAAATGTTCTGCCTCATGAAATCATCAACACTTCAATTTAAAATTAAGCCCTCTTGTTAATATGATTAAGTGTAGGTTCTAAATTTTATCTAAGTTTTACATCAAAATTACCAGTCAGCATGTACTTGACTTAGCATATTGTTCCCCTATTTTACATTTGTTAGACAACAGCCTATAGCACTGCTAATAAGGCTAATTATTGCGTTTATCTTATGTTCTAAATGGTTCTTGGTCTCAAATGCACAACGTTTTTCACATTTATTAGTTCTTTTTATGAACAAAATCAATCTATTTCATTTTCTGTCTTCACTCAATAATAGACCTGACTGCTTTATGATTATGTGTCATATTTACGTAATATGTGCCACATCCCAGGGAATCTTGTACATTCTTTATATTTATTCTTTGCAACTGTCCTATGAGGTAGATGTATGAACATGTGCATTTTATACATGAGAATTTGAGGCAAAAAACTTTTACCATTTGCTCCTGGCCACCTAGCTCATAGTAGTAGCCATAGGATTTAGTCTCAGGTAGTTTGGCTCAAAAATTGTCCTTCCAACCAGTATGTTGTTTCTTTCCGAAAAATATGAATAGTGGAACATCAGGTTTATAAAAATTCGACATCAAAATTATCAATAGTCTTTGATAAAATGTTTACTCCTAGGCTCACCTGCTTTTGTATCCATTTAATAATCATTTAAACAAGATGTCCATGTGATTCTAAAAGACCCTAACATTTAAAAACCAGTGAAATAATGGTTACTCTTATAAAAAGGAATAAAATCTTTTTTATTTTTAAACTACTTGATAATATTTACTTTCATTTTGTTTGCTTAGGGATTTTTTATAATTTAGATGATATCTGTTTTCTAAAATACTTTTGAATATTCTCATATTGTATCTATAAATAACACAAATAAGTAACATTTCACTCTGGGAGACAGTGTTAGTTATTATAGAAATGGCTTTGTGCAGTGGCTGAAATTGATAAAGATTTGTCTGTAAAATTGAAAGTAAAATTCTCTGTTTCCCCTCTGCCTTATTTCATGCTCATATATTCCATTTCATGTGTTTAAGACGGCAGCCGAGTCTTTGAAGTATAACCACGTTTTGTGCAGGAAAAAGGTAGCAATGAAAACAGGAAATGCTTTATCAATTCAATATATACCCTTTTCTCAAGGATTCCCAATTGCTTCCTACCTAAACTATGTGACATGGGCTGATGCTTTGTTAGAATGAAGCTAGCAGAATACATACTTAAGTGTTTTGTCAGCAGCCCATGGTGCAGGCCAAAGACTTCTATTAGTATCCATTATCTACATTCACTGCCCCCTTAAATAGAACATTTCACTTCTTTTCTGCATAAGATTGACCTTAAGTATCATCCAGTTACTCTATATGGCCCGAAATTTGATGTTGTCTTGTCACAAATTTGGATGTTGTTTCTAAGGATCTGGCAGCCTATAATCTAAAAATACAATTTATCTTCAGATGACTCACACAGTGTACAGTGGTAGCAAAGGAAGAAGAAACAAGGTTTTCATTCATAAGGGGCTAAGGGGAAACCCTGAAGAATCACTTATCTCTAGCACAAGTCAATTTTAGTGAATGTGTATGTGAGGAAAACCTGCTATTTTGGCCAATATAAAAACCTTAGTTTTGCCTTTAGAAGAATCCGACTTAGGTATTACAATGATTGTCCCTTCTGAATGGATCGCTGGGAAGGATACTCTTCTGTCAGGCTGCACAGACTTAGAGCCCATTTTGAGTTCGTGGAAATTGGGGTCTTAGAAATAGCTTTAGGGATTGAACAATTTCATGTTGACAAAATAACTGTCTCAAGACTTTTAAAAGTTTATAACCTATTATGTTCTTATCATTTGCACTTTTTTCGAAACACAGCCAACAGATTACATCAACAGAGCCTTTTAGTCTGAAGACTAATAGTTTGTGTTCTGAGTTATGCCTATGTGTTAGTTCACAAGTTAATGGCCGCTGCTTTGACCACACCATTCTACTTTTTCACTGCAATATACTAGCTTCTCTCCACCATTTTATTTGGCAGAACGAGCTTAATGGATGGTGCTTAGAACATTCTGAACTCCTAGTTGTAGATAGGTAAAAGCTGCCACTTGACATTCTCTACATCTAATAGCATCAGCACATACAGAGCATGTGGCTTTTTGAGTCTGGAAAAGTTCTGAGCAGAAGAACTTTCACACAATTTAGATTTCAGGCTGCAAGTAGAGAGGCCCTCCCTCAGCAAAGCAGCTTTTAGTCTTTTAATTCATCTCTTCCAAGACTTTTCCAACAGTTGCACAAAGTCAGCAAAATCAAATTAACATTTTCATTTTTTCGCCTTTTTTTTGTTTTAGTTTTTTGGTTTTTTTGGGTTTTTTTGAGACAGAGTCTCGCTCTGTCGCACAGCCTGGAGTAACGGCACAATCTCGGCTCACTGCAAGCTCCGCCTCCCGGGTTCACACCATTCTCCTGCCTCAGCCTCCTGAGATGCTGGGACTACAGGCGCCCGCCACCGTGCCCAGCTAATTTTTTTTGTATTTTTAGTAGAGACGGGGTTTCATCACGTTAGCCAGGATGGTCTTGATCTCCTGACCTCCTGATCCGCCTTCCTTGGCCTCCCAAAGTGCTGGGATTACAGGCGTGAGCCACCGTGCCCGGCCTGTTTTAGTTTTTTTTAATAACACTTCCTGTAAATTCTGGTGTCCTTGACTATGTGATCTGCATTCCAATGTAGAAAGAGACTTTGACTGCTTTGTTTGTTTGTGTTTTGTTGTTGTTGTTGTTGTTGTTGTTTTATCACAGAACAGTGGGTTGAGCAACTTTTCAACCTGCAGTGGGGTAAATACTGATTCTCCCACTGCCTAACAGAGTAAATCAGTATCATTATTTTGTCTCACTGCCCAGTCATTTTTGAACATATTTCTATAGTTCTGGAAAATCTCCAGATTATCTCCCCAACGTAAAAGCTAAACATTTACACTTGTAGGCTTGTTTGCTACATACACACTAGCAGTTGATTGACTAGGCCTTTTGTGAAAGACAGTCATATCACCTTAAACAATGTGAAGAAGCAGAAACAGTGCAAGAGGAAGATAGCAATACAAACACCCCAATTTTAGAAGCATTGGTGTTTGCAAGTTTGCATCCATAATGCAGAAATGGCTTGGTGGTTTGTGACAGTAGGAGCTGCTGAAGATCATATTCGTGGGTGCAGTATACACACTACTGTAGCTTCCTGGCCACTGCATTCACATGGCAGTGAAAAAGGCATTAAGAGATCTCCTGCCAATTATTCAAAGTAGATTTAGGCATGATTCCTAGAAACCTAGCTTCAAGACCATTTCTTGAGTCCTCCCAATTTTCCAGTAAGATGAATGCTCTTTCTTTTATTGCTCTCCTTTTCTACATTTTGTTTTCCTCTGTCAGCCTCAGGGTTGCTTGAAATTAAAGACATGGATAGAGGAGCATTGAATTCTAATGAGACACATCCTTGAAAATACCAAACATAAAAAAGTAAGAATATACTTGTGAATATAAATTTATTAGATTATTTTAAAATGTATGTGCATGTATTATGTATATGTGTGTATGTGTGTGTGTGTATATATATATATATAAAATACATCATATATTGTAAATGCCATTGACTTTCTGTTTTATAATATCCACACATAGATATCCATGGGTGTACACAAACATTACATAAAGAAAGAAGTACATAAATAAATAATTATAGACTTGAAGTTAAATAATCCTAAGCAAATTGATTGCAGTGATGGAGATACCTTTTTGTTTATTACAGCACATCGTTCAAAGTAATCTTAGGCTTTAGGCAAAATGTTGTCACGCCCTTTAATGCAAAATATTTTTGAATATGTAATATTTCTTTATGTTATATGTCAATGTCCAGGTAAAATATAACCATAATGATTGATTGATTAAAGCAATTTTAAAATAATCAATACAAATTTTTTCATTAAAATAGCAATGGAGAATTTTGTTTTAAATAGTTGTGACTCATTTATTAGTGTTTCTTTTTTCATAAAATTAGCAAAGTATATCTATATATAAATATATATTTTTACACATATATGTATATATACATATACTTATACATATATATACATGCATATACCTATGTATACATATATACATATACTATATACACATATGTGTGTATATATAATTTTTCATAAAGTGAGCAAACTGTATATACACAGACACACACACACACACACACACAAGAATATACTGGATATCTCCACTTGGATATGCCTCATACATGTCACCATCAACGTGTTCCAAAATAACCTCAATATCTTTTCTATATTGGCCTCCACTGATTTTCAATTTTTGCTTAATAATTTTGCTACTCACATAGTCACCCAAGCCAGATGTTTGGAAATTATTCCTTATTTCTTCTTTTTCACATATTGCATGTTCCAGTTTGCTGGTGAAGAGTTAAGATTGTAGGCAAAGATTTTTATTAAGACTCCATTTGTTTCTGAATATTCTGAGAAATGTAAGAGCAGGTACTCTGCCTTATTCCTCTTGCACTCACTGCTAGGATGGATAAAACTAAGCAATAAATATTAATGATAACTTTTTTCAGCGAAAAGAAAAGTTACTTTTCAATATACAGGCATAGCTCATTTTATTGTGTGTTGCTTTATTGCACTTTTCAGATATTGTGTTTTTTTTTTACAAACTGAACTCTGCATTGAGCAGGTCTGTCAGCACTGTCTGTGGAACAGCATATGCTTACTTTGAGTCTCTGTGTCACATTTTGGTAATTCTCACAATATTTCAGTTTTCATTATTAATATATCTGTTATGAGTAATCTTTGATGTTACTATTGTAATTGTTTGGGGGTGCTACTACCTGAGCCCATAGAAGTTAGAGAACTTAAATGATAAGTGTTAATGTGTGTTCTGAGTACTCCATTGAACAGCTTTTCTTCCATCTCTTTCCCTCCTTAGGCATCCCTATTTCTCATTACACACGATACTAAAATTAGGCCAATACACAACCTTACAATGTGTTCAACTGATAGAAGTTGCATGTCTCTTACTTTAAGTCAAAATCTAGAAATGATTAAGCTTACTGAAGAAGGCATGTTGAAAGCCAAGATAGGATAAAAGCTAGGCTTCTTGTGAAAGACAGCCAAGTTGCAAATGCAAAGGAAAATTTCTTGAAGGAAATTAAAATTGCTATTCCAGTGAACACATGAATGACAAGGAAGCTAAACAGTCATATTGCTAATAAGGAGAAAGTCTGAGGGGTCTGTATAAAAGATTAAACCAGCGACAACAATCCCTTAAACCAAAGGCTAATCCAGAGCAAGGCTCTCTCATCAGCTCTATGAAGGCTGAGAGAGGTAAGGAAGCTGCAGCAGAAAAGTATGAAGGTAGCAGTGGGTTAATGTTCTTTAAGGAAAGAAGCCTTCTCCATAACATAAAAGTGCGAGGTGAGGCAGCAAATTCTGATGTAGAAGCTGCAGCAAGTTACCCAGAAGATATAGTTATGATTATTGATGAGGGTTGTTACAGCTTAAAATTGAAATAAGATGTCATCTAAGACTTTCATAGCTAGAGGGAAGCAAATGTTTGGCTTCAAAGTGTCAAAGGACGTCTGACGTTCTTGTCACAGGATAATGCAGTTGGTGACTTTAAGCTGAAGCCAATGCACATTTACCATTCCCAAAATCCTAGGGCCATTAAGAATTAGGCTAAATCTACTCTGTATGCTCTATAAGTGAAACAACAAAGCCTAGATGACAGCACGTCTATTTACAGCATGATTCACTGAATATATTAAGCTTATTGTTGGGAAATACTGTTTAGGTCTCAACAAAAGATTTCTTTCAAAATACTACTTCTCATGAAAATGCGCTTGGTCATCAAAGAGCTCTGATGAATATATTCAAGGGGATTCATGTTGTGTTTATACCTACTAACACAACATCCATTCTTCAGCCCATGGGTCAGGTAATTTCAACTTTTATGTCTTATTGTTTAAGAAATACATTTTATAAGGCCATGATTGCCATAGATACTGATTCCTCTTACGGATCTGGGCAAAGTCAATTGAAAATCTTTTGGAAAAGTTTCACCATTCTAGATCCCATTAAAAACATTTGGCTGGGCACGGTGGCTCACTCCTGTAATCCCAGCACTTTGGGAGGCTGAGGCGGGCAGATCACGAGGTCAAGAGATCGAGACCACCCTGGCCAACATGGTGAAACCCTGTCTCTGCTAAAAATACAAAAATTAGCTGGGCATGGTGGCGCGTGCCTGTAGTCCCAGCTACTCGGGAGCCTGAGGCAGAAGAATTGCTTGAACCCGAGAAGGGGAAGTTGCAGTGAGCCGAGATCATGCCACTGGAGTCCAGCCTGGTGATCGAGCAAGACTCCGTCTAAAAAAAAAAAAAAGAGAGAGAAAAGAAAAAAAAGAAAGGAAGGAAAGAAGGGAGGAAGGAGAACATTTATGATTCACAGAAGGAGGCTGAATTATCAATATTAACAGAAGGTTAAGAGAAATTGAAATCAACTCTCACAAAATATTTTCAAATGTTCAAGACTTTAGCGGAAGAGGTCACTGCAGATATGCTGGAAATAGCAAGAGAACTAGAATTAGAAACCAAGCCTGAAGATGCAGGTGAATTGCTGCAACCTTGTGCTAAGACTTCATCAGATGAGGAATTGCTTATTGTGAATAAACAAAGTGGTTTCTTGAGATGGAATCCACTCTTGGTGAAAATCTTATGAACATTGTTGAAATGACAACAAAGTATGTAGAATGTTACATAAACATTATTTGACAAAACGTGTTAGAGTTTCAGAGGATTGACTCCAATTTTTTTTTAACTTTTACATTTATGGGCACATGTGCAGATTTGTTATATAGGTAAACTGCATGTCATGGGTGTTTGGGGACAGAAATTACTGCATCACCCAGGTATTAAGCCTAGTACCTATTAGTTACTGATCCTCTCCCTCCTCCCACCCTTCACCCTCAGTTAGGCCCCAGTGATTTGAAAGAAGTTCTATTGTGGGTAAAATGATGCCGGCTACAGATAAATCTTTTTGTTCATAGAAGATTCAACCAATGCAGCAAACTTAATTTTTGTCTTAATATAATAAATTTCCACAGCCACCCTCACCTTCAGTAACCACCACCCTGATCAGTTAGCAGGCATCAATATCAAGGCAAAATCTTCCATCAGCCAAAAGACTATGACTTACTGAAGAATCAGATGATTAACATTTTTTATCAATGAAGTATTTTTAAATTAAGTTATGCACTTTTTTTAGACACAATGCTTTTGAACACTAAACTACAGTATAGTCTAAACCTACCTTTTAGTGCACCAAGACACCAAAAAGTTAGTGTAATTCATTTTCATTTTATTCTGATATTAGCTTTATTGCATTGGTCTGGAAACGAACTTGCAATATCTCCAAGCTACAGATGTACCTGCTTTCTGTTTTTTTTTTTGTATTCATTACTTTTTTTTTTTTATTAGAGAAAGGGAAGTAAAAGGAGCTGGAAAATAATAATTTTTGTAACCAAATAACCATTCTCTCCTTCTCAAAATTTGATATAGCTAGACATACACAAAGACAACTTATTATAAAAATCAAAAAAACATTTTATTATAATTCTGAATATTTATTTGGCTCCTTATTTAACTGTAAGCAGTAACAAATCAATCTCTGAATTTAAATTGTTTTTTCCCCCGAAGTTCAGGGTTGATTCTTTTGTGCATGGTAACATTTCAATAATTACTTATCAAATGGAATTATACAATCAACTTTATATTAAGATATGTTTGGAATTTAAACATGGACATTTACAAGTTTTTAAATCAGTTGTTTTAGAAGTGAATTAAAAAATACATAAATAAATCAATTAAAATACATAAAGTAACAAAACTCACTCCCAAATAAGTTTAATATTTAGTTTCCATAATATACTTTCATTTTTATTTGTTCACTAAAGGACCTATCAATAAATATGTATGTGGAGGGCATATGTGTGAGGTACATGTGCATACACATAACGTGCTAAACATAAGTATGATTGTGTATGAATCTGTTTTCTTCTATGTTCATTCTTCCCTTGGACATCTGACTGATTAGTCTCCCCTGACTGATCCTCTTGGTTCTGGTCAGGCAAATCTAGGACTATAATATCCTGGCCAGCAGATTAACACCATAACCCTTAGTGAGATCCTCTCACTAAGAAATCTGAGTTTTCAGTAAACACATAGAAGAGCAGAAGAAAAGCTTAATTATCTGAAAGACATGTCAAAATAGAAAAATCTATCGATTTCCTATATTCCTGTCCTGTTAGTTGATTTTCCATCAGAATAATTTGGCTACCCAACATTCTTCCAGTATGTTAATTATTCTGGTCTTAGAGTGAGTCAGTTTCCATCCCTCGCATTTTAAGAAATTAATTGCTATTGTATGTATAACAGTCCGGAAACAACTGTTATGATGTATTAAGAGTGGCAAACTAAGAGGAATGGAATAATGACTGATCTTCATTTTTTTGTCAAACAGGGTGTGTGTGTGGTAGTTTTTGCAATAAACGTGTAATTGAATTTTTATTATGTTTCAAAATTATACATGATAGGGCCTTCTAAATATGATACTTAAGAATAATCTCTTTTCCTATTCAAGCATTCCATGCTCCTCAATGTTAAAAAGAAACAAAATAGAATGTTTAAACATATCTGAGGATATCAAATTATTAACATTCTAGAAAGACTACTTTTACAATTAGTGTGCAGAAACAGATAACAAAGGTAAACATGTGGTAACAATTTTCTTAAATAAGCAAATCCAGAACAGGATTGCCATAAAAATACAAACAAAACAGCTTTTCTTGGTAACTTTCAAATGCAGTGGTTTTAGTAAAAGTTAAATTACACCGTAGTTAAAGCTATTCCCCTTATACTAAGATAAAATTTAATGTAGTAGTTACAAATGTGGGTTGGGAGTTAGAAAGTATGGATTTCCATTCTAATTGTGGTATATTCTAGCCATTTTATTCTAGAAAACTTTCAGCACCCCATCTATATTCCTCACCTATGAAGTGTCCACTTACTAAACAGTGAGTATCTCAAAATAATAGGCTCTCTATAAATATGTGTTAAGGCATAAATAATTGGCAATTAATTATGCATGAAGGAGAAACAAACCATACAGTCTCCATTGATTATCAGTAATAGCTTGCATGTTTGTTATTTTTTAAATGTTTCTATTCAAATTTGGGCAGAAAATTGGAAACCAGAAAATCAGATATTAAGGTTTCTGAAATGCACTATTTAATATAATCTGTAGCACATTCAAAATGAAGTGACTATGCTAAGTACTAAAGATGTTTCATCCTCACCTTGCTTTAAATATTTCAGTGACTTCTTAATGCATGGAGTCAAATACAAATGATATTGACCTCATTACCTTTCTCTCTCTTCCTTTTCAAAATTTTCTTGCTACAGCCTCTTTTTCTCTATACATTTCAACTATACTGGTCTTATAACCTAATTTGTACCAAACTCGTTTCTGTACCTATACTCTGTCTGATGTTTTTCACCTACCAAGTTGATAGAGCTTTGCATATTCTAAATTTTACCTTAAATATTGCCTTGTCAAAAAGGTCTTCCCTGAACACTTCCGCTCACCATTCATTCTCCATCAGAGCATCTTGCCTGTTTCTTGGAATATTTATTACAATGATTGATTAATTTATTTTATCTTATTTGATTAATTTTGAAATAATTTTAGGCTGAAAGAAATGTTAGAAAAATAACACGAATAGTTGTCATATATCATTCATACAGCTTTTAGTAATGCTTATTACTTATATAACCGTCTTATAATGGTTGCAACTAAAATTAACATTATTCCAACATCACAAACTAAAGTACAGAATATATTTGGATTTCACTAGCTTTTCCATAAATGTTTCATTTCTTTTTAGTATATAATACATGCTCCCACATTGCTTTTAGTTGTCATGCCTCCTTAGTTGCTTCTGATATGTAGCAGTTCCTCTGTTTTTCTTTTTTTTTCTTTTTCATGACTTTGACACTTTTAAAGAGAACAGGTAGATAGTTTGAATTTGACAAATGTTTGCCCACAGTTTGACTGAGGTTAGAGATTTGAGGGAAGACTACCATGAAGGTCACGTGCCCATCTCTGCATGGAGAAATGTGCCTGTCTCTGCATCTTTTAGCCACATGCCTCATTTTTGGTGATGTAAACCTTGATCATTTGATTAAGGTGGTGCCTGCCAGGTTTTCTCACTATAAAGTTACTAATATTATCTTGTTTATTAATATTTAATTACTGAATACATTTCACTAGATATAGCATTTTAAATAGATAGGGTTTTGTTTCTTCTTTTCAGGACATTAAAACTGTCACTCTGTATTCAGCCTTGCAAAGTACATAACAATACTCTATGGTCGAGTCTTCACATTTATTAAGTTACTGTCTTGATTTCCTGAAGTTTATTCTCAAGTAACTTCTTCAGAAGGAGTGTCTACAGGTGAAATAAACTTTGTGAGATCTGCTAATCTGAAATTTTACTTAACTTACATATAGGTTAGATTGAAAGTTTGGCTAAACATCAAAGTTTAGATTTTAAAAATTGAAATCTTTATAAAAAATTTATGAGAACTATGATACTACGTGTGATTTATTCCTTTGAATTTGTTTTATAAAAATGTGATGTCTGTTTTATCCTTGAATTTTTGAGAGTTCACAATAGTAATGTTTTGAAATTTCATAATGGGTTAATGGCAAAATTATATGTTCAATCTTTTTTTGATAAGTAGGCTTGCTTCCTGCCAATTTTTACTGAAAATCAAAAACAACAACAACAAAAACCCTTGTGCTATATGTATATTACTCTGGGGAATTGTCTAGTGCCAGATTACTCTGTTTCAATCATATCAGCAGTTTCTTTTTTGTCTCACAGTAATGCAATGGTATTATATTTTTATGGATTTTGGTGGGAAAACACACAAGTTGCAGAAAAACATAGATGTTTTTATGCATTTTATTTAGTCCTATTTATGTTTCTAGAGTGCAGCATTTTAGCAACTTAAGTTTCTTAATAATTTACTTTTATTAATTAGACTGCACATGCAAATTTTGGGCAACTTTTGCACTTACTAGTCTTTGTTTAAATATATATAATCTTACTAAAATGAGTTTATTTGTAATATAAGAGTTGGACATATGTGCACATTGGAATATTCATTTGTCACAGTGGAAATTCTCGAGTTCTGTTTCTCTTCTAGTTATTCTCTGAACTGTGGCTGCAGTAAGCTTCTGAAAAGCAGTTTTTATAATGTCACTGTATGCCACTATACCTTTAATATGGCTCTCCACTTCTGTCTTAGTCAATATAAGCAGCTATGCCAAATACTATAGACTAGCTGCCTTAAACAGCAAACATTTGTTTCTCACAGTTCTGGAGGCTGGGGAGTCCAAGTTCAAGGCTCCAGCAGATGTAATGTCTGGTGAGAGCCTGCTTCCTGTCTTCTAGAGGGACTACCTGCTGTATCTTCCCATGGTGGGGAAAAAAAAAGTAAGGTCTATAGTGTCTCTTCTTAGAAGGGCACTAATCCCATCTTGAAGCCTCCACTTTCATCTTCATTACCAAGTTAACTCTCAAAGGCCCCAATAACAAATACCATCACATTGGGGAATAGGGCTTCGACATATGCATTAGGGAAAACAACATTCAGTCCATGGCATCTGCCTTAAAAATAATATTGAAATCCCTATCTGGATGTGTAGGTCCAGCATGACCCAGCCCCAACCAACTAATCTACCTCATCTTTACTTAATCTCTTAATAGAGACCTGATCTTCTGTAACCTCAAAACTCCACCTACCCAACCCTTGCTGTCCCTACCCTGCTGTATCTAACATCCAATTATTCCATATCTTCTCTCCTACTTTAGGAAAAAATTTCTACCATGACATCACTTTGTTAATGGCAGCATCTTTCTTTCTCTATGTCCGACACCATCTCAGATAAATCCCTGCCTATTGGTTTTACCTTGGGCTTTTGTATCTAAAGCATCTCTTCACCAACTGTTAGGCTATGCTGCTTTCCCTTCTTTTATGTTACAAGCGTGAACTCATTTCTTCAACATAAAACTAACATAATTTTAGATTGTGAAATTTTTCATTTTCAAATAAAATTTGTGACCACTTTATTGCAGCATTGATGTTATGCTTCTTGAATGCATTAATTGGCAAGTGTTAGTGTTTTATTTCGGTAACTATCTAGAAGGCAGTTTGAAAACTAGAAAAAAAATATTCAAATGTATCTTAATTAGATACATAATGGCTAAGAGAGTATATTGTCATTCTTTTCCTTTCTTTCACTTTCACTTTATCTAGATTAGGACCTATTCTAACTTAATTATTCCTTTAATTTCATTCTGAGAACATAGCTATCCTAGGTAATATATTTTGGAATTATTACTAATGAGAGGAAAATAGAGTTTCTAAAACTAAAGTAATGAATCATTTGTCAAACATAGATTTGTGAAAGTAATTTTAATTTTTTTACTTGTGTAAAATTTAAGGTGTATAAGTGCAGTTTTATTACATGGTTCTATTGAGTCATAGTGAAGTGTGGGATTTTAATGTAACCATCACTAGATAGTGTGCATTGTACCCATTAAGAAATTTGTCATCCTTCATCACCCCTCCCACTCTAAGATTCATTTTTATGTGATCAATTATATCATGACAAATAGAAAATCACTCATGTGTGCTAATACCATATGTAAGTCTAAAGACACTAGGCCATAGATCATCTGCTATACATCATGAAGATCTCTCCTAAAACTGAAGAGCATATGTAGTAAAGGCTATTTCATATGGCATTATCAAAAGGATTTAATGTCCAGTTATTACAAAAACCAAACACACACTAAGAGCAAACATTTCACTCTCACAGATTTAGACTATTTCAGACTCAGAAAAGTAGGCAGATCCTAAATGTATAGATGCCCACAAATACAAAATCACAAAAATAATCTTCCTTTTAGTTTGTTACTCATTTGCTGCTGAATAATAAGTACTGGTACTGCATTTCTTACTATCTTGAACACCACTCAACAATGCTTGCAGTAGTAGACAAGTAAAAATCATAAAATCATATGTAGAAATAATTTTACAGGTGTCATATTACAAAGTTAAAAATGTGATTTACAAAAATGTGACAGATATGAATATGATTTGCATATAAACTTTTACTCAAAAAGAGATTATCACACAAAATATATGGAAATGGGCATGAATATCATTATATAGATAAGTAAACAAGTTTGACATTTTTATAATTAGTAGAGGTAGTTGGAAAAGATTCCACTTTTATTAAAAAATAACACAATGGAGATGACTTTAGAAAGAAAAACATAAGCTAAAATAAATTTATAAATTTGTGCATAAAAACAATCAGTTAATTTATAACTGATTCTTTGAAGATTCAAATTCTGTACAATTGAAAGTCATAATGCCAAAGAAACTTGAAACTAATTTCTACATTGAGTTCCTGAGAAAAAGCATGGTAATTACTAATATTTTGATGAAAAAATAAGCAAAACTGAAGCTAGAAGACATATAAAATCAAAACTGGAAGACATAGAAAATTAAAGCTGTCTATTTAAACATAATGTGAATAAAGTAAGTGACTCACATGTACTGTTTTGTTTTGTCTCTATTTCATACAGTAGAATTTATGTAGAGTAACTACACAAGGCAAAAAATGTATATTTTCAAAAAATTCTTTGAGAGGAATCTGATTATTTTATTAAGTGGACAAATGAGTATAGGGAGAATATGATCTACTATTACCTGTACAGTGTTATTACATACTTGTGTTATTTTAACTGGTTTTATCACAGCTAGTGAGTTCTAGCTTCATTCAAGTATTGGGGAGGGCAAGGCCAGTAGAAAGTAAAATACTTAAAGATATAAAATAATATAATTTTTAAAGTTGTAACCTAAGAGAAGGTGAAAATAACTTCACTTTGAACTAGTAAAATAATTAAGAAAGTCCAAACTTATCCAAGACAAATAGAGAGAAATTAATAGAAAGGGGTTCATTAATACAATTAGAAGCTGGGTCTGAAAACCTTTCACAGGAAACCTAATAAGGGTTATTTATTAAAAATTCTATCTATTTTTAAATATTTCTATTGTTAATGCTATGAATATTAAAAATAATGCATTGTATAAAATTTACCCATAGTTTTAATTAAAAACAAATTCATTTGTTATTCTGAAAACATACAAACACCCATATATAGTAATTGATTTTTAGAAAATTATAGACCATATCTTGAGGTTAGTTCTTTAGTTTGAACTAACATTAAATCTAAATTGAGATTTATTTTTTTCTGTGTATTATTTCTTTTAAAAATCTCATAAAATTTTTGATTTGGTTAACTGGTTAGCTCATCTGAATTTATATTACATTTCTCAGAGAAATATACTGAATACAAAATTCTATTTGAAACTTTTTAAAAATGTCAAGCCATAAAATCTAAAAGGTGAACTAATATGAAATTTAACTCACAGAAATGTGGATATGTCTCTTCTATGCATATATCCAGAGACAGATGTCAGAATAAACTTTAAGTTAAATCATACATAAAAGGTTTAAACTAGAGTTTTTCAAACAAAATAAACATAAGTCAAAGGCAAACAAGAAAATAGAGTTTTCATAGCCTCAAAATATCTGTCCCAAGATACTTATTTGCAGAGGAAAGACAATAACTTTAGAGTGGACAATCTTGGCAGACATTTTCTTAACTAATTTAAATCAATGTCATTAGTAGTGAGACATATTAACACGATGAAAATGACAACGATGCACTAAAAAGGACACCTCATTTTTCTGGAACCCTTCACAAAAATGCATATCCTTAGTCTAACAGTGTGGAAACGTTAGAAAAATCTAGTTGGAGGGACATTCAACACAATAATCAGTGTGCTTCAAAAGTGTCAAAGGATGAAAGACAAGGACATACTCAAAAACCATCACAGCTTGCAAAAGGCTTAGGAAAAGGAAAGCAAACATACAATGTGGAATTCTGAATAGGATCCTGAAAGATTAAAAAAAGACAGTAGTGGAAATCTGGTGAAACTCCAATAGAGTCTTCAAAGTAGATAATGTTTCTGATAATTGTAAAACATTATGCAATATGTTAAGTTTGGTGAAAGCTGGGTAAGAGATATATGGAAACTCTCTGTACTATTTCCATGTATTTTCTTTAGTCTGGATATAGTTAAAAATTAACAAAAAAGTTATTGAAGGGGGTACTATAGCAAAGAAAAATACATTAGATTCTGCTAGGCATTGGTATAAGATGTGGGACTGATGACAAGTAAAATAGGAAGAAATTCCTTTTGGTGATGGAACTATTCTGTATCTTGATTGTCTGGTGGTTAAATTGATCTCTACATTCCCCAAAACACATAGAAAGGTTATCAAAAGAGTACAATTGATCGTATGTAAAACTTAAACAAATAAAAAAATAAAAATAGCAAGTTGCCTGGGAAATTATTCGCAACAAATATAATATATAGGTATTGTTTAATATATAGTTATAATATATAGTTTCATTATATAATATATAATAAAAATAAAATAAATATCAATAAAAAAGCATAGTATCCAACAATGGTGTTGGGAAAACTGGCTAGCAATATGCAGAAAACTAAAACTGGATCCCTTCCTTACACCTTAAACAAAAATCAATTCAAGATGGACTAAAGACTTAAACTTAAGACAAACCATACAAATCCTAGAAGAA
This sequence comes from Homo sapiens, assembly GCF_000001405.40. Lineage (NCBI taxonomy): Eukaryota > Metazoa > Chordata > Mammalia > Primates > Hominidae > Homo > Homo sapiens. The sequence continues at coordinate 41,014,902 of NC_000014.9, forward strand.
AACCTGGGCAATACCATTCAGGACATAGGCATGGGAAAAGACTTCATGTCTAAAACACCAAAAGCAATGGCAACAAAAGCCAAAATTGACAAACGGGATCTAATTAAACTAAAGAATTTCTGCACAGCAAAATACACTATTATCACAGTGAACAGGTAACCTACAGAATGGGAGAAAATTTTTGCAATCTATCCATCTGACGAAGGGCTAATATCCAGAATCTACAAAGTACATAAACATATTTACAAGAAAAAAAACAACCCCATCACAAGGTGGGCAAAGGATATGAACAGACATTTCTTAAAAGAAGACATTTATGCAGCCAACAAACATATGAAAAAATGCTCATCCCTACAGGTCATTAGGGAAAGGAAAATCAAAATCACAATGCAATACAATCTCACACCAGTTAGAATGGCGATCATTAAAAAGTCAGGAAACAACAGATTCTGGAGAGGATGTGGAGAAATAGGAATGCTTTTACACTGTTGGTGGGAGTGTAAATTAGTTCAACCATTGTGGAAGACAGTGTGGCGATTCCTCAAGGATCTAGAACTAGAAATGCCATTTGATCCAGCAATCCCATTACTAGCTATATACCCAAAGAATTATAAACCATTATGCTATAAAGACACAGGCACACATATGTTTACTGTGGCACTATTCACAATAGCAAAGACTTGGAACCAACCCAAATGTCCATCAATGATAGACTGGATAAAGCAAATGTGGCACATATACACCATGTAATACTATGCAGCCATAAAAAAGGGTGAGTTCATGTCCCTTGCAGGGGGACATGGGTGAAGCTGGAAACCATTATTCTCAGCAAACTATCACAAGAACAGAAAACCAAACACCGCATTTTCTCACTCATAATTGAGAGTTGAATAAGGAGAACACATGGACACAGCAAGGGGAACATCATACACCAAGGACTGCCAGCAGGTGGGAGACTAGGGGAGGGATAGCATTAGGAGAGATACCTAATATAGGTGACGGGCTGATGAGTGCAGCAAACCACCATGGCACGTGTATATCTATGTAGCGAAATTGCACACTCTGCACATGTACCCCAGAACTTAAAATATAATAATAAAAAAAGAAAAAGATAACCATATGTTGTCTACTAGTAAAAAAAAAAAAAATAAAGTTTTAATCTCCCCCAAATCTCTGTATTTCTTCTAAGTCTTGTGAAGTACTTTCTCAGGATAAATGTCACTGTATTCAAATAAAATTGTCCCATTCCTAATCCATAAAGATTTATTATTAACTCCAATCGTATTCAAATATCAACCATCTGAAATGGTTGTTATGTCTGTTTTGCTGGATAATACCGAGGGGATGTGGAATTGCAGCTTAGGTTTTATCTACTTTATGACCTTGCAGTGGCATGGCAAAGGAGACAGGATCTCAGAGGACTTTACAAAGTATGTTTACAAGGAATTGGAATTGTGAGTATAGGTAAGGTCTCCTGGTCACAGAAAAACAGGCAGTTAACATTCCTTTTCGTTTCGGGGGAGGGGGAAAGGAGAGGGAGAGAGGGAGAGAGGACTCAGGGAAACTTACAGCAAAATTTTTGCTGTTTGTAGCTTTCTTGGGGAAGCAAACATGCACAAATCCTAGTGTTAAGAATATTTTAAGCATATATCTTCAATATTATTCATCCAGGAACGAAGTAAGTCCTGATGTAGGAAACTGAGTGAGTTTCACAGATTTCTGAGCCCCTACTCGACCCAGGAAGCCCAGCTGGCCCCTCCTCTCAGTGAGACCTTAAACTTAAGAACCCTTAGAAGTAAATATTCTTCAGGCTAAAGACCGTAAACCAAGACCTTCAAATCAATACAATGTTGGCACAAAATTGAAAGATTCCATCTACAATAACAGAAAAAGAATGTTGTTTTGAGATCTTACTATCCTTTTTTCTTCTTACTATGTTACTTGTTACTTTATTTAAATGAACCTTAGCAACTGTCCTAAAAGGATTTTTCAAAATATTACTCCATTTATATCATTACCACATTCTTGACCCTCCTATCCTTTCTCACATTTAAATATATCATTTACCTGCTCTTTTCTCTGAATCTTTTTGATGATTAGCTCTATCTGCTACAACTTAAGCTCCTAATAAACACCTAATTGATATTTCATTAAATATTACAGAGGAAATATTCCCTTTAACTGGTTCATTTTATACTAGAATTATTCATCTGTATTAACTCCAACCTTCAATCTTCTAAAAATCAGGCTCTCACCACAAATTACTAGGATGCTTCTGTAGAAACCATTTCACGCTGTGAGCATAACTGAGTTCCCCAGGGTGAACAATTGATATAGGAGCTATTCTCACCTCAGTAGTCAGTCTGTTTGTTCTTTTCAAACATTCTCCAGCCTGCTTCTCAGGAATTATTCATTTCTATTAAGAGAATTCCACTAATCTCAAAGGATGGATAATTGGCTTATTCCTGATATGATAAATTAGACAATATGTTCCTCACCAGAGTTTAGTTCTTAAGTGGAAAGCAGACTTTCAATCGACTACTTTATGTACCCTGTCTTGTATTTATGATGCAGTTACTAGAACTTTCAATATATAAAAAATCCCTACCACTCCAGAGGACCATGTTTCCTTGGGAATTATACCTGGAAACATGAAAAATAAGGAAAGCACAGACAACTCAGGATTGCTTCCTAAAAGAGAATAGATTTTCTTCATGTGCACTTTTGGGCTGCTATTCCAACAACAAGTGTATAAGCAACAATAAAAATTGATCCAGATTTTATCATTGAATTTCGCAGAACTGAAAAACGACTATTGATTTTGCTCTAGGGGCCAAGCTTATATACATTAACCAGGATCCAATCACAGCCCTGGATTTATTTTTGCTGAGGCAAGAAAGGGAATAGTTCATATTTTACGTTGCATCAATATAAATGTCACTGGTCAGGTGAAACAACGTACATATAAACTTAAAGAAAAGTCATCTGTCTTCCTATAATTAAGCTTAATTGATCATAGACATATTATGTTCTAAACTTAGCAATTTAGATATATATATACACTCATTATTTTAGAGGAATTAATAATGACTCTGCTTCTGATCATTTCTTTTATTTCATTTGGAAATGTATTCTTTCCAGAGTCTTAAATGCCTGTATGTATCCATTTTACATTGGATTATTCCTGAGTTCATGCTACAATAATAAAAAACGACAAAAATATTCAGCACTTATTTTAGTCTACCTAAAACCAATAATATCTGTACAAATTTTGACAGTCAGACTGTGACTTTCTATTGATGTGTAATTTACATATAATAATATTTACCCTTTCAAGTAAAAATCAGTGTTTTTAGTGTATTCACAAAGATGTGCAGCTATTACCACTAAACAATTCCAGAATATTTTCTATTTGTATATTATTTACTGTATCTTCTTTAGAGGAATATCTATTCAGATTCTTTGCCAATTATTAAATTTGGTTGTCTCTTTAATATGGAATTATGGATATTCCTTCTAACTTCTGGATAAAAGTACCTTTTATAGATATGTGATTTCAAATATTTTCCCATTCCGTCAATGCCTTTTTTCATTTTCTTTATAGTGTCTGCTGAAATACAGTTTTAATTTTAATATTGATTTTGTAATTTGTCTTTTCTCTTTTCCTTGATAATGAAGTCCAATTTATGTTTTTTTCCACTGGTGTTTTTGCTTTTATATCTAAGAAATTTTAGCCTAATCCAAGATCATAAATATTTTCTCAAATATTTTCTTCTAGGAGTTTTTTTTTAGTTTTAATTTTTATATTTAATTTTATGATCCATTTTAGTTAATTTTTGTGTATAATGGAAAACAAAGATCTGTCTTCATGGTTTTGCATGTAGGCATCTAGTTTTATTCCAGAACCATTTGTTAAAGAGACTACTTTATCCCCATTGAATTAACTTGGCAGCCTTGTTGAAAATCAATTGACCATAAAATAATGGGTTAATTTATGGGCAATAAAATTCTATTTTATTGATTTATATGTCTATCTTTATGCCAGTACCACAGAGTCTTTCTTATATTAGCTTTATAATGGTAAACCCTCAAGGTTAGCCAGAGGTGGGAATGTAGGGCCTTATCAGGCCTTTCATCTAGGTTACATAATTTGTTGGAATCCAGTTGTTTATGATATTTCCTTGTATAGTTATTTCTGCAGTCAGTAATAATGATCATTCCTTTATTTTTGATTTTTTGCAATTTGTCTTTTCTCTTTTGCTTGGTAATTCTAGCTAAAGGTTTATCAATTAAATTGATCTTTTAAAAGAACTAACTGCTAATATTACTGATTTTCTTATTGCTTTTCTATTTAGAATTTCTTTAAACCCTGCTTAAATTATTAATGTTTTCTTTTTTTCCTGCTTGCTTTGGATTTGATTTGTCATCTTATTCTAGTTTTCTAAGGTGGAAAGTTCTGTTATGGATTTGATTTTTTCTTTTTTAATATCTATATTTTCAGCTATAAATTGTTCCTCTAAGCATTGTTTTAGTTTCCTCCCATAAGTTTTAGTGTGTTATGCTTTCATTTGCCTTCATCTCAACGTAGTTTATAATTTCTCTTCTGATTTCTTATTTGACTTGTTTAGTATTTAAAGTGTCTGGTTTATTTTCACACGTATTTAAATTTTCCATATTTCCTTCTGCCATTGATTTCTAATGCCATTAAACCAAGGTCAGTGAATTTCAACCATTTCAAAAAATATTTCTTTATTTATTTTTAATTGGCAGTAATTATACTTATGGGATAGAATGTTATGTTTTGATCTTTGTATACATTATAGAAAAATTTAATGAAGCTAATTAGCATATCCATTATCTCACGAACTTATTATAGTTTTATGGTAAGAACATTAAAAATCCATTATTTTAGCAATTTTAAAACATTAAATACATTATCATGAACTGTGGTCATGATGAAATGCAATTGATCATGAAAACTTATTCTTGCCATCTAACTGAAACCTTGTACACTTTGACCAATATCTTCTCTTCCCATTCCCCCTGTCAAACCACCACAGCCACTGGTAATAACTTTCTATGCTCTGCCTCTGTGAAATCGATGTCTTTAGATTCCACATGTAAGTGAGATCATACATTATTTTATCTCTCTGTGTCTCGCTTATTTCACTTGACATAAAGTTTACCAGTTCTATGTTGTCACAAATGAAAAAAATGTCATTTTTTAAAAAAAGCTGTGTAGTATTCCATTGTGTATATATACTGCATTTAAAAAGTTTATTCACTCATTGATAGACACTTAGATTGCTCCATCCTTGGCCATTGTAAATAATGCTGCAAATAACATGAGTGGACAGATATATCTTTAATATAAAAATTTCAATTCTTTTTTATATATTCCAGACATGGAATTGTTGATCATATGGTAGTTCTCTTTTTAGGTTTTTGAGGAAATTCCATATTATTTTCAAAAATGCTTGTACTAGTTAACATCCCCAACAGTGTACAAGGACTCCATTTACTTCAGGTACTCACCAACACTTGTTATATTTTGTCTTTTTTGTAATAGTCATTCAAAAGAGCTTGATAAAATATATCATAGTGATTTTTATTTGCATTTATTTGATGATTAGAGAGGTTGAGCATTTTTTAACATATCTTTTGACCATTCATATGTCTTCTCTTGAGATACGTCTGGCCAGGTTCTTTGCTAATTTTATAATCAGGATATTTGTTTTCTTGCTGTTGAATTATTTAGTTCTTTATATATTTTAGATTTTTGTCCTTTATCAGAGATACATGGTTTGCTATTATGTTCTCTTAATCTGTGGGTTGTCTGTTCACTTTGTTCATTGTTTACTTTGAAGAAGCTTTTTAGTTTCATGCAATCAATTCTTAAAATTTATGGAGGCTTTTTTTTGTTCTTTCCTGTAGAATGTTTCATATTTATTAGAGAAGGATGTATATTCTGCTGTGTTTTTTTGACATGTTCTATAGATATCTCTTAGGTCTAAGTAGTTTATCATGTTTTTTAAATCTTCTATTTGAGTATTGACATTCTGTCTTATTATAGCTATTATTTCAAGGTGAGCATTCAAATATCCAATTATTGTTATTGAAATATATGCTAATCCCTTCAATTCTGTCAATTTTGCTCTCTATGTATTGGATCTCTGTTGTTAGATGCACATAGGTTTATAATTGGTACACCTCTTGATAGATTTACCTTTTATCATTACAATTTTTCAATCTATATTAACCATTTTTGTCTTAGAATACTGAAAACTATTACAGCCACTGTAGCTCTATGTTGGTCATGCTTACATGGTATATCATTTTCCATTTTTTTGTTTTTAAACTATTTGTGATTTTTTTAAATTTTATTTTAGATTGAAGAGGTACATATGCAGGTTTCTTATCTGGGTGTATTTCATGATGATGACGTCTGTGGTACAAATTATCCCATCACTCAAGTACTGTGCATAACACCTAATAGTTTTTCAATGGCTACCCCCATCCCTACCTCTGCCTACTAGTAGTCCCAAGTTTCTATCATTGCCACCTTTATGTCCATGAATATGTAGTGTTTAGTTCCCACTTGTAAGTGGGAACATATCATATTTGGTTTTCTGTTCCTGCATTTATTCTGTTAGGATAATGGCCTCCAGGTGCATCCATGTTGCTGCAAAAAGCATGAATGATTTCATTCTTTTTTTCTGACTGTGTATCCCATTGGCTGAGCCAGCACAGAGCTTATGCCTGTAAATAAGGATCAAATTTATACCTGGCTATATTGCCTGCTCCCAGCTATTACCTATAAGTATCATCTTCTGGCTTGTAGGTCACACTGCACAGTCCAGTATAAAACATGCCAGAAGAATTGCCAAAACACTCTACCTGGCATTCCCTACAGTCACACTCTCTGGGGAAGGGAAAAAGGGAAAGAAAGAAAGCAATAATATTATAGAGAAAGAAAGAACAAAAAAAATTACTTTCATGAAAATAATTACAAAAAAATACAAGTATCAGTGTCTCTACAAGAGAGGGAACCAGCACAAAAATTCTGGCACCATGAAAAATCTAACTGTATTGACACTACCAAAGGATCACACTAGATATCCAGCAATGACCTCTAGCCAAAATGGAAACTCAGAAATGACAAATAATTTAAAGCATGGACAGCAAGGAAGCTCAGCAAGATCCAAGACAATGTTGAAAATCAACACAAGGAAACTTCTAAAGTAACCCAGAAAATGAAAGAAGAGATAAACATCTTAAAACAAAATCAACCAAAGCTTCTAAAATTGAAAAACTCATGTAAGGAATCTCAAACTACAATTAAAAGCTTTATCAATAGACAGGACCAAGCAGAAGAAATAATTTCAAAGCTTTAAGACCAGACTTTTTTTTAACTTTTATTTTAAGTCCAGAGGCACAGGTACACATTTGTCACATAGGTAAACTTCTGTTATGAGGGTTTGTTGTACAGATTATTTTATCACCCAAGTATTAAGCCTAGTACTCATTAGTGGTTTTGCTTGATCCTCTCCCTCCTTTCACCCTCCACTCTCCAAAAAGGCCCCAGTGTGCGTTTTTCCCTCTATGTGAAGATCACTGTTTTGAACCAATCCAGTCAGACAAAATAAATTAAGAAGAATTTTTAAAAATAAACTCTCCAAGAAATATGGGATTATGCAAAGTGACCAGACCTATGAATTATTGGAATTCCTGAGAGAAAAGGAGAAAAAGCAAACAACCTGGAAAACATACTTGAGGGAATAATTCAAGAAAATTTTTCTAATCTTGCTAAAGAGGTAGACATACAGATATAAGAAATCCAGAGAACACTTGAGAGATACTATATGAAACAGACATAACCAAGGCACATAGCCACCAGACTGTCCAAAGTCAATGCTTAAGAGAAAATCTTAAAGGCAGCTCTTTGTGATTTTGAATCTAATATATATGCCTCTTATAGATAGCATATAGTTGAATTATATTGCATTTTAAAATCCATTTTACTATCTGTTTTTTAGTGGGAGTGTTTAGTTCACGTACCTTTTTATATAAATTTGTGGGGTTCAAGTGTTTTGTTACATGCATAGATTGCAAAGTGGTGAGGTCAGGGTTTTTAGGGTATCCATATCACCCGAATACTGTACATTGAACCCACTTAGTAATGTCTTATGCTCCACTCCATCACCCTCATTCCTCTGAGTCACCATTATCTAGCATTGCACAATCTACAGCCACATGTAAGCATTATTTAGTTCCCACTTATAAGTAAGAACATGAGGTATTCATCTTTCTTTGTCTGACTTGTTTCATCTAAGATAATGGCCTACAGTTCTATTCATGTTGCTGCAAAATATGTGATTTCATTCTTTTTATGGCTGAATAGTATTCCATTGTGTATGTATACCACCTTTTCTTTAACCTATTATGCATTGATGAACACCTAGGTTGATTCCATATCTTTGCTATTGTAAATAGTACAGCAATAAACACACTGGTATAGGTATCTATTTGATATGTTTTCTTTTCCTTTGTGTAGTCACTCAGTCATGGGATTGCTAGATGAAATGGTACTTCTATTTTTAATTCTTTGAGAAATCTTCATATTTTTATAGAGGTTGTACTAGTTTACATTCAGACCAACAGTGTATAAGCATTCTCTTTTCTTCGAATCCTTGCCAACATGTTATTCTTTGTTTTTCTAATAATAGCTATTCTGACTGGTGTAAGATTATATCTCACTGTGGTTTTAACTTGCATTTTTCTGATGATTAGTGATGTTAAGAATCTTTTCATATACCTGTTGATCATTTGTATATCTTCTTTTGAAAAACATATATTCATGACCTTTTCCCATTTTTAAAATAGTATTATTTGTTTTTGCTTTTGTTGTTGTTGAGTTGTTCGAGTTCTTGCAAATTCTGGATATTAGTCCCCTGTCAGATGCATAGTTTGCACATATTTTCTTCCATTCTGAAAGCAGTCTGTTCACCCTGTTGATTCTTTCTTTGGCTGTGCAGAAGCTTTTTAGTTTAATTAAATCTAATTTGTCTATTTTTGTTTTCGCTGCCTGTACTATTGTGGTCCTAATCATAAGTTCTTTGCCTAGACAAATGTCCAAAAGAAATTCCTTTGGTTTTTCTTCTAGTATTTTTATAATATGAGGTCTTCCATCGAACTTAATCCATCTGAGTTGATTTTTCATAGATGGTGAGACATAGGGGTCCAATTGTATTCTTCTGCATATTGCAAGCCAATTTTGCTAGTACCATTTATTGAAAAGGTTATCTTTTCCCTGATGAATGTTCTTGTTAATTTTTTCAAGATCAGAAGGCTGTAAATATGTGGCTTTATTTTTGAATTCTCTGTTCCGTTCCATTGATCTGTGTGTCTAATAGGAGTACCATGCTGTTTTGGATACTATTAATTTGGTAAATCTGGCAGTGGAATGTTTCTAGCTTTGTTTTTTGCTAGTGGAATGCCTCCAGCTTTGTTTTTTAATTTTGATTGTTCTGGCTCTTGGGCTTTTTTATGGTTCCATATGAATGTAGAATATATTTTTTTTTCTAATTGTGTGGAAAATGACATATTTTCATGGAAATTGCATTGAATCTGTAGATTGAAATTGTCATTTTAATATTATTAATTCCTCTAAGAGTATGGGATGCTTTTCCATTTGTTTGTGTCATCTAGAGTTTATTTCAGCAGTTTTATAGTTTTTCTTGTAGAGCTGTTTCACCTCCTTTGTTAAATATATTCCTAAGTATTTGTTTTTGTAGCTATTGTGAATGGGATTGCCTTCTTGATTTAGTTTTCACCTGGATTGTTATTGGTGTATAGACACACTACTGCTTTTTGTATGTTTATTTTGAATCCTTAAACTTACCTTGTCAAATCTAGGAGTTTTTTCATAGGGTCTTCAGGATTTTATATTTATGGCTTCTGCATTCACAAATTCAACCAAGAGCACATCAAAAATTAGGAAAAATAGAATAAAATAGAATGCAAATGAAAGAATAAAGATAACAACTATTTACCTAGTATTTACAGTGTTGTAGGTATTATGAGTAATCTGAAGGTGATATTAAAAGGGGTAACATATAAATTTAGTAAATCATGTGAAGAACAAAATGTGAGAGTCAATAAATTATTTAATGTATTATTATTCAAATATATAAATTTTGTCACCATGTTAAATAATGTACTCACTCATCTAAACTGATAATTTCTTTAGTAATCCACTAGTCACTTTATTTGCTGTAATTCTCAATAAAAGTGAGAGAGTAACTCATATATGCTGACAATCATTTAATATTTTTAGTTATAAGTTAAATGGTTTGAATTACAAAACCAGCTTACTCAAATAACTTGGTATGTAGCTAAACATACAATTGCCAATTGCTTATCTTTTTTTTTTTTTTTTTTTTTTTTGAGACAAAGTTTCACTCTGTTACCCAGGCTGGAGTTCTGTGGCTCCATCAGGGCTCACTGCACCTTTGACCTCTTGGAGTGAAGGGAACCTCCCACCTCAGCCTCCTGAGTAGCTGGGACCACAGGCATACACCACTAAGCCCAGTTAATTTTTGTTTGTTTGTTTCTGTAGAAGTGGTGTTTCCTCGTGTTGCCCATGCTGGTCTCCAATTCCTGAACTCAAGTAATCCATCTACCTTGGCCTCCTAAAGTGCTGGGATTACAGGTGTGAGCCACCATGCTCAGCCTGCTCATCATTATTTATATCAACTTCAATCCTAAGGATTATGCTTTTCCTTCTGTAGGATTTACTAAAAAGAGTCTTTTCTTTGGAATAAACTATTTTGTGACTTTTCTATAAAAACAATGAGACTAGGATTATAGAACATGACTCCTATATTGCATAGCTTCTCAATGAAAGGAAATATTGAAGATAAATAAAAGGACAAATTGCATATAAGATAAATTAAATACATTATGAACCACTAGAATTGATAAAGTAATATTTATGTTGTGTTTTTTCTCTCACGACTTTCATCTGACTTTTCACAGAGCAAGTCAGAGACAGTAATCTCATTATAATGGTATTAAAACACCACTCTTAAACACAAACTGTTTTGAAATTCTTACTTTACAATAACACTCAAGGTTAGCATTAGAAAAAATGATCCTTACTGGTACCTTAAAAAATCCTTTCTGCAAAAAAAGTAGCCATGCTACCAACTAATAGATCTTTATTATCTTCAGGTTTTATTAGTTGGGGCTACAGTCATGGCAAGAATATAGATCTAAATACAAAGAATGTTATTACTTCATCAACCATAAGAAAAGTTACTCTGCAATGATCCTTAATAAGGCTTGCTTTATAATGTTTCTGATTAAGTAATTGCATATACATTGACACACACACACAAATGCACTCATCCCACGCTGAACTCTCCATTATTATCTCTGTTACTTAGGAATGCTGTAGCGGATACTGGGGTTTCTCTGTAACCTTCTTTCCACTATCCACCGATTGTGTAACACATAGTTGAATTGGCATGCCTAGTCCCTCAGCTTCAACACTTAAAACATTCGGGATTATCCTATGCTTTCTGCCACCATTGATTTTTTCTTATAACCCAGGCAGAAAACAAGTGGTGTGTGGTGACATTGGCTTAACCACAGAAAATGGTTCAGATTTGGTTCAATGCATTTGAATTTCAGAAAATTGACTTAGAACATTAAAACAGAGATTTCTTTCTTCCTGATGTAATTTGTAACTTAAAGCCTGAATCTTCTAAAATCACTCAATTATTTGAGGGAAGCCACTGAAGGATAGAGCTGACACAGAAAGGAAAGAATATGTAGTTGATGCAAACATAAAATAAAATAACAAGGATCCTGATTAAAGAACAAACGCCTGAAAACGCTTTAGGTATCCTTTGCTCCTTCATTTGGTTTTAGTAGGTTTACCATTTAATCAAATTTTGATGGCAGGAGATACAATAAATTACATATGACTATTGTTTTCAATATTAAGAAATCCATGCTTAAGAACATATTATATATTCATTGTCTACATAAAACCTTTTCCTTGATTAATACACTTTGTCTAGGTAAGGGCAGGAGTTGAATATTCCATTTATAGTTGAATTTCACAAGTCTTTAACTTCTAGTAAAAATAAAGTTTCTACCAATAAAAGATAATATGCACCTAGTAGTATTTAATATTCACATTAGCCAGTCATAAATACTGTAGACAATTCAGTCATATGAGGTTCATCTAGCTCCAAGGACTGTTTAACTTAGTTGTAGAAATATATGGTAGTTTTGTCCAAGAGCAAGTATCCTTTATAATGTAACTGTGACCAAGGCCCAATTCACAATTTAAAAAAAAATTTATATATTAGTGTGGATTTACACTGCTATATAAATATGTTTTAGTCTGTTTGATATACCAGTGTAGCTCATGAATTGATAATTAATAATGTTAAAAAATACATTACATTTTCCTTTTATTAAAAGTATATACAAAATCACAAAATCACTGATCCATTACTTTCTTCTGCTCTTTAAAATTAGTGCTAAAATAAATGTAACTACATTCTGGTTACAGTCATTTAAATTGAAAATTATTCTGTTATTATCTTGTCAGCAAGCTTCTCTAAATCCATATATTTCAAGTTAAAGAGGTAGGAAAAGTAAGAAATGTTTACATTCAATTTCGAAAGAAAGCTATGAAGAAATTGAGTTTAAGTGCTATTCAGTTAAAATGACTATGGGTGATTGACTATGCTTGGGTGATTCATATTGTATGGTTCATTTGCTTTCTAAAACTAGGTAATTGTTCAAAGTCACTTATTTATTTTAATAAAACGTTATTTCCTATTTAATCTGTATTGGTCACTGACATAGAAGCGACAAGTGCAGAGTGAAATAGAACCTAGTCCCTGTCTTCCAAAGTCTTACATTCTTCACTGCTGGGAGGCTGTGAACTTTCACAAGTGCATGATCATTAATGATCAAGACGCTGCTCTGTTTCTATAGACTCTGTTCCTTCGGTCCTCTGGCCCTTTAGCCTGTGGTTAAATTGTCTACCATCTCTTTCTGCTTACATAATTCTACACTATAAAATTTGTAACGATCAGTGGAGGTAAAATGTATTAATCTTTCAAAAAATTATGCATGCACATTTTTATATTGTGATTGCATATTATATGGTCTTATTTAGGTGGTAAAAAATTTTTAATTTTTAGTAATATTGGAAATTTTGCTAAATATTTTATGGTGGCATTAATATATTCATTTATATAATAATTATTTATTGAATAGCTACTTTATGACAGATGCTGTTCTACCTGCAGTCAAGTCAATTCACTGTTGATTATTTTCTTTAAAATCTAATCAAATAGGAAAATACATACTTCAGGAAATAAAATAGTGCAGAGATAATGACTTGCCCTAGGAGGGTCAGATTGCATTATACAAATATTTCACACAGGGCTAGAATGTCTTATCTTAGTAAAACCACGTGCATTGTACATTTTCTCTCTGGGTTAAATATATTCTTTGATACTTTTTGAATAATCTTAGAAGCTCTTTGAAATGATGCATTTTAGAAAAGGTACATTTTTTTCCTCCATGGTTATTCAATATTTTTAAACATGCTTTATTTTTAGACTATTTTAGACTCACAGTAAAGTTGAGCAGAATGTGCAGATCTTTTCCGTATACTCCTCATGACAAATGTGTATATTTTTTTTATTATCAATATTCCCCACCTGAGTGATGTATTTGTTACAATCAATGAACTTACATTGACACATAATTATTGCCCAAAGTCCATAGTTTACATTAGGCTTCACTCTTGATTCTGTACATCCCATGGATTTGGACAAATGTTTAATTACTTGTATCAACAATTATAGCGTCATTCAGAGTAGTTTCATTGCCTTGCTCTAAAAGTCCTCTGCTCCATCAATTCATACCTCCCTACCCAAACCCTGGCAAACACTGCTATTTTTACTGTCTTCATAGTTTTGCCTTTTGCATATAGATATCATATAGTTGGATTCAAACCGTAAGCAGCTTGTTCAGATTGAGATTTTTGGGAGTCTTGGTAATTGCATTAAGTTTTCTATATTTACTTTCATTGCTTGAAATTGAATTTCTTTGTAATGCTAAATTGTATTCTACTTTCTTGATGTGCTACTGTTTATCTATTCATGTATGGAAGAAATCTTGGTCGATTATAAGTTTTGGCAATTATGAATAAACCTTTTATAATAATCTATGTGAAAGTTTTTGTGTGGAGATAAATTCTCAATTATTTTAGGTAAATACCAAGGAGCACCACTGATGGATCATATGGTAAGAGCATATTTAGTTTTATAAAAAAAATGCTACGAAATTGGCTTCCAAAATGGCTGTACGCTTTTGCTTTCCAACCAGCAATAAGTTACAGTTCTTGTTGCTCCACATCTTGGTTAGCATTTGGTATTGTCTGTGTTCTAGTTTTTAAGACTTTGTTTTTTATACATTAAGTAATGTTTTTGAATATGCATTAATAAAATGCTGTTTATTATTCTACTTTGTATATGAATAGTATCAGCATAATTACGTTTGATGACAATAATTTCTTGTATATAATTCTTTACATTCAATTCACAATTTTTATATTTATATTATTAATGAAATTACTTTTACCTAACAGTTTTAGTTATAAATTATGATTATGATCTGGCCTCTGAAAGTCAATATGTACTTCTGACTGATTTCAAATTAGAATCCACTAAAATAGTAAACATTTTTAAAGCTTTTGCATTACATTAATTTCTAGGAAACATGTTTACCACATAAATATATAAAATGCAAATTTTTATGGTCCCACCAACTGAAAACTAATAATTAAAATTTTCATAGATCTTTATAAAATTTTTTTTAAAAAATAAAATATATAGTATATAGTGCTATTATTTATTTTTATTTATTATATTTTGATGGTTTAAAAGTTAATCTTTAGTACTCCAAGGCAGAATTTTTATGGCTGCAGAATATCATTTTATGAGGACACATTATAATTTTGATATTATTTCTATATTTTGGGTTATTATAGTTATTTCAAGTTTATTCTTAAAAGTAAACCACACTTTTCTGAAAAACTTGTATGTAAATCCTTAGAGAAGAGTGTTATTTTGCCTTACTTAAAAATTATTAAGTTCAGACATAATAACTCATACCTGTAATCCCTACGCTTTGGGAGGCCAAGGCAGGAGGATCACTTCTGGCCAGGAGTTCAAGACCAGCCTGGGCAACATGGTGAGACACTGTCTCCACACAAAATAATAAACTAAAAAAAAAAAAAAAAATTGAAAATGAACACACCTTTGTAACGATCCTGAAACATATTGCCAAGCTAGCCACCAGAAAGTTACATCAATTTGCTTACAGCCCTAGATAAATGTATTAGTTAGGATAGGCTAAAGTGTTGTAAAAAATGTAACATAGAAGTGTTCATGGTGCGAAAGAGTAAACAATTGTTTTGTGGATATTCCTTTAAGTGGATTTATGACCTCTGACTGATCATTAACGACCTGGTGTCTTTCTCTTTGGCACCTACATCCAGGACACATAAAGGAAAAAGGGATAAAATAAATGATGACTGCTTTGAAAGCTTTGTTCCTTTGGCATTAACTAAACAAATGTTTACAAGGAGACTTGGATATTTCATCCTGAGTTGCTTCCAACCTATATCTGTAAACAATGGAAAATGACAACAGATGTTTAGGAACATCTAAAAGCTTTGCTCCAATCCACTTCTGGACCATTTTATTCACAGAGGACATATCAACATCCTCTTCACCTCTGTCCAAAAAAATAACAATTCAAATTTGCATCCCCTTACCTCAGCAGCTCAACATCCAGTTTCACAGCCCTTTGCACAGACATAGATGTGGCTCTTTTGGGTTTGGCATTTGTTTAGGTCAGAGGATACATCTTCTTCAAGTGCTCATTCAGCTTTTCACTCTATCGTCCAAATAATTGTGAGTTCTCTGCTACAAAAGAAAAAGCTTTTTAAAACACTGAAAATGCCAACACTGGGTAAAATCATTAAGATTTTACTCCGTGTTGAATGGGTAAACAACTCATTAATTCATCGGTTTTAGTTTATTTAATCATCAAAAATAATTCTTGCATATTTGTGGTTATTTGCTTTTAAGTATATATATTAGATATATTTGTCATTTGTACTTCTTGTTTTTTTATTGATAACATTTTTCCTTTAATTACTGTTAAGCCTGGTCTCCAATATTGAGTTATTTTCATTAATTCTAAAATGAGAATATTCATAATCCTTTTCTTCTGTCTAATCTCTATTGTATTTTATTTTATTCTGTGTTTTTATTATAGATTCAGGAGGCACATGTGCAGGTTTGTTATAAAGGTATATTGCAGTGGTGGAGTTTGAGCTTCTAGTATACTCATCACCCCAATTTTGGGCGTAATACCAAATATGTAGCTTCCAACCCTCCCCTACTCCTCACACTCTTTTCTTTTGGAGTTCCAGGTATTTATTGTTTTCATCTTTATATCCTTGTGTACCCACTGTTTAGCTCCCACTTTTAAGCGGGAACATGTGATATTTGATTTTCTCTTTCTGAGAAAATAACTTCAGATAATGACCTGCAGCTGCATCCATGTTGCTGTGGAGGACATGACTTCATTATTTTTTATGTCTGTGTAGTATTCCAAGGTGTATGTATAATATGATATCTTTATTCAATCCACCATTGATAGGCACCTAGGTTGATTCTATGTCTTTGCTATTGTGAATAGTGCTGCAACAAAAAGAAAATGAGTGTAGGTATTCTTTTGGTAAGATGACTTCTTTTCTTTTGGGTAGATACCCAGTAGTGGGATTTCTAGGTTGAATGGTAGTTCTATTTTTAGTACTTTGAAAAATCTCCATACTGTTTTCCATAGAACTTGGACTATTCCCATCAACAGTTTATAAGCATTCTCTTTTCTCCTCATCTTCAACATCTGTTATTTTTTGACTTTTTAACAGTAGCCATTCTGACTAGTGTGAGATAGCATCTCATTGTGTTTTGATTTGTATTTCTCTGATGACTAGTTTTGTTGAGCATTTTTTTCATGTTATTGGCAACTTGTTAAGTTTTCTTTTGAAAAGTATCTTTTCATGTCTCATGTCCACTTTTATTGGGGTTATTTACTGTTTCTTGTTAATTTGTTTAAGCTCCTTATAGATTCCAGATGTTATTCCTTTGTCAGAGGCATACATTTTCTCCCATTCTGGAAGTTGTGTGTTTACTCTGTTGATTGTTTCTTTTGCTCTGCAGAATCACTTTAGTTTATTTAAGTACCATCTGTCTATTTTTTATTGTTGTTCCATTTGCTTTTGAGGTCCTAGTCATAAATTCTTAGGTTAGCCCAATATCTAGAAAAGTTTTTCTTAAAATTTCTTCTATTTATTTTATTTTATTTTTTAGTTTGAGGTCTTACATTTAAGTTTTTAATCTACCTTGAGTGAATTTTTGTATATAGTGAGAGATTGGGGTCAAGTTTAATTCCTCTGCATATGGCTAATCAATTTCCCAAGTATCATTTATCGAAAACAGTGTTGGGTTCCCCTTTGTTTGCCTTTATTGACTACATTGAAGATGAGTTGGTTGAAAGTGTATGGATTTATTTCTGATTTCTCTATTCTATTCCATTGATATATGTGTCCATTTTTGTACCAGTTCCATGCTGTTTTGATTACTGTAGTTTTATAGTATAGTTTGATATCAAATAATGTAATGCCTCTGGCTTTGTTCTTTTTGTTTAGGATTGCTTTGATTATTTGGACTCTTTTTAGGTTCTATATAAATTTTAGAATTTTTCTCTAATTCCACAAAAATAATGACATTGGTAATTTGATAAGAATTGCATCGAATCTCTAGATGCTTGGGAAAATATACTTATTTTAATGGTATTGATTCTCCCTATCCATAAGCATGGAATGTTTAGATTTGTTTGTGTCACTTATCCTTTTTGTCATCAGGGGTTTGTAGTTCTCTTGATAAAAGTATTTTATCCCCTTGGTCAAATATATTCCTAGTTTTTTGCATGTGTGTGGCAGTTGTAAATGGAATTGAGTTCTTGATTTAATTCTTAGCTTGAGCATTGGTGGTATACAAAAATGCAACTGATTTGTGCCTTAATTTTGTATCCTGATGCTTTCGTGAATTTGTCTATCATTATTTTCCTATTGCTCTGTCTAGGAATTCCAGTACTCTGTTTAACAGCATTGGTGAGAGTGGATATCCTTATCTTGCTCCAGTTCTTAAGGAATATACTTTCGGCTTTTGGTTATTCAGTATAATGTTGGCTGTGGCTTTTACTATTTTGAGTATGTTCTCCCTATGACTAGTTTGTTGGGGGGTGGGGGTTAATCATGAAGGATTTTAGATTTTTTTTTCTTTTCTGTTTTTTTTGAGACGGAGCCTCGCTCTGTCAACAAGGTGAGATCTCAGCTCACTGCAACCTCCGCCTGCAGGGTTCAAGCAATTCACCTGCCTCAGCCTCTTGAGTAGCTGGGACTACAGGCATGCACCACTGCACCTGGGTAACTTTTTTGTATTTTAGTAGAGATGGGGTTTCACCATGCTGGCCAGGCTGGTCTTGAATTCCTGACCTTGTGATCCGCCTGCCTAGGCCTCCCAATTTTTACTTTTACTTCATATCTCTTTGCTACTATGGGTAACCCAAATGGATATTAAAATACTTTACCTTGCTACTGCCAGTTATGTTTTAATAACTATGGCAGTTTCACTGAATCCACTGTCTTTAAAAAAAGAATACTTTTTAAAACTGAATAATGTCAGAATAATTTCCCAGGATTCTAACATATCTCCTCATTTATGTCCTGTATTTTACATTGTATTTGGTGAAAGCAACACTCACTGTAAAATTGCAGTATACTAAGATTATTGAAAATGGTGCTTTTTCCCTAAAAAGTAATTTATTTATATCATGTATAGCATTTTATATATTGAAACAAAAAGAAAAATCCTAAATGCATTGTTATTAGGGAGCTTACTATGTTGGCATGCATATACATGCCTTCTCACATATACCTATTTATACGCTAAATCTGACTCACAAACATAGTCAGAAAAACTGCCAGTAAGAATAGGAGAAGATCCACTCCTCAAAACTTTGGTATTCCTTGGCTTGTAATCACTCTAATCTTTACCTCTATTGTCATATATCCATCTTTTTGTGTATGTCTTTGTCTCCTCTTATATGGGTACAAGCCATGAGGATTAGAGCCCACTCAAATTCAGTATTACTTTATCTTATCTCGATTACATCTTCAATGTCACTACTTTTAAATAGTGTCACACTTACAGGTACTGAATGAGAACTTCAGCATATCTTTTGTGAGGGCCAACATTCAGAACTTCAGCATATCTTTTGTGTAGGACACAATTTAACCCACCTCAGTGTATAATTAAAACTTTTAGGAGTGACAATTATTCTAACACCCAGTTCCTTTAATAGGAGGAATATTTATTCTGTTCTCTTTCCATCTCCCATGCCTAGCACAAGGTCTGACACATAATAAATCCTCAGTACACATTGTTGAAAACATGAATATAAGAGCCAGAACCTATGACTAGGCTTTAGTTTTATTTCTTACCAGCCTTGGAAAATCTTTCTAGAATTTTATTCTAAGGCCCATGCTTCAACTTCTAGCCATATTTTAACCCCTTTAACTTTCTCAAGAACTCTCTCCTTAAAAATTATTTTTTGTATGTCAATTTATTATCTATTAAGTTCTTTCCATTTGCATGCACACATATTCTAAAATGTATTATTTCAAAATATAATTATCTTGAATCAGTTCCATTCTGATGTGTGATAATATTTTGGTTGTAGCTTTGAAATATAAATAAACTACTCATAGATATCTTCCTTTCTTAGATGATATGAAGCACTTGATTGCTGTTTTGCAAGAAAATAGATAATTTCCGTCACTCCTCCAATGATGACTATTGGCTTTGGTATGATCACATTTATACCTCCATGGTTTGATACTACGCATGTGTATGTACACAATGAATTTCTGTTGCAATGCTGAATCTAAAGTAATGTTTAAATATGACAATTAAACCTAAAATTTAGTATCAGCTCTACATGTAGATTAATTGATGTGACAAAATTATGACAAATATGATCACTTTTTGCATACTCACAAATAATGGTAACTATGTCATGATAGCTATTCAAGCAGAAGTAATTGTAAGATGACATCACTCTAAGACAAACTCAACTTCAGAGGCATTCAAATATGGAAATCATGCCTCTTGGGATTTATGAAATGCAGTCAAATATAGATAGGCATAATCTAACAAAAATTTCAAAAAGAAAGATATAAATAATAGAGAAGAAATACTTTCAAAATTCATAATATGAAAACATGGTTTATTTTAGGAGGGAGAAGTATTTTTATGTCCTCTAGCTAAGTATTTGGCTGTGTGAAAATTCAAAAGGCAATGATAAAAAAAAAAGAGATAAAACATGTATGAAAAAATAAATATATTTGGACGTACACTGAAATTGAGACGAAATAAATAAACAGCTTCTGCATTACAACTTGAAAGCTTAAAGAGTAAAAATAAAAAGAATACAAAATTACAAGCAAAACGAGGAAAATTTTATTGAAAGAAAACTATAATGTGCACTAGGTTAAATTCTAGCAGCTTTCAGGTTGTAAATGTCAAGATTTCAGAGCAACTGAACACAAAACTATCTGCCATTGTGACCTAAATATTAGGAATGTAATTCATTTTGGTCAGCAGGAATTCACAAAAGGAGGATTGCAGTAAGACTGAATTTCTTTTAGGAACAGTGATACAAAATTCACATAGGATGGCCCTTGATATAATTTTCTGACGTTTAAAAAGGCTTTCACTACTCTTTTTAAATAAAGGATTATAATATAATGGAAAAAAAGTATGCCATTGAAGACAAGCCATTGAATCTATGAAAAGATGCTTTCACTATCAAAGAAAAATGTTACTAATAGAAATGGCTTGGAATTGAATACAGTATTTGGAGACTTAAAAATTCCACTTTTTAATTGAATAATGATCTATACGATATATCGCACACAAAAAAAGGTAGGACATGTATTCTATACCAGCCTTGTACATTGGGGCAAATAAAATTCAGTCATTCATAAAATGCTATAATGCATTAAAAATTAAATGATACTGTGATTACACATATGAACTTTTCATATTGAAATTCACATTTCATTTTTGTAGACATACATTCTTTCCATAGATGATCCATCACTGTAAGAATGAGACATAGACTGTTTGTCATTTTATGCTAAATAATCGAATTATAGAAAAAGAGCAGCTAAAGAAATATCCTAGATGTATGGCAAAAAGGTGGATTTTACATGACTTTTTATTTCAACCACCATCTTATCATAGCCATATTCTTTCTATAGCAATCTGTATTTACAATGTGTTCATATGATTTTAACTCTCTTTTAATAGCATTATTCTTCTTTTTCACAAATATAATAGCTCTCATTCTTTTAATGTTTGAGTCATTCTAAAATCACATTGCAAGCTGCTTATTTGAGCAAAATGATGAACTAGTTACCTTGAAAATCCATCTGCTAGAAACCTTAGAAAATGCTTAAGAAAACAATTTTAAATGCATAACTGCTTACAAGAACAACAAAATAAAATATAAAAATTCCTGGAGCAGAATAAAGAATGAATTGGAAAGCAAATCAACCCACCTGAGCTAATGTAGTAACAGCTCCAGGAGAAGTTGCTGGGCTTGGTGTTCTCCAAGATTGTACATTGATTTTTAAAATTAACTGATTTTATTCTTGCATAATTTACATAAAGGAAAAACATAGATCTGCAGTATACAGTTTTATGAGCTTAGTAGATTGAAAAAAAATAAAAGGCTGCAACTTGTCCCTCTCCTTCTAAACAAGCCTTTTGCAAATATAGTTCTATGCTGACTCTGTGCTGGCCTTGAGACTTGATTTGCCCAGTGGGATATTGGAACATGAGACTAAAGCAGAGCCTTTGAAAATACTTTCACATAGGATGAGCTTGCGTATATCTCTTGGAAACCCTTAAACCACAACTGTTTGAAAAAGGCAAAACAAGTCTATTGAATGATGATCAACACATGATCAAGCCATCTCTTGCTCCAGCTGAAATCTAACCAAACACCACAACTGTGAATGTGGCCATCTTAGAAATTTAGTTCAAACTAGGACTCTGACACTGGAGATTGTCTGAGTTAGCCCATAGCCGAAGAACCTCCAAGGGTAAACAGACAGATGTGGCTTCATGAGTTTGTAACTACACAGGACTCTGAGATCAATACTGTAAAAGCTCCTGGGGCTAAATATACTGTGATCTCTGTCTTGAAATTTCTAATAATTTTATTTTTTAAATTATATTTTCCAAATGAAGTCTCATGGGCAATGGAGCGTATAGGAAGTACTTGGAATTTTTGTTCACATGGAATCCTGCAACCCATATCCTCCCTGTCTCCCTGAAACATATTCTCAGCAGTTACTCCACTTTCCCCAGGTGCCCAAGACTCTACTTGGCCTTCCCTCCTTACCCTACTGCCCTCAAGCGCCTGAGTGCGAGCTTTGTCAGGGCCATATTTAGTTTCCACTCCTTGGCATCTCAGCCTGGGGAATGGTGGCAGCTGTCCTTGCCCTAGGGTGAATTGCCAAGACATTTTCTATAGTTATTTCAGCTGGAACAAGCCCCTGGCCCTCCCTTGATCCAGGATAAACACATCCCTGAATAGAGATTGTGATCCTTTGGGGGTCACCTGTCTGTCACTGGTTGGGGTATTGAGACCACGGAATGGGCTGAGTGACTTCCTTGCCCTTTGTAGGATCATAGCACATTTTTCTGGCAGCTGGCGGGAGAAGGAATTTAATAGCAACCGAGCCACAGGCATGTGCCAGGCCATGGATGGGACTCCCAACGCCTGTCAGGTTCATACTTGCCAGTGAGTGTTCACTGTCCGTGAAATAACAAATTAAAATAGTACTATCATAGCTCATGAGAGAAAGAAAGAGAGCCCATGGGAAGACTGAAAAAAAGTTTTACATTTAGGGCCTTTAATGATAATTTTCCCCAAAGGCATTTCATTTTGCACAAGGCCCTCCAAATAATGTAGCTGCTGCTGCTCACAGAATCATGAGAAATGATAAATAGTTTCTGCATTAAGCCCCTTTAAGGCTCAGATGGGCTCAAGTTGAAGCCTCCTATTTTATAAAATGGATGTTTAGTAAAGGAACTGGTCTCAGTTATGTTTATAGCACTTGGGATAGTGTTTTCTTGTACATTTTGTATTTTAAAACACTTTATGCTAGTGCAGCGATCCTTACACAAATACAAAGGGAATAAGAGCCAGTAGTTCAGTCTCCTCAGTTTTAGTGCTGAAATAATAAATAGTGACAGGTCAAAAAAATTAGGTATAGTGTGGTATGCAGTAAAAGCTATAGATGAACTTTTTTTCTTTTTTTTTAATTTTATTATTATTATACTTTAAGTTTTAGGGTACATGTGCACAACGTGCAGGTTTGTTACATATGTATACATGTGCCATGTTGCTGTGCTGCACCCATTAACTCGTCATTTAACATTAGGTATATCTCCTAATGCTATCCCTCCCCCCCAGCTATAGATGAACTTTGACGAATATATGAATTCCATGTAATTAACACCCAAATCATGATATATAACATTCTCATTGTCACATTCCCATTTCCACTGTCTTGCTCTACTGTGTCTTGGTGTCTTGTCTTTTTTTATTGCTTTCTTTAGCAGAACATGTCATATATATGATCTATCATTGATCAAACCATTGCCTGTGAACCATAACTATATACATATATATAATCTTAGATATTTTAGATATTTTAGGTCCTTATTATCTTATAAATAGTTTTTTCTCTGTTTCCAGTTGCTTGTTGCTGGTATATAGGAAGATAATTTATGTTTGTATATAGTCATATTTTGTATCCTGTGACCCTACTCCATTAATTTATTAATTTTTATTTATTAATTCCTCAGGAAATTCTATGTACAAAATAATATAATCTGAAGATGCATACACTTAACTCTTTTTCACTTTGAACTCTAAGCCCTTTATATTCTGGGACTTGAGCACTGAGAGTTTAAGATATTAAGACTAATAGGATATGTATGATAAAAATTTTACTACTTCACATTGAAAAAAATAAGATGAAATAATAAACAATCCCTCTATCCTTCAATTGCTGAAAAAGTAACTTGAAAATAACATAATATTTCATAATTCAGCATTCATCTCCCGAAGTTATTTATCATTAATTTAAAAATTAAAATTGCATAATATTTAAAATCCATTCCATATTTAAATTTCTTCAGAGCCTACCCCAAGGAAACACCTTCAATTACTACTTTTTCATTAAAAGACCATACCAAGTTTCAAGGATTTTCCTGTTATTTCATGGCTCTTTAGTTTCTGTTGATCTAGAACAATTCTGTCATCTTCATCTCTCCTACCAAGTAACTTGATTTTGAGGACAGTATGCCAATGGAGCTTTAGAGCAAGCATGTCTCACATTATAAATTTTTCTAATTATATCTTTATATGTTGTTTACCTTATTCTACTAATGACTATTTTATGTAAACTGGCAGCTTTTAAGGCATGAATAGATACAGGTTAAGTAGTTTGAGCAAAAAAAAAAATAGATAAATTCTCTGTATTTTGTAATGAATATCATCATGGCCGTGCAGTGCCAGTTTTCTTGCTACTAATAAGGCTAAGTGTGACCCTCTGGTGAGGTGATAACTGCTCAACCTCATTAATAATAAGGGAAATGTAAATTAAAATCACAATAACATACAAAAACACACCTACAGGAATAACTAAAATAAAAAATCCTGGGAAAACCAAGTATTGGCTAGAATGTGAAGAAAGAAGTTTTATATTGTACAAGTATGTATATAAATTACTATAAACATTTAAGACAATTACTCAGTGGAATTAGATAAAGCGAAACGTATTTCTAAATGCTGCTACTTGACAATTCCACTCCTAAATGACACGTGCACATGAGCACTACCACAGGACTTTCAGTCTGTCAACTTTATTGCTGCTAATTTGAGTACCAAGGTACTAAATAACATATTCATATAATTATATAATAGAATATATTATAATATGTTAATACATTTGAATGCTATGTGGCAATGATCATTTCCCTACCTAACCAAATGTAATATGAGAACTGCTATATGAGAAGCAATACGGATACATTTCACAAGCATATGCTGAATAAAGGAAGTCAATCACAAAACATGTAGTCTATGGTTCTGTTATTCACATTAAAAAGTAAATTCCACTTAATTTATGGAATTAGAAGTCAGATCAGGTTTGGAGAAGGAGGAGGAATGGTGAGTCATAGGGAACAGAACATAGTAAGTGTCTAATAATGGTATATTTCTTGACTTGGTTAGAAGATGCATGGATGTTTTCACTTTGAGGTAATTAATTGCTCTGAACACCTATCATAAAACAACATTAAATATATTAAATAAAATTCTAAGCCATGTACTTTGAAAACATCAATGGTATATCCAATTTCCTAGAAAAAAATTAGTTCTTACCAAAATTTACTGTGAAACAAGCTGGAAATCTTAATAGTATAATGGAAATTCAAGTAATGGATCTAACTGTTAAAACTTTATCCACTGTTAACAAGACATCCAGATCATTTTACATAATGCTCCTATCACTCAAGAATATAGGAATGTAGTAATACTAATTACAATTAAACTAAATCAAGGGAAAACAGGTAGAGAGCAGAGGGTTTCACTGGAAATTTCAATGTACCCATAATGTTTTACTTTATGGACAAAAAGATCTAATGTGTCAACATGTTAAGATGATGTAGCTTAGTCTGGGTATAAATGAGTATGTGCAAGTACTTTTTTTTTTTTTTTTTGAGACAAGGTCTCGCTGTGTCACTCAAGCTGGACTGCAGTGGCATGTTCTCAGCTCACAGCAACCTCCGCCTCCTGGGTTCCAGCAATTCTCCCTCCTCAGCCTCCCGTGTAGCTGGAACTACAAAAGCACCCCACCACACCTGGCTAATTTTTGTATTTTTGGAGAGATGGGATTTCACCATGTTGGCCAGGTTAGTCTCGAACTCCTGCCATCAAATGGTCCGCCCGCCTTGGCCTCCCAAAATGCTGAGATTATAGGCATGAGCTACTATCCCTGGCCATTTCTGTACTCTATATTTGAAATATGTCATACAGCAAATGATAGCATATTTTAAAGACAAATAGATTTTGCAGATTTGATATGATGATAGCATATTTTAAAGATAAATAGATTTTGCAGATTTAAATAGATTTGTGAATTTGTTACCTAGATTACATTGTTTGTATTATGTATCACCATTAGAAACTTTGGAAGTACATGCAACCATTTTAGATTTATTCAAAGTAGAAAAGAAGTTTATTCATAAACTCCATTTCCACAAAGATGTGATAGGCAATGAAAATTTTCCAATTACCCTCTGTTACTTTTGGGTTAGCACATCACCTATGGCTTAAAAAAGACCTCTTGGATCCAGATTTAAAAAGCCAAAAATATTCTGAGTTTTCAGATTTTCGATGACTTTCTGCAAAATAATATAGTAGGGCTACATTCATACAATGAGTTTTTTATTATTAAACTACCTCTGAATCTATTGTTGACTAAACTAGCTTATTCTGTTTGCTTTTTAGTTACCCAATTATAAGTATTGTAGAAAAGTTGGAAGGGTAGGTGTTTCTCCTCAAATGGTTAGACAATGTGTCACAGAGTTTAAAAATCCATCTTGAAAACAAACTTTACAACTCCACTATTTACCACCTACCTGACTTTAAAGCATATAATCACTCTTTGCCTCGGTTTTCCCATCTGTAATTTGAGGTAATAATACCATTAAACTCATATAATGGTTCAGAGGATTAAATGTGCCCAAAAGACACTTACCTAGTGGGCTGGGCACAGTGGCTCATGCCTGTAATCTCAGCATTTTGGGAGGCAGAAGCAGGAGGATCATTTGAGCCCAGGAGTTTGATACCAGCCTGGGCAACATAGCGAGACACCCATCTCCACAAATAATAATAATAATGGATTAGCCAGGCACAGTGGCTTGTGCCTGTGGTCCCAGTTACTCAGGAGGCTGAGGCAGAAGGATTATCTGTGCCCAGGAGGCCAGAGCCACAGGGAAGGGAGCCGTAATTGTGCCACCACACTGCAGCCTGGGATACAGAGTGAAATCTTGAAAAAAAAAAAAAAAAAGGAAGGAAGGAAAGAAGGAAGGAGAAAGATGACCTAGTAGTAACTGATCAATAAATGAAATGTGTATAGTCATTATGCCTACATAAAATTATCTATCATTTATCTATCTATCTGTCTGTCTGTCTGTCTGTCTGTCTGTCTAAATAAAATCTTAGCCCAATTACTCTATTGAAAAAATCTCAATAAAGCAAGTCACAGGACATTTTGCTTCCCAGTGCATATAAAAGTTACACTAAATTGTGTACACTAAACATCCAGGGCTTGTAGTTCCATTTAGAGAGCACAAGCAGAGTAAATTTAGCATAATTCTTATGGGCCCTAGGACTTTTGAAATGGTCAAAGAGCATTGACTTAAACATAATGTCACCAGCTACATTAGCTCCTAAGAGGCCTGTCCTTTGAAGCTTTGAAGCCAGGCATTGACTTCTCTCAAGCTATAAAAGTATTAGATGGCATTGTATTCCAGTTTAAGTCCGCCTACATTAAAAATATATTTTGTGTGTGTGTGTGTAGCCCTCTTTATCTATTATCTTAGCTAAAACATCTAGAGAACATGTGCAGCTTCTACATCAGCAACTGCTGCTTCACCTTGCATTTTTAGACAGTTTCTTTTTCGTGAACTTCATAAACAACCTCTTCATAAACCAAACTTTTCTTCTGCAGCTTTCTCACCATTTCAGTCCACACAGAATAAAGGGAGAGTTAGGGCCTTGTTCTCAATTAGGCCTTGGTTTAATATAATTTAGTGGCTTGTTTATCTATCCAGAAAACTGAAACTTTCTTCATAAAAGCAATAAGGTTGTTTTGCTTTCTTATCATTTCTGTGATCACTGTAGTAGCATTTTTAATTTCCTCCAATAACTTTTTCTTCGCATTCACAAGTTGGCTAACTAGTTGACACAAGAGGTCTCACTTGCAGCCTATTTCAGTTTTTGATGTGTCTTTCTCACTGAGATTAGCTTTTGATTTAAAATGAGAGATGTGCAACTCTTTCACTGGAACACTTACAGGCCATTTTAAGGTAATTAACTGATCTAATTTCAATATTGTTGTGTCTCAGGGAATAGGAAGGCCAGTGGAGGGGAGAGAGACAAGGAATGGCTGTTTTGTGGAGCAGTCAGAACACACGCATTTATTGACTAACTTTGCCATCTTATATGGAAGTGACTTGTGGCACCTCAAAACAATTACAACAGTCACATTTAAAGCTCACCAACCACAGATCACCGTAACAGTTTTAATGTTAAAAAAGTTTGAAATATTGTAAGAATTACCAAATGTGGCACAGAGACACGAAGTGAGCACATGGTGCCAAGAAACTTGATGGATGCAGGGTTGCCCAGAGCTGTCCATTTGTTAAAATAAAAAAAAAAAAAGTGCAGTACCTGCAGAGTGCAATAAAGTGAAGCACAATAAATTTAATATATGTACAGTATATGGGATTGTATTGCCAAACCGTCCAATGCTTCACAAAAAAATTATGGTCAATTACTTTGTCTCATGTAATGTATTCAGAGAGCCTCTGTGAAATCTAAAGTTTCTCAGAACAGTCTCAGGGGGACGGGATATAGACAAAGGCAGCGATTTACCCATGGTGTTCATCCTTTTTCCCATCTTCCAGTGACCAGAGTTACTCCTCCAGAAATCCTGGTTGGGCTACATGGACTGTCTAGCTAGTATGATGTCCAGTCATTCCAGTTACCTTTCAACCAGTGCAGCTATCTGGTCTCTGTGATCAAAGCAAAAATGTGATTTATCTGCAGGGCAGCTCCAGCTGGAAAACAAGCTGAGTTCTGGAGTTCTCAGGGCTTGGGGAAAGAAATATTGGCCAGGTTGGGTGCAGTGGCTCACACCTGTGATCCCAGAACATTGAGGTCAGGAGTTCGAGACCAGCCTGGCCAAAATGGAGAAGCCCTGTCTCTACTAAAAGTACAAAAAATTGCCAGGCGTGGTGGCGTATGCCTGTAATCCAGAAGCTTGGGAGGCTGAGGCAGGAGAATCGCTTGAACCCAGGAGCCAGAGGTTGCAGTGAGCCGAGCCACTGCACGCCAGCCTGGGCGGCAGAGCAAGACTCTGTCTCAGAAAAAAAAAAAAAAAAGAAAAGAAAGAAATATTGGTCAAAATAAGTGAATGTGAATCAATACATAAACTGACCCAAGTATATAGTCACAATCTAGATATTTGTCTGAAAACTTTTCTTTGTCATGCAAATATACTCTATAGAAAATTTTTTAACACAGAAAAAATTTCATTGTAACAATGTGTTCTGTAATTTTTACCATTGGATTATTAGTGGGTATATGTTTTAACATGTTCCTGCAATTATAAATATTTATAAGTAAATATTCTTGCCTCAAATATTGCAGACAGTTTCTGGGTGTATATTAGCTGTGTCAAGTGCCGTATATACATTTTAAATGCTAAGTATGTTAATTTGGTCTCCTTCCAGAATGGTTGTGCCAATTTATACTCCCTAAGTCATTTATGAGTTTGCCTACCCATCTGCATACTCATCAGTATGAGTTTTTAAATAATTTTTAACTCTGTGAAATTAATTAAGGAGAAATGTGGGACATGTTATTTTATTGTTATTTTTTTGAAGAATTTTTTTTAAATTTTCAAATTTCTATTCTCTACAATGGACATAGTTTTTTCAGTTGCATGTACCTTTACTCTCAGTGCTTATTTCTCATTATAATTTAAAAAACATTTTATCTTTAAGAATATAATTCCTTTGCAACATATTTTTTCAAATTATTCATTTACCTTTTTATAGTTAATATTATGCCATAAAAATGTATTCTTGTCAGTATTACTGTTAACAGAGGTAGATATAATAATTTGTTTTACAGTTGCTCTTGTGTTATGTTTTTAAAGATTTTATACCCTTATTATATTGTATTTTTTCAACATAATATTATTAAAATATTACAATTTACTTTTACCCTAAAATATTTAAAACATAATTTATGTCGGCATATGTAGCATATTGATAAAATATTTTAGACAGTAATATTTGTTAAATAACATTTTTATTTATAGATTTCAATGTCATTTTTATTTTGATGTTGTTTTGTGACAAGGTCTCGCTCTGTCCCCCAGGCTGGAATGCAGTGGCACAATCATGGCTCACTGCTGCTTCCATCTCTCTGGCTAATGCAATTTTCCCACCTCTGACCCTTGAGTAGCTGGGACTACAGGTGCATGTCACCACATCTGGCTAATCTTTTAAATTTATTTTTTATATAGATGAGGCCTCACTCTGTTGCCCAAGGTGGTCTTGAATTCTTGGGCTCCAGCGTTCCTCCTGTTTCTGCCTCCCAAACTGTTGAGATTACAGGTGCAAGCCACCGCAACCAGTCCTTTTTTATTTTCTAATATACGTTTGAATCTCTTTGTGCATTATTTCTTATGTTTGATTTATCTATCTAACCACGTGCCTGTAAAAATACAGTTTATTTTATATTATATGGATTTTAATGCATGATAAACTGTCTGTATTAGTATTTATTTAAAAAAGTCAACTATTTTTTATTCTAAATGATATTTAGAGCTTCTTGACCAAGTCTATTAAAATTGATTATAATTAATATTACAAATTAAATGAGAATAATTTAAAAGGAGGAC
The DNA here is from genome assembly GCF_000001405.40 of Homo sapiens. Classification (NCBI taxonomy): domain Eukaryota; kingdom Metazoa; phylum Chordata; class Mammalia; order Primates; family Hominidae; genus Homo; species Homo sapiens. The sequence goes on from NC_000014.9 coordinate 41,045,917, forward strand.
CTTCTTATAGTTTTTCCATTATGAACTCTTTTAGGTAACATTTTCTGATGAAAGAGTGTTTACCCCTGGCCTTTTCTTATTTTATCTTCAGCATGTTCATATATTTAATGTTTTATTCTTCATAATATATTTTATTAAAATGTTTCTCTGATTATAAGTAATTTACAAAGAAATTAAATATACCTACAGACAGGAAATGTTTATTTTCATGAACTTTGTTGACTCATTTGATTATATTTGATTATCTACATGTCTTTTTTCCAACAGTATGCTTTTGTTTGTTGTTTTCAATTATTGTCTATGAAATCTTTGTTAAGCAACATATTGTCTATGAAACCTTTGTTAAGCAATATATTGTCCAAAGACCAATAGCAGTGACCTGACCTACAATAGCTTGTAAGAATTCAAAAAACCAGGTCATATCACAGATTTGTTATGATAGGTATTTTAACAAGACCCCAAGGTGATTCATATACCAATGGAAGTCTGAGAATATAGAACCTCCAGAATAAAACTTTGATTAGACTTTATGCATATATTCATCTTACCAGTGTCTGCCACTCATGGAAGCCATCACTAAATTGAATTTCTCCTGTTCTCATGTAAGTGCTCATGTTGTCTTTCTGATCTTTATGTCTGGACAAGCCAGTTGTGTGTTGTTTTGTTTTTGTTTTTTCACGTAGATAAGGTAGAGCAGTAGATTATTTGCTTCTGTTTGTGTGTGTGTGTGTGGGTGTGGGTGTGTGTGTGTGTGTGTGTTTATGGTCTCCCTTCTTACTCAGGGATACTATCTTTCAGAGAAGACAGAATAGCAACCTGGCCTTTTGCCTTTTTCATTTCATTCATTCCTAGATTAAATGTAACAGGAATGGCTAAATTGCTAATACGGTGATGGCATTCTTAATAATATTCTGCTTCAATATAGATTTTATTTGCTTTGTGCTCCACTCCATGGGCTCCTGAGGGTACAGACATCATATTGCTTATTTATAATCAAGTATATACATTGATTTTTCTGCTATTCACTATCTGGCATTTACCAAAATTCTGTATTACAGATTGACTAAGAAACCATCTAGATTTATGTTCTACTCAGTGTTATAAATAAGACATATGTCATTTAGAGGTTGGTCAGGTCAATTCAACAGCTACGAGTGATGTGAAATGGGACTTATTATGAGAATTAAACCTTACAATTGTAGGAGAAACTGAGAAATGAAGATCTGAAAGATGATCGTTGAAGTATCAATATCATTTACGATGGAACATAAAAGTGTGCTGCTGAAGAAGTCTATGGAAGGCTTTTACTCTTTTGTCTGGTGGTGGGCCCAGAGTTGATATAGTTCAGCCTTGCAGGCATTCTGGAAAAAATCTGGATGTAAGGGATAAGGGAAAAGTGAAGGAATGAAGGAAAGTAAGGGGAAACTGAAACCTATAAGCACAGAGTAGAACCTGTGGGGACAAACTGACAATTATCCCTGTTTCTCATGCTTTCTGCTCTGGGACTTCATGATGCCATGGTGTGGAACACATACTGTGAAAATCTGCTTTGTATGCACACATACATAGTCCTGAAATGCAAGAAAGTTATTACCCATGGGTCAAAACTTGACAAGTGAAGACAGAAGCAAGTAAATAAGTGATTCTTATAAATATCTCCTTTATTAAAACAAACAAACAAACAAAAATAATTTGGGTTTCTAAAGTCAGGGCTTCTTGGTTAATTGTGCCCCTCTATCTGAATGCTTTAGCTACCTGTAAAAAATGACAATGTTTTCATTTTAACTTAGCCTTATATAACCAGCTCAGGAGTACAGAACTCGTCAAGTATTGGAAGAGAGTAGAATCACTACTGTTAATTGTGTTGTTGTCATCACTGTATTTGTAAACATATCCTGGTAGCTTTCATGCCTTTGTTTGTTTATAGTCACTCAGACTTCAGGCTAGAGGCTTGCTGTAATAGTTTCTTTCCTTGGCTTTTTATCTGCCTATACTGTCATTCATCTTTCAATCATCACTTTGCTAGATAAATGTCCTGTTTCACTGATATGTGTGCTTTTTGTATGAGGCCTTGTCAGTGTTGGGGAAATATGTTCTATCATATGTGCATTTGATCTGTTTCACAGCCATGACATTATTATGTACATATGTATTCCATTATCCCAGATTTCTCATCATCTTGCAGATTTCTTCCATATTTATAATTTTCCTTACTCCGTCTTCTCAGAAATGTATTTATTTCACTATACTTTTAGTATAATATATGTCACATATGTGATCAATCTATATTAGAGCAACTTTTATATACAGAAACAATATGGGGAATGATGGATTGTAAATGAATAATGAAGATTGTTTTAGTTTATTCTCAGAATTTTCTTATTTAAAGAATATGTTCTAGTATTCTGTATTTTGTCAATATACTAACAGTACATTAGTATTTCACCTCTCAGGAGATGATACTAGTAAGTTCAAATAAAGCCTTGAGCTCAATTGTGTGTAGACATATTGCTGAGAGATAGTAAATGGCATTCCAACGTCAAGATGTAGTTGAAATGATAAAAGTCATTGTCTGCCTAGGTGAGTGAATTCTAAATTCAAGTGTTGGGAAAGATATGGACTAACGTTCAAAGATCAATGAGTCAATATAGGGCCAGCCATGGTGGTTCACTCCTGTATTCCCAGCAATTTGGGAGGCCAAGGCAGGCAGATCACCTGAGGTCAGGAGTTCAAAACCAGCCTGCCCAACATTGTGAAACCCTGTCTCTACTAAGAATGCAAAAATTAGCTGGGCTTGGTGGCAAGCGTCTGTAATCCCAGCTACTTAGGAGGCTGAGACAGGAGAATCTCTTGAACCCGGTAAGCGGAGGTGGCAGTGAGCCGAGACAGCACCATTGAACTCCAGCCTTGGCGACTAGTGAAACTTGACAAGAGTCTCAATAAATAAATAAATAAATAAGTCAATATAATGACAGTGTATTTTGCAAGTCATAACAAATGTTTATTTTTTTTAAAAAAAGTACTGAAAAGAAATTTATTTAATAATTACTGTATAAAATTGAAAAACTAAGTATTTATTATATTCATATTATTAGGTAGTGAACCACGTTCAAACTTAGGCATCATTTTATTTTGCATTGGTCTATGGGAACATTTTATATACACATAAAAATTACAAACAAGAATTATTTTAAAAACTCTAAAAATCCTTAGTCAAAGCTCTTTTGTGCGTAACAGCTGTCCAAGGATGTAACTTGGTTAATGTTACTCTGTGGAAAACTGAGCTGACTACACTTTCCGATATCTGAGGAAAACATTTGAAGTCTACATGAAATGGATTAGTTGTAAATCATGAATGTATTTTTCTTGCATGCTTTATTAGGATAGTACAAAAAGCAAGATTTTAATGTCATGTAGATATTTCTAGACCTTATTATTTATTTATTTATTTATTTATTTATTTATTTATTTATTTATTTTGAGATAGAGTCTCACTCTGTTGCCCAGGCTACAGTGCAGTGGTGCGATCTCCGCTCACTGCAAGCTCCGCCTGCCGGGTTCACGCCATTCTCCTGCCTCAGCCTCCCGAGTAGCTGGGACTACAGGCACCCGCCACCACGCCCTGCTAATTTTGTGTATTTTTAGTAGAGACGGGGTTTCACCGTGTTAGCCAGGATGGTCTCGATCTCCTGACCTCGTGTTCCGCCTGCCTCCGCCTCCCAAAGTGCTGGGATTACAGGCGTGAGCCACCGCGGCCAGCCCTTATATTTTAAAAATTACAATGTAATTACAAATAAATTTCTTCTTTTCTCCTTCTTCTTTAAATGGGAATTATTCCTCTTTTTACCAGGTAGGAATGATGTTAGGTTTACTGTGTTTTAAATGCACTTATTACTTTCCAATTAATTTCAAAACTTTGTAAAAAGTAATATATCTTCTATATTTAAAGGTTTGAGCGTAGTTCATAGAACCATGTTGTTGAATATGCAATTATTTACTAGAGTAATTGTTTTCCTGGGAACAATATACCAATATTGTTCTATGGACCATATCTAAGATTTTAAATATTCAAGCTTATGTAAAATAAATGTCGTCTGCTCTAATATAGTCATTTCACCTGCATTTAAAATTATCACCTATCAAGTCAGAATGGTTGCTGAACTTGAAAAATTATATTTAATGGGAAATCATGAATGAACACAGATGTTTCTCATTCAAGTATCATTTCCCCCCTAGTTGATGGCTTCTTGCTTAGTAGGGCATGGAATTTAAGACTAGAAACTACTTTCCTGAGAAAAAGTGATAAAGAATAGGGTTATTATTTCTTTTGGGAAGTGGTTGCTTGAAACATGACTAAAATGTGCCAAAACTAAAAAAGAAAAAAAAGAAAAAAAAAAAGCTTAAACTCTAAACCACTACTAAATTGTCTTGTGTGAAAATCAATGAAGTTATCATACTACCACCACAGCTTTACTCCCAAAACCTTCGTTATAATTTGCATGTTTAAAACAAAAGGCAAATTCTGATTTGAAAAATAAAATGCTTATTTTCATGGCTACAAATGTTACTTCTTTTTATTTGAGAGTTAAGACTTTGAAGAAGAAAAGTCCATATCGAGAGGGAATAGTGACTCATGGATGAACAATATTTCATTTTCTAGACTACAGCTAATGTCACAAGCAAATTAACTTTTTTGACACATGACTTATCATCAAGCCTAGGGATAATAGGTTTAACTATAGAATTTCAATTCAATTAATCTGAAACTTAATCTCAGGTAAAGTATGAGAAATACCTAGATGAAAATATAAAGAACAACAGAGTATAAATGACTTAAAGAAAGAGAGACAATCGGTCTGATATAGATTATAGAAAGGAAGAAAATAGGTATTTTCTTTAATGGAAAGTAAAAAAAAAAAATTGGTGACAAAATTGCAGTATAGATGATGGGCAAAAATAGAACTTGAAATTTTAACAAACCAAAATATAATTGTAGAAATGTTGACATAATTGAGAGAGTTTATAAGCAAAAAAGCAAAGAAATTATAGGTCCAACTAGTACATATATATCTATAATTTTTTAAAAGAATAAAAAATTGTTGGATTTAAATGATAAAAGAAGTGTACTTAAATAGCTCACTTTGGAAGAGAATGTTATAGAAGAACAAAATTGACATTAAAAAGTATATTAGAAAAAAGTAAACCTTGACTTTGGTACATAGTTACACTAAAATCAGGTCGTTTAATAAAGTGTTTCTTTCACTTGGCTTACATTATCATTGCTCAGACTTGCAAGTTTGAAACACCAAAGTTATTACTTGGTTTTAATTATCACACACAAGGGACACATTATCCAAAAAAGAAATGGTGGAAATCTTGAAGTGAATTGATCAGATATTGTATATGTTTCTAATTTCAAATGAAAGAAATGTTGAATAGTAAGTATAACTACCAGTGACTGCTTGCCTTGTGTGGTGGCAGTTAATTACAAACACATTACTATATTAGCAGCCCCAAATTTGGTATGACTGCCGTGATATTTTGTTTGTGTATTTGAAATAAAAATGGAAAATACACGTTTTTTCAATGTGTATTTTGAAATGAAAATGAAGAAACAGGGAGATATTTAATACGAAAGACTAAAACATTAAATTCAAAATAATGTCACAATTATGATATGATGCAGGTTTTATAGAAATTTTATTAGCTTTACATACAATGTATGTAGATTTTCCATGAATTAAAAATTCATGACTTACCAACAAAGACTCTAAAAGTTGTTCCTTCTCTCCTTCCCCCTCGTCCATTCTCTCTCTCTCTCTTTCTGTCACTCTTTGTCATCAGCAATATCCAATAGTATTGTAATAATATCTGAATCTTGCTTTTTCTTCACAAGATATTAGATTAATAAACTCAGACATTATTATTATTATTATTTTGAGACAGAGTTTCGCTCTGTTGCCCAGGCTGGAGTTCAGTGGCACAGTCTCGGCTCACTGCAACCCCCGCCTCCATGGTTGAAGTGATTCTCCTGCCTCAGCCTGCCAAGTAGGTGTGATTACAGGCACCCGCCACTAAGCCTGGCTAAGTTTTTTGTATTTTTAGTAGAGACGGGGTTTCCCCACGTTGGCCAGGCAGGTCTCAATGCACCCCTTGGCCTCTCCAAGTGCTAGAATTGCAGGCCTAAGCCACTATGTGCGGCCCAGACATTAATTTTGAGTAAGGAAATAGCATTGCTTGCATATTGACTATTCAGATAATTAATTAGATGCAAAACTTGCCACATAAGAATTTAAATAACATACTCATGCCACTGAGGCAAGTGTTAAGGGTAAATTATTTAACAAGATTGAAATCCATCAATCAGAAGAGTGTTGAAACAGTTTCACTGGTAAATAATTTTCTTCCAAATGATTTTTCCATATATATTATTAAATTGGTTTGTTATAGTGGTAACAGGGTTTGGCTCCTGTAAGATGTGGGATTTTTGTTTGTTTGAATTGATGGGTTCGGCAGCAATAAATGAAAACACAATTAAAAGAGGCTTAAATATACATGGTATGTGTTATGTCACGTAGGAACTCTAGAGCTTCATGGCTACAAAATTTGCTAAGTCATTGACTCAAATATGTAATTAAGGCTAAAATTTTCCCCCCACTTTCACTCTGCACCTTCAGCATGCTTGCCAAGACTTTCATGTTGATATGATAATGTCAGATACATAGGGATTACAACTACACAAATCAAGGAGGGGAGGGGAAGATCGAAGATGATGTGGTATGTCTGATTTTTAAAATCATTTTACTCTGATATAATTTCAAACTCAAAAAATTTCCAAAAGTAGCAAAAGTAAACAAGTACACATAAAGAGGCATGTTTCTTTTTCCTGACATTTAAGCACATTAATGCTTAATTGTTTAATGCTTAGTTAATGGTTAATGTGGTTTCTGTCAGATTTCTCTCCTGTGAATTTCCTAGTTTTCCTTTTGTATTAACTAAATAGATATTAGCGGATATTTTGAAGCTGTCTGGATAAGTTTCATATACAGTTTTCACCCACTAGTTTTAGTAAACATTAATCATTTTCTAAATAGATTACTCATCCACATTAATTAGTTGATACTCTGTTCAAAAGAAGAATTTTAATTTTGTGTTATTTATTTATTTACTTATGGACATGCTGGTTATAGTATTTAACTCATTACAATATTTGGTAATTTTGATTGTAAAGTTGTCTCTGAATTGGCTAATGATAGCACTGTAGATGTAATTGTACCCTTTCAACACATTTCGGTCATTTTTTAGCACTTCTTTTATTTCTGGCTTAACAAGGTTTTTCTTGCTTATCTCTTAACATCCCTGCCGTAGATCTGAAATCTATAATTTCTCTAAAGAGTTAACGTTTTGTGTGTTTGTAAGGAATGATATTTAGAAGCCAAAGGCTGAGATCCGAGTGCTGGGTGTGCTCATTGCTACTGAGGAACTATTTTCAGGAGACAATATAAGAACATTACATACATATAAATAGGTAGATACACACATATATAGTTGTTTATATGCTATATATGTTCATATGAATGTATTTGGGCATATATACACATATGTGTATGTTTATGTTTATATACATATGTATGTATATGCACACAAATAGAGGTTTGTGTATGTGCATATATGTAATTTGAAGCTAAAAATCAAGGAAACAGATTATTCTCAAGATCCTCCAGAATGAACCAGGCCTGAACACTTTATGACTTTAGCCAGTGAGACTGATTTTATACTTCTGACCTCCAGAATTGTAAGAAAATAACTTTTTGTTGTTTTAAAACACTAAGCTTGTAATGATTTGTTACAGTAGCAATAAGAAACTAATCACATACCGTTTAGATTTTAGTATTTTATTTTTTTGGTAAAACGTACAAAGATGTACAGACCTTAAGTGTACAATTAGACAATTTTTGTAAATGTAAATATGCAAAACCAGGATACAATTGGGATATCAGGATAACCATTATCTTGATGATTTTCAACACCTTTAAAATTATCCTAACAGCTCTTTCACTGGGACATCCCTTTTGTCTCAGTAAATCACTGAACTGATGTATGTCACCATAGATTATTTTGATTAATGTGAAAGTTTACACAAAGGAGACAATACAACATGCATTCTTTTCTGTCTCACTTATTTTGCACAACACGGTATCAGGGTAATTCTTCCATGTGGTTGCACGTATCCACATTTCATTTGTATTGCTAAGCAATATTCTATTGTATCAATATATGACTTTTTATCCATTCACTGATTGATACACATCTTGTTTATTTCTAGTGTTAGACCATTACAGGGAAAAAATGGGCCTATCATCCTGAGGCATAGGTTTTAATTTATCCTAGGAAAATACCTAGTAGCAAAAAATGCTTAACCTGGGATAGCTAATCATTTGCCTTTATAAGGAAGTATCAAACTATTTTCCAAGGTGACTTAATACTTAACACTCTTACAAACAGTATATAAAAATTCCCGTTGTTCCATATTCTAGACAGCACTAGGTATTTCAAACTTATTAATTCCAACTATCTAGTATATTGAAAAAGTTGTTTTTATAACTATTGTGAGTTTGTTGAGCTTCTTGAAATTATAAATTTTAGACTTATCATCAATGCTCAGCAATTTTACACCATTCGTATTTCATTGCCTTGGTCTCATTCTCTCTCTCCTTTTCTACTGAAGCTCCATTTGTTATAGCACCTGATATTTTTCCACAGGTCATAAAAGACCTGATCATTTCATTGCAGTTTTTATTCTATTTGTCATAGCTGATAATTTCTATTAATTTATCTTCTGGGTTATCAACACTTTCTTTTATTTTTTCAATATGCAGTTAAGCTCATGTAGTGATTTTTCTTCTTTATATGTAGTTTTTATGATAAATATTTTTATAGTTTTTTAAAAATTTGTGATGCTTCTCCATTTGTTACTCATTAGGACTGTATTTTACTTTAGGTCATTGAGCCTATTTATAATATTGTTTAAAAGTCACTTTCTGCTAATTTTAACATTGTTACATTGCAGTCAATTTCTGCTGACTTATTTTTCTCTCTGTGGGTTCATGAATTTGTTTCTTCAGATATGTATGTATATATATATATATATATATATATAGCATTTTAAATTGCATAATATAAATTGTGGATGATACACTGTAGGGTACCTAATTATTTTATATTTCTCATAAGAATTTTGATTATCTTCTTAGAAGGTTTTTACTTTAATGACACTTAAGTTACAAACTCAATCTCTCTTGAGGGGTGGGGTAAAACCTCCTACTCAGCCTTCTTAATGCCTTAAACTATTGTTTTCTGACAGAACTTTAGGAAAACCTCCTGCATATGTGTAGTCCACATGTTATTCAAGGATTTCAGTACAGTTTATATGAGCATTTTAAAAATCCCTGTACTTCTTCCTTCCTAGGTTCCTTTCTCTAAATTTCCACAAGCTATGATACCCCCAGAATGAATCCTCCAACTCCTGAATCCAATAAAAGTTTGTTTGAATTTTAGCCACACCAATTTTTTTCTTTGAATTATTACTACACCAGGCTTCATAGATTGGAGAGTGTCCTCAGGTAAAAAGATACATAAATGTGAATACTACATATTGTAATTTCTTTCTTTGCTAGGTTATATCTCTTCAATTTCTGCCTGCTTTAGTCACTCTCCAGTGCTGCAAACTAATTTTTTTTCAGCTGGAGCATATAACATAACTTTCCTAGTGGAACTTGAAATTTTGTTTGTGTGATATTTCTTGCAGACTTCCTAGGGTTTCATTTGCAGGAAGGTATTGTGTGCTCATCTACAAATCTATCAATCAACTTGACAAATGACTGCCAAGATAGGCCACACCAAGTGAAGCTTTTGCTCTTCATTCTGAATTGGAGATCAGCCTTCTCTGATATATCTGAAAGCAAGGAAGTGGCAGAAACAAAAGTGGAGTGTCTAGGCCTTACAAAGCGAGATTTAAAAAAATCTATTCTGATATCTCACTTTCCACAAAATTAACACTGAGAAATGAATATAGAATACCAATCTTTCTGTAAGATTTTTTTTTTCAAAGTAGATTTTAGAACATTTTAGAACATTCCAGGATAAGTGGTTGGTTGAGTTAGGAGATCCAAAATGCCACAAGATTAATATAGCATACCTTCCAGAAAGGTCAATTATACTTGGTATTATGCAAAACTAAAATATTTGATATTCAATTTTGGAGTAGAGTGAATATTGAATTGTAGTACCTGCTTTAAATTAATATTTATAAAATAATTATTAAACAATTATACTGAAGCACATTTATCCTTGCCATTTATACATAACAATCAAAATATTAATTATGCAATCAATATTTATAAACTATAGGTATAAACATTTGTATTTTACCAAAAGTAAACAAAATTGATTGATTTTAGCATAAAACAAATGTTTTTCTAGTAGCATGGCTTCCATTAAATGTTTTGCCTTATTTTATAACACGTTAAAATATTTTTCTTTAATCTTTTTTTTCTCTTTTCATGTAGACTGCCTTCATTGATTTAAAGACAGTACTCTTGATTTATTCTATTTCACCTTTCCTTTTCATCAGGTCTGCTCCTAATGTCCTTTAATGATGCACATTATTAATGCTGACAAAAACTAAGACAAATATAAATTTTATGCTCATGTGGAAGACAAATTTGTAAAGTCAAGTTATCATTATTTCATAATTTATTACCTGGGTAAAAAGCTGCCACATAACATCTGGCTGATTCTTTGCAACACAGCTTTAATAATCAGATATTAGTTACGGGATTGACTTTTTTGAATTATCAGGAAGATATGTTATTGATTTGTAAAATTTAAAATGCAAAAACAGTTTTAATGTAGCAAATTCCTGGGCTATAGAAAAGTAAGACAATTATTGATACCCTTTGCTGATTCATTGTCTTATTTGGTCAAAGACCAAAGTGTTTTGATTTATTGCAGGAAAGTACCAGAGGGAAAATACTTCCATTTTTCCTCTTGACAAACATCAATTGTTGATAGGCTAGCTGAAGTCACATTTATCAACTTATGCTCTGCTGCAGGAGAATTCTATTGAATTATAAAGTATTCCAGATTCACTAAAACCACTAGAGTCACAGACATAGGCTTTCTATAAAATACAGTGTGCATTTGTCAGTCTTTCCTTGTTTACTTTCCTTTAGTCCCATTTTCACCACAGCTGGGTTACTTGGTGCCAACCAGAACTCTGCCTCCCTCCACCTTAAACTATAAATCTTTATGCAAGGCAAGAAGAATTCAATGCTGTTTAGTCCAGTTACCTGATACTGTGTTTCAGATTTGTTAGTAGCCTGTGATCAATTCTCACAGTAGAGTTTTTCCTTTTTTTACGCTGGAGATTTCACCACCATCTTCTTACTTAACATCACAAACATCTAGACAAACTCCCTCCTGTTTCGTCAATTTTACTAAAAGAATTTCATTGTATGCTCTCAACTCAAGTTCTCTCTTATTCAGGATTTTGTCTTATCCCGTTTCTTTATTGTGTATCTATTTACTTAATCCTGATAGATTTAAATTAGCCACTTAGGATTCTTTAATAGAGTATCTTTTAATTTCTGCTTTTTAGGCAGTGGCAAAATAAATGTAAAATTTACCATTTGAACCATTTTTAAGTGTACAATTCAGTGGCATTAAGTACATTCATATTGTTGTGAAATCATCATCACCATCCATCTCCAGAACTTTTTCATCATCCCAAACAAAAATCTATGCTTATTAAAAAATAATTCCTTATTTCCTTCTCTTTTTAGGCCCTCAGAAGCCCTATTTCTCTTTTTGTCTCTACAGTTGACTTTTCTAGGTAATTTATATAAATAGAATGAAGCAGTAGTTGTACTTTTGTGACTGGCTTATTTTACTTAGCATGTTTATAAGGTTCATCCATGTTGTAGCATATGTCAGAATTTCATGTCTTTTAAGGCTGAATCATATTACATTATTTACCACATTATTCCACATATTTATTCTATCTGTTAATGGACATTTGGTTTGCTTTCACATTTTTCTATTGTGAGTAATGCTGATATGAACATTGGATTACAAATATCTCTTCAAGTTCTTCCTTTCAATTACGTGTGTATATACCTAAAAGTGGAAGTGTTAGATCACATGATAATTCTGTTCTTCATTTTTTGAAGAAATACCATACAGTCTTCCTCAGTAGCTGTGCCATTTTACATTCTCACCAGCAATATGCAAGCGTTTCAATTTCTCCACATTCTTGCCAACACTTATTTTATTTTTTTATAATAGACATCCTAATGGGTGTGAATTGGTATCTTCTTATGGTTTTGATTTGCACTCCCAATGTTTAGTGTCATGACTAATTTTAACTGAATAATTATTATGCCTTTGGTATTCAGTGTTTAATATAGCATTAAATTACAGTAACATCATTATCTAGTACTTTCAGACTTAAATATTCAGTCTAAATCATTTTCTACATAAATGAATGTTATTTCTTTAAAGATGTCATTTACTTTTTGCATTACAGGAAATACGTTGTGAAAATTCCAAAGGTTTTCCTGATAATTATTAGCTAGATAAATGTATACTGGAAAAATCAGACATTTTGGGATCAAACAGAAACATCTTGACATATGCCTCTGCTTCCTAAATTTAATGAATGAGGACAACTATATAAACATCCCAATCTCAATTTCTTCATCTAAAAATAAAGAAACAAAAAATGCTGACATCATATGGTCTAAACCAAGGGTTATTGGGGTAGCTTGATTACTTTTCAGTAAATATGAAATGCTTTCTTCTTCTTTGGGTGGAGTATACCTACCTGGGGTTGGGTATACTACATTCCTGGTGTTGGGCTTAGACATGTAAGATGATTTGGCCAATGAAATGTTAGTGGATTATTTCAAGCAGGCCTTAATGTGATTGCCCAGTTTGGCTTAGATCTTGTGATTAATTTATTGTGAGAACAATATACCAGAGGTATCTGCTGATCCACAGGTATTGAGGTTCACTTGTCGCTGACCTGATCCTAATCCACTGCCTTGAGCGAAGCCTATCTTGCTGCAGAGCTAAGCTTAGCCTGAATCAGTTAAACTGCAGTCAATCTGGAAACCAGTGTGATAACCATTTTTTTGTTTTGTAAGTCACTGAACTTGTGACTATCGCTGCATTAGGTACGCTATTGCATGAGCAGATAATAGACACAGTTGTTATTTTTTTCCATGATATTTACAGCCTAGTGAATCATAATAGATGCATTTTCAGAATAATGTCTTACATTTTTTAAAATTAAATATAATTACCAAAGAAACCAACAACATTGAAATACCAAATATTTTATAAAATTTAATTTGGAAGAGAGTACTATGGGTGCTTCTTTGTTTACATGTTAAATAACAAGATATATCAGTAAGCCTATTAACTAACACAATTTTCAAGATGATAAAGATAACAATATGTTTAAATCTATACAACTTCTGTAATAATTGTATAAAATTGTAAAAATTGTAATAATTGTATAAAATATATGCAATTTCTATTGGGGAGAAAATCACTATAAGTGTTAAATTGCTAAGACATATGGTTTCTATTTATAATTGAAGGATATGTTAAATTGAAGTGAAAATGAAGAGCAATTTTTATAACTTCCTTGCATGCCACTTTCTTCATCTCTGAGTTGATGTCTTTTGATTGTTAACTAGGGCATTGTATGAGAAGTGCTTAGCATAATGCCTAGTATTATAAGATATTCAGTAATTGTTCATGTATGTAGCTTAGTCATGGTCACTACCAAAAAGTTTACACATATATTTTGAATATGAGACCAACTGTGAGAACAACTATAGTATTTGAACCTTACCACCACAACAGAACAGATCACACTGTACCTTAAGTGTCTAGGGACTATAAAGAATACTAGAGTTTAATTCTGACAGTATTAACAAATTCTTCTTTATCAAAGTACTTAAGCAGAATGAAGACTCAGCTTGAACATAAATAGGAAAGTCAGTTGAGGGCATGCAAAGGAAAAGGCAAATAGAAGTCTGTGGTTACAGTACAGACATATCAGGGTATTGAGAATATGACACTCGGAAGGTAAGTTATTCCCATAGTGTCAAATTGTGGTGAATATTAAACTAGGATATTTTGGTTTATTTCTGTAAGTGGTCAGGAATCATGAGATACACAAATTTTTGTTTGCAGACAACAATTATTGTTAGAGGATTTGGTATTTTCAGAGAAAGTACTCATAATTCTGCAATAAAGAAATAGTAGGAAATAAGAACTTGAAATATGGCAATAAAAATTTCAAGGAATTCACAAATGCAAGACATGTTTAAATCCAATTCTCAAGTTATAATAGAAAGATTCAATCTCATCCTGAGAAATTATTCATATGATTTTTTGCCTCTGTATGAGACTATGTGATTATCATATGTAAGTGCATGTACACACATACACACACCCAAATTTGCATAAAAAGTGTAATGAAAACTTCCTATACACCCTATACCTTTTGCATCCCTCATTATAGGAGATAGTATTATGACAACTTTTCTTTTTCAGGATTCCATTATTTATAAATGTAAATAAGAATGTCACTTTGATTTAAACTCATAGTCACTTGGAGACTGAGATTAAATAGCATTTGCCCAAGATTATTCAAATATCAAATAGAATTTTAAGTGCATTTTGAAATCCCAAATCAACATAACAACACTGGTAGAAATAAATTTTTCAGTTTGCACCTTAAGTGCCCAAAGTCTCTGTTCTTAGCAGAATACGATAAAACACTGAATTTTATCTGAGATGAAGGCAAGTGAGAAGGTTAAAAATTTAAGCAAGTCATCATGTAATCTGATATCTGGGAGCGAGTAGAGAACAAAGAAATAAGTAATGGTTAGAAATTTTGAAGACCAAGCTTACTTTTATTTCTCAACAATGGTGTGAAATCATCTAATCTTTAAAAGCAAAATGAATATAATACTTCTTACCTCATGAACCTGTTTTAAGAATTATAAGATTAATATTTGCAAAGCTATTAATATATGCAGCTTATAGGATGCTTTCAAGGATTAAATTGGAAAACTGAATCTTGTCAAACACTTCCATTCACAGCATCACCAAATCCATGTTAGCTGTCTGCACATCTTATAAGAAAGAGGTAGAAATCTAGAGAAAAACTACAAAGAAAAGAGAAGTAGACAAAGATTGATGAAAACAATCCCCAGAAAGTCTACCCTATGTAGTAAAATAATGAAAAAATTCATTGGCACATCAGAGCACTTACTCCAGAGAAGAGACTTAAAAGTGTACAGGGTACATGAGAATGCAGTCTTGGAATTATAATGCCCTAAGGATAGAAATAAAGCAAGTGTGAAGTATCCTCGTGTGGTTTGGAACTGTGTCCCCGAAAAATCTCATGTTGAATTTTAATCCCCACCGTTGGAGGGTGGCCTGGTGGGAGGCCTGGTGGGAGGAGAAATCCATGGGGATGGATTTCTAATGAATGGTTTAGTACCATCCATTTGCTGCTGTTCTCATGACAGTGAGTGAGTTCTTGTGGCATCTGGTTGTTTAAAAGTGTGTAGCATCTCCCCACTCACACTCTCTCTCTTGCTCCTGCTCTGGCCATCTGATGTGTCTGTTCCCCGTTTGCCTTCTGCCATGACTGGAAGCTTTCTGAGCCTTCCCCAGAAGCAGATGCTGACATGCTTCCTCTATAGCCTGCAGAACTATGAGCCAATTAAAACTCTGGTTTTTATATAAAAAAATGACCCAGTGTGTTATTTCTTTATAGCAATGTGAGAATGAACTGATACATACCCTAAGGGAAATGAGCACTGAAGAGGAAGGCGACTGTTAACAAGGAGAAAAAGAAACTTAGAATGGGAAAGGACATAAGAAAATTAAACATGGAAAGAAACAAAACATCCCCAAATTTTCCTCAAAACAAACAAATATTCATCCACTAAAGAAACCATATTTTGCTTTACTAAAAGAAAAGATTGCTCTTGAACTAGAAATCTGGTAACAAATAAAAGGTCAGGTCTACCCACGGAAATGAAAAAATATAGACTGTTTTCACGTATATAAAAATTTTTTTAAAAACAGGAAATGATAATCCCAATAATTCAGCAGATACCACCCAACCAGTGGCAAAGTAGAAGTGATATATAATGTAGCACTTTGTGATGGATTAAATGTTTTCTTTATAATCTGTTTATCTGGCCAGTGGACATGGGAAGAGAGCATGAGTAGAAGACTACAAAAAAGCTTTTAAGAGTCATGTCTGAAAATAGTATGCATCACCTTCTTACATATCCCAGTGGCTCCCTCTAATTACATGGCATCATCTAGATCCAGTAGAGCTGATAGCTATGCTCTAGCCATATCAAGGAAAGAAACACATTATATATATATATATACACACACACACATTATATATATATATATATACATTATATATATATATATACACATTATATATATATATATATATATACACATTATATATATATTGGTGAGAACCAGTAGTCACTCTCATGACATACGTAATGGGCTACGATTTTGCCAGCATGGCTTAATTAAGGTGGTGAGAGTGAGTATAATAAATAAGGTAAAGGAAAAAAACAAGGTTTAGACCAGCATCAGAGAGGGATCTGATTTGGATTTTTTTTTATTATTGCTTATAAAATAATGAGATCCCCTATGAACGAATCAAAGGATAAAGTCCTGGTATGCTCCAAAACATGGAATGAAAGTGAAGAGCAGAAGCCAAAAACAACAACAACAAACAGTAAAAGAGATATATGAAAGTTGATGAAAAAACAAAGCAGAGACACAGTTAAAAAATTCTAGAAAACTCCTTCCAAATGAGGATAATAAATTACGGCAAATGCTACTGAGAGGCTAACTTAGATGTGAACATAGAAACAATTAAATTATGACATGATAATATTATTCAGTGACCTGTTTAGTGAAGTCATCAGGGATAAAAGACAACTAGAATGAGTAACAGAATGGGTGACTAAGAAGGGAGACAGTGATTCAGACTAGTCCTTCAGGCTTTCCTTAATAGACCATTACTGTAAAATCAACAACCATGTTAACTCAACTTCCATTACTTACTGTGTTGCAGGCATTAAAGGAAGCACTAGAAAAAATAAATGAAACATAAATTCAATTCTCAAGAAACTTACAATTTGGTGGGTAGCCCATTCAGTCAGATAAAATAATAAATCCCATTTAATGTTTTAGGATTTTTACTATCTGTAGAGAACATGGCACACTAGGGACACCAAGAAGGACATTATCAGCTCAGTTTAATTAAGTATTTTATTATCTCTGAAGGTAAGTAGTGAATAATGTCTATCCTATCTGCTGTCAAACCTAAAGTATATTACCAGCCTGACTGTTATTTTTAGCTCTGTCATATATTCATGTATTTAAGTTTCTTTTAAATACAGTTTTACCATTTGCCTCTATAATTTTTGATATGAAGAAATTATTAGACTCCATTTACTATATGATATGTTTTGGATCTGTGTCCCCACCAAATCTTGTGTCAAATTGTAATCCCCAGTGTTGGAGGTGGGGCCTGGTGGGAGGTGATTGGATTATGGGGGTGTATTACTCATGAATGATTTAACACCATCCCCCTTGGTACCGTGGTTTTGATAGTGAGGGAGTTCTCCTGAGATCTGGTTGTTTCAAAGTGCTTAGCACCTCTATCCCCATCTTTTGCTCCTGTTGGGCCATGTAAGATGTGTGTGCTTCCCCTTCACCTTTGCCATGATTGTAAGTTTCTAAGACCTCCCCAGAAGCAAGAGCTACTATGCTTTCCGTACAACCTGCAGAACCATGAGCCAATTAAACCTCCTTTTTACCCATTAAAGTTAATGGGTGCAGCACACCAACATGGCACATGTATACATATGTAACAAACCTGCACGTTGTGCACATGTACCCTAAAACTTAAAGTATAATAATAATAAAATTTTTAAAAAACCTCTTTTTTTAAAAAAAAAATATTACCCAGTTTCAGGTATTTCTTTATGGCAATGCAAGAATGGACTAATACCATGTATAATATTGCATTTATTTCTGTAACCTCCATATTCCCTTCCATTTCTTTCACTTTGTCACCAGATTATACTTATCAGTCTGATTAAATCTTTTGCCAAAGGTCATCATAGAGTTCATGATCAATTATTGTGCTTCAATGTAGTTTTAAGAATAATATTGTATAAGATTTTTAAAATATATGATTTTTAAATGAATTCAACAAATGTGATTTTTGTGAAATTATTGTGCTTGGTATTACCAGGCAATTAATTTTCCATCTTTTTCCTTTGATCTGAGATAAATGAAGTGGAACATGTTACTAAATAGGATTTTGTTCTTGTTAAGCCATATGATGATTATATATTGAATTATTTCCAAATTAAGCTCCAAATACAATATACATGACAAACATATTTAAGATTAGTATTCCTTATTCAAAGAATAACTTCAATAATACATGCTGAAAAGAATCGATGAGAATAAATATTTCATAATCTTTAAAAATTCCATTACATTTCATTTACTTCATATGGAAAATTCATAAAACTCATAAATAATTAAAACTAAATTATGTTTATCAAAGTAAATTAAAACATAATATTTTATACATTTTTGTGTTTGTTTACCTAATTGTTTTTCACCAAAATCAGTAATTTGCAGTATTTCTTCTCAACATGAATATATATAAAAGGCATCAATCATTCTTAAATTTTGTGTATAGAATCTTTATTGTTAATCCTGTTATTTTTCCCCCAAAAATATTTTTACAAGTGCATCATTTTGTTTTTGGATGCTCTTCTTAAAAGCAAAACAGATTGGGTGCAGTGTCTCATGCCTGTAATCCCAGCACTTTGGGAGGCTGAGGCTGATCACCTGAGGTCAGGAGTTTGAGACCAGCCTGGACAACATGGCGAAAACTTGTCTCTACTAAAAATACAAAAATTAGACAGGCGAGGTGGCCCGTGCCTGTAATCCTAGCTACTCAGGAGGCTGAGGCACGGGAATCACTTGAACTTGGGAGGTGGAGATTGCAGTGAGCCAAGATCATGCCATTGCTCTCCAGCCTGGGTGACAAAGCAAGACTCTGTCTCAAAATAAAACAAAATAAAATAAAATAAACATACCCTAAAATTTAATTGACTGCTCTCAGTTTCTAGTTCTTTCACACTTGTGTAAAGAGAGTTGTTGCTTCATCATTTTCTGAAAAAGCAGACTTTAAAAAATTGAATGAAATCAGTTGTTAGCAAAGAAAGGAGAAGCCATTGGAAATAGCCTACATATGCCCCATTCCATTTTTTCATTTTATTTATTTATTATTTATTTTATTGATACATAATAGTTGTACATATTAATGGGGTGAATGGGATATTTTGATACATGCGTATGACGTGGTTCTGATGAAAGTGTTTTCCCATAAGCGAGTTTTAGATACATGTGACATTTAGAACTTACATTGTTTGTAAACATATTATAAACCATATTGAGCTCACCACAGAACTACAGTAAAAGCCCTAGAGATTATAGTCCAACCCCTTTTACTTGTAACCCAGTGAGTTTGTAACTCTTCTACATTGCGTAGAACTCTAAAGAGAATACCCCCAATTTGATATGAATCAAGCATTTCCTCCTTAGTTATACTGTATGTATTATTATCTCTAGTAGCAGAGTATCTAGTAGTACAACATGAAGTGTAAAACTGTTTATTTCATGCCTCTGTCGAGTCCCTCAATGGTTTTTCCCTCTCCCAGTGAGGGCCGAGGCCCCTGATCATAATCTAGAAGCTAGAAGGCTCTTAGGATCTGGCCTTTGGTTTCGTCTGTCCTCATCTGTGATTCTTCCTGCCTTTCTCCTCTGTCTTGTAGTCATACTCTTCTCCCTCCTGTTCCTTCACAACATCAGGCACATCATCTGCTCTGGTCTTTGTTCTGACTCTTACCTCTCTTTCTGCGCTCTTCCCCTAGATGTCCATACAGTTAGATCCCTCACTTCCTTCTTGTTCTTAAATAAAAATCTTGTCTATAAACCTTACACAAGATGTCAACAATCTCCCACTGACATTTCTTATCCTGTTTCCCACGTTCATATGTTTCCCCTCAGCTATTTGGATCAAATAACATAATAACTGTTTAGTACATGCTATTTGTTTTCTTTCTCTCACTTCAAAATATAAACTTCATGAAAATAAGGAGTTTTGCTTGTTTGGTTTATTACTAATGACATCCCCTTCATCTACTATGCTGCCTAAAACGGTACCCTCTCAACAACAACTGTAATGCTGAGGCAATCAAAATCTTATTCAACTTCACATTTGGAATCTATGTCTCTCCATAAACATATACCAAAAATCTTGTAAAGAGTCAGTGAATGCAATGCAAGATGACTCCTTAATTCTTTATTCATCTTTTATTTTTCACTTAAATTTACATCACATACTACTACTCATAAATACTCTCATTTGTATGTGTTAACAATATCTACGTGCATTTGACATACACATAGTGCTAAAAAACTAAATACTATTCTATCAGTTTTTACTGATGCTGTGGTTATCATTGTTCAATAGTATTTTCTGTGTCTTATGTAACTTTTCTTTAAGGATTTCAAGCTTTCATGAAGCTTATTAGCAACTTAGGCAAATGTCTTTCCCTAATCCATTTAGAGATGGGCCCTGTTAATATAATTAATGTGATTAGTTAAAAAATTTAACTATAAAGAAAAAAATCTGAATAGTACAAAGAGCAATTTCAATCTTTCTACTTTGACCTTTCTCTTCTTACCCACAGCACACGTTTCATCTGAGAAAATCAGTATTAGAAAAAATAGCATCTCATAGCACTTCTGCAATCAAAGAGAGTACACATAAACGAAAATGATATTTTTAGCAACCTTTATACAAATACTCTGGTACTTTATGAACCTTGTCAGTAGGCATGATGTTTCTGATATTTCAGAAATTCCCTGTTCTTAGGAGTGAAATGTTGTATTTGAATCATTTTGACTTAAATCTGTTATAATGAGGAGTATTTTACTATAAATATCTTCCATTAAAAAGAGATTTAGGCTATTTATCAGAGTAAGTCAATTATTTACTTTTTACCTAGAAATCATATATTCCATGATAATTAGTACAAATTTAGTAAAAAGGAAGAAACTATAGGTGAAGTAAGGACCATTTGGAAAGAATCATCGGAACTCAGCCAAATAGGTTTTTATAAAAGCATCTGCAATTATTTTATGTCACTCTGTCAATGACAAACAATCAAATGGATGTGGGAAATATTAAACTGATAATCTAAAAATTATCCAAGTTTCCTTTTCAAAAGCAAATAACCTAATGCCTTCAGTTTTAAAGCTCTTTAATTTTAAATTTTAAAGCTCTTCTAAGTCAGGGAAATAATCTTCATTTTCAATGAGCAGTAGTAACACTGTTAATAGAGCCTTCAGAATAAATTTTCCTTTAATATATCATGCCAATTTCATTTTTAAAAATTTACAAAGCTTGGTAGCAAGCTTTGTTCATAAATGTCTGGAAAAAATATGTCCACCTAAACATTGTTGGTATTGTATAAATGGCTACATTCTCAATAAAGAGTAAGATGGATATAACTAATAAAAAATTAAGTGCACATACAGCATAGCAGACATATAGTTAGTTGTTTAATGTTAGTAAATTATTACAGAGTTAGTTATGTGTAAGAGTATTTTTCATTTGGTTTAAAATTTTAGAGGTTTAATAACTGAAATTTGTCAGAGACTCTAAAAGTGATGAGATTCTTGTAATTGAAACATATTAGGAAATTTGTTAAAAAGTCAATGCATAAACTAGAATGTCTCCTTAATATTATTTAATAGAATAAGTAAACACATTTACTGGTATTAGAATATTTATATCTCCCCTGCTTCCAAAAAAGCTTATCCCAGAATCAAGAAATAATTTAGACACAACTATGTACCAGAATATTGTTAGATGCACTTAGAAATTTTAGACATAACAAGGCATAATTTTAAATGTTAATTCTTTTAGCTCAAACAAAATGTGATTAATTGATTTTGTCTACAATAACAGGTAGTGCCCCAGGGAAAGCTAGGTAAGAAAATTCCTTAAAGAGATGAGACAGCATTTTACATTCTCTTTCTCTGCGCTGAAGTAAGTCAGTGTGTATTTTTTCTCTTGATGTTAGCTCTGAATTTTATAAATTAGGGTAAGAGCTCAATTAGAATCATTCATTCGTTCAAGAAACATTTAAAGAATATCTACTCTGTTCCAAGCACAGTTATAGAAATTAGGGACACTAAAGTAAACACAATGGTCACATGCAGCTGGTGAGGACGTCATGTTACATTGTGATAAGTGCTAAAGGAAGACAGATAAGAAATATTGTAAAGTTGGCAAATGCAATTCTAAATATGATTTCAGAAACACCTCACTGAGAAGGCAACTGAGAGGCAAGTAAAGACTTGAAAGACAAAAGGAAAAAGGCAAGTGTATAGCTGGAGCAACAAAGCATCAGAGTAAAGCCATATCAAGCACATGGCCAACACATCCATCGTTCATTATTTATTACAGTTGTGCCTTGTAGACCATTTCTGCCATAAAAAAAACTACTAGTTGAAAGATTAAACGCAGGGTCTTAGAGAAGCTATGTTTGAGGAAGCCACAGTTAGGTTTATATTGCAATGGGGAGGGCTGATTCTTGAAAATAATTATGTCTGTGACTTTTGAATATGGAGTTGACTGAAATCATATATATGGAAAGACTCACCAAAGCTTTTGAGAATGCCATATGGGCAAAGGTTTTGCCAGATTTTTGCTCAGCTACCAAGCAGGCGTATTTTTAGTGTCTGGTTCAGTTATAGACATGGAGGATATTAGAAAAATATTATAGCCTGAATGTCCCTCAAAATTCATGTGTTGAAGGTTAATCACCAACGTGATAGTGATGCCAGGCAGGCAAGCCCCAGATTTGGAGCTTTGCTGGGAGAGTTCTTGGCTTCACCCAGAAAAGAATTCAAGGGCAAGCCAGTGGTGTTAAACAGCAACTTGTATTGAAGTGGGGGCATACAGCAGCAGCAGAGGTACTTCTCCTTGCAGAGCCAGGCTACCCCATAGGCAGTGTTCCCAGCGTAGCAGCTCAGGGGCAGGTCTGCAGTCATACTGATACCCCCTTTTAATTGCATGCAAATTAAGAAACTAGTTATTCACAGATTTCTCATAAAGGGGGTGGTAACTTAGAGGTGTTTACCTGGAAACGTGTGGTAACTTCCCAGTGTTGCTGTAGAAGTGGTAAACTGCCATGGCACTGGTGGGTGTGTCTTATGGAGAGGTGCTTTCAGTGCTTCTTCCCTGTTTCAGCCAGTCTTCAATCTGGTCTGGAAACTAGTCCTGCCTCCTAGATCAATAATATTAAGAGACTGGAACTTTTGAAGGTGATTAAGTCTTAAGGACAGATTCCTCATAGATGGGATTAGCAACTTTATAAAAGCCTGGAGGAAACTAGCTAGGCCCTTCTACCTTCTGTCCTGTGAGGACACAGGGTTCCTCCCCTTCAGAGAATACAATATTCAAGGAATACTATTGAAAGCAGAGACTGGAACCTCATCAGACATCAAACCTGCCGGCACTTTGATTTTGGACTTTCCATTCACCAGAACTGTGAGGAATAAGTTTTAATTTTTAATAAATTACCCAGTCTCTGGCATTTTGTCACAGCATCACAAAGTGACCTAAGACAAAAAGAAAATACCTTCTAATGATAAGAATAAAGAGTGTTGGACAACAATGGGGTGGAAATCACTTCTAAGGAGTACAAATGGGGCCTGATCAAATAACATTTATTTTCTCCAGTTTAGGGGAATCAGATGACAGTTTCCAAAAAAAAAATGCAGAATTTTTATAAATCAATATTGGCTATCATGTGTTTCTCCTTTCCTTTTTTTGAAAGGAAACTTTTATTATGTTTATGTTGTCCTTGTTGCATTATTTCATGTTGACTGAGGATGATTAGATTATACAATTTTTGAGTCCATGAGTGTTCAGGTTGAGTCTGATTTATATCACAAGATTCTAAACAACAGTATGTGAACAAACAAACATAACTGGAATATCAAATATGCTAGTAGGGAAGGTTTGCAGTCTTGTGCACCAGTGACCACTATGACAAAAAGATGCTAGAGGCAGACATTATAACTTCTGTAGCTTGGGCCCTATAATGATAAATGTGGAACAGACCACTGTGAAAATAAATGAAGATCAACCAAATGGGAACAAGCAAAGTCTACTTATTTAGAGTTTACTGTATCATTTGTGTTTAGCAGAGACCCAAAAGCAGGAAGAGGAGTGAGAAAACTTCAAAGCAGAAAAAATGGAAAGCTTCAGATATGCCCTGATTGTAGGTTGTTGACATGGTATAAGCTGTAGGTGGGCTAACTGTAGGTGAGACATCGTATGTAATTGGATAGTGGCACGTATTTACCTTTGTCTGGTTTGTCCTAAGTTGGAAGCAGGACCAAAAGTTAGGAGAAATATCATTAATTATTTAACTTTTACACTTGGGGCTGATTGTTATCAGGGTTATTGTTTGGTTTCTTAGACTTGTGCTACAGATAGTGGCCTGAAATTCTATAAGTCTGATTTATAGATAGCAGGTTGGGCTCCTGGACTGGTTACAAGTTAATGAGTTGGCTTCCTGAGATAGTTGCTGCAGATTGTGGTCAAAGTCCCTTTTCTATACACATAGTTTGGCCATTTTCTATCTGTATATTCAGTTTCTTATCACATAACAAAGGACATGAAAAACAGATCTAAACCCAGCTGATGACTGAAATACAGAGCCTAAGTCCAGTCTAGAAAGCTTAATTTCAGCTGATCTGCAGATATGTGAACACAGGAATATTTTATTGATGTTTTAAGTCCTGAGTTTGTGGATGGTTTACTATGCAGTAATATTGTGACAAGAATGAACTGATTAAATGGTGCTAGTCCAAAGGTAGCTATCTAGAGGTGCCACCAAATATATAGGGCCATCAAATATATAATCATTTGAGAGAAGAAAGGACATTCCAAAAGAATATCACTCACATTGCATTTGACCGGCACAGTGTACTGGTTAATATAAAATCACAGGCTTTATAGATAGACTTGCTGGGCTTATTTATTATTCATTGAGTGTGTATTGTGTACATAGTTTTAGTCTAATTACTAAAGAAATACTTATGGTCAGAACAAAGTCACTGTTTTCCCATTTATGTTGTTCCAGGAGATAGAAAAAAGTGAACAAGTAAATTAAACCAAACAATATAAATGCAAATGATAAGTACAGAAACATAAATGGAACAATCACATGGAGACTAATTTCTAATCCAAGCTCCATTATTTATTAGCAAGTCTTTTAATCTCCCTAAAACCTAGTTTTCTGCAAAATGTGGACAATGACTCATATAATCAGACAAATCATGTAAAATATCTGTAAGTGCCTGCCACACTGTAAGCCTTCATTTAATAAGATGACGATAATGATGAAGAAAACTCAAGTTATTAAGAGCATGGTTCTCTTAATTTGTTTTGTGCTGCAATAACAGAATACCAGAGACTGGGTAACTTATAATAAACAGAAATGTATTGACTCATAGCTCCGGAGGCTGGAAAATCTATGGTGAAAGTGCTAGCAGGTTTGGCACTTGGTGAGGTTATTCTCTTTTTCCAAGATGGCTCTGTGCACGTTGCTTCCTGCAAAGGGGAGGGAGACTGGGTGGTCACATGGCAGAAGTAAGTAGGGACAAGAGAGGTAACTCACTCCTGGGAGCACTTTTATAGCCGCATTAATACATTCGTGAGGGTGGACTCCTTATGACCTAAACACCTCCCATTAGGTCCCAGCCTCTATACTGTTGCACTGAAAATTAAGTTTCAACATGAGTTTTGGATCAGATGAACATTAAAACCATAGCAGTGGTCAAGTGCAAGCCATGGAATTGAATCAGTGCAGATCAGCTTTTATTTCTTCTTCTTCTTTAGTGAGAATCTAGTAGGATGAATAGAAGTTTGAACCTCTTATTGACTGCATAGAATCAGTTGGGATGCTATTATAACAGTACGTGTGATTAAAAAAAAGTAGAGAACAATGTCAAAAGGGATTGAGAGGACTAGATAAATTGGAACAATGTTTAGAAGTTAAATTGACACAACTAAATATTATATTAGTTGCAGGTGAAGTAGATGGGGTAAAAATAAATAGCTAACAAAACTCTCAAAATCTTACTTATACAGTGTCTTGGTATGTTGGTGATATTCAGTGAGATCCAGAATACAAATGAGCATTTTGGGTACAAAGTTAATGAGTTTTGAACATTCCATTTGTGGTTTCTATGTATATTCAGGCAGAAGTGTCCAATCAATTGAAGATTGATCTGGAATTGAGGAAAGATATTTTGCATAGGTGCAATATTTCTGGAATCAATTGCATACAAAATTATAGTAAATGACATAGAATAAACATTTGAGGAGCTCATTAAGTAAGAGAAAATGATTTGGGAAATATGCGAATGTCATCAAGGAAGGATGATTTTGATGATGATGAGGTGGGAAAATTTCATATGAAGGTGAAAAAGCCAACCAGAGAAAGGCTGAGGCATGACCATTGAAACTGACAATTAAAGAATCATTAATAACATTTGAAAAAATAATTATATAATTATATATTTAAGAAACAATCTAAAATGAGACATGAATCAGAAATTAATAAATAGAAAAAACTATATAAATTACTATTTAGGGGAGTTTGGCAATCCAAAGGTAAAATAACATACAAGACAGGGGCATTAAGAATTGAGAAATTTCTGCTTTTGTTAAGAGGGATCAGTACACTTGGGTAATGAGGGGACATAAGCAACACAGTGATTAAAGCTGCATAAGCAATTAAGCATAGTTTCTGGGGAAGTTGGGGGAAATTAGAAGGCTCTGAGCCAAGCCACAAATCTCACAGTCTAACTTCTCTGAGGGAAAGCATCATGTGTAAAAGATTAAGATAAGCCATTAAAATCTCTCTCTCATTTTCTGGGATACATGTCCTCTTTTCCTCAGAACAAACTGCAGTAGAGCTTCTATGTTCTGGCTTTGCAGAAGTTGAAGAAAACAAAAAATGCTTTCCATTTCTCCTTTCACTATCACTAACAACTTCTTCTTTATTTAGGGTCCACACATTTTCAAACTCTCACCGACTCCCAAATTATTTAGAAAGGACTCACACTGCCACCTCTAAATGAATGACTAAAAGTTATTTTGTTTCCAATTCTTTCTTTTTACCTCTATCGTCCTCACTATGGAATGACTTGTGTCATCTTATTCATATATGACTGAAAATAGTATCTCTTCTTTTATTTTGAATCTATCCTTTTGTATGTATATTTACTTTCCTGATTCTGATAGCTCTTTGTACTCTTTTTTTGGCTAATATGCACTTAAATTGCCACTTATTTTTCCTCAAATTTTAATATAATTGTTAAGTTCAAACATTAAGTAATTGTTATTATCAAGTATTTCTCAAGTTGTCGCCATTTTTACAAAACTCTAAAATATTTCAATATAAGCAGGTTCTTATTCTCCCAATATATTTTGCTAAATTTGATAGTATGTTCATTTTTCAACGCTCTCTGATCTGCTTTATTTATACTCTACCCTTCAGAAAATGCTAACGTCAGCTGTCAGTATCATCCAGAGCATTGCTTTCACACAGAGGTCTCTGAGATGTACTGTAGAAGCATAAAAAGTCTATACAGTCTTTGTATTAGGGCAGTAACAGTCATTTTTAGATGAGGCCTTAACTGAAAAAAAAAGTACTCCTAAATTGGGAGAAATAATTAGATTTATAAAATAACAACTTCAAAAAAATCCTCTTTGATATAATAGCCCCTACTTTTAGTATTTATCCAGTTTTAACCCTCTATCCCATAAGCTATCACAAATCAAGGGTATGTTTGCTTTGAGGAGGTTTAGCTGATATGAACCCTAAAATAGGGTTTTCGACAAAATGTTTGTGTACATTTTATATCATGTTATGGTTTACTTTTTCACGTGATATTATTAGTACATTCGGCTTTTTAAAAGTAATGTGGAAATTTGAAAAAAAATATCAGCCTTTCATTCAGAATTAGTTTGTCATTCTTTTCAGAATACAGAACAAATTATGTTTAGCAACCTCTTTATATAATATAGCTAAAAAGCCCAATTTAAGGAAAATCAGAAAAAAAGCAAAATAATTTGTTTCCTGGTCATAGCTTAGTACTCAAAAAAATAAATCTATGAAGATATCAATTATCTAAATAGGTACTGAAATGGTGTTCATTTGATCTTTAACACTAAACCGGACTTTTCTATGAATACAGTAGTCTCTCCTTATCCAGTTTCCCCTTCTTCGGTCAACCAGGGTCTAAAAATATTAAATGGAAAATTCTAGAAATAAACTATATGTTTTATGTTGCATTCTTTTCTGAGTAGAGTGGTGAAATCTCACACTGCTCCATTCAGTCCCAACAGGGATGTGAATCCTCACTTTTGTCCAGTATATTCAGGCTGTCTGTGCTCTCCACCCACTCATCACTTAGTGCCCATCATGGTGATCAGATTGGCTGTCTTGGTGTCACAGTGCTGTATTCAAGTAACTCTTGTGACACTTATTTCAATTAATTTTACTATTTTCTTATTAGTAATTGTTAATTTCCTCCTGTCCCTAATTTATAAATTGTATTTTATCATAGACATGTATGTATAGGCAAAAACAATATATATAGGGTTCAATACTATCTGTGATTGCAGGCATTCAGTGGAGGTCTTGGAACGTATCTCTGCAGATAAAGGTGGTTTACTGTTTAGTGAACCGGCAACTTTTTTTTCTAATTTAATTAAACAGAAAATAAGAAACCCAGGGCTTAACCTATGTACTACATGTAGATTGAATAAAAATAAGACAAAAAAAGCCAAATTTTCATCATTGTGGAAAAAAAGAACAGCTACTGAAGTTCAACATCCATTAGTTCATTTATCCCAAATAACAATCATTAGAATAGCTTTATTGTTCACATTTCACAGCTGTGGAAATTAAGTTTCATTGAAATGCCCCTATTGTGTAATTACTTTTGCACCTAATACTAATCTAACACTTTCAAAATACATTACTTAAATTATTTATTCAAGTAATCACTTAAGGAACTGTAGTTCAAGGACATGGATGGAGCGTGGCGTTTTGTGCCCTTTGAAGGGAGACACAAGGCCTCAAATTGTGTGAGACCACCACATCAAGTGATGAGTAGAAAAAAGAAAAAGAAATCCAAACTGATACTCTATTGTGATATTTTGAAAAATAAAAACAGAAAATGCAAAAGCCTCTAGAGAGAAAAATATGTGCATTTTACAAATTAAAAAAATTAAGGCTGACTTCATAACTCTGATAAGAAATGTTGGATACAGAAAGATATTGGGGCAAAACCTTTGAGAGTTAGGGATGAAAAGTATTTTGGACCAAAAACTATATACTCAAACTATTAAGTAAGTGTGAAGCTCAATCCCTTCAGCAACAACAACAACAACAAATGGCATTTTCAAATATACAACAATTTTGAAAATTTACCAATCAATATATATCTTGTATGAAAAATAACTAGTAAAACAAATAAATGAATATCAAACTAGTAAAACAAATAAATATCAAACTAGTAAAACAAATATCAAACTAACTAGTAAAACAAATAAATGAATATTAAATAAATGAACGAATAAATGAAAATCAAATAAATGAATGACATAGGATGAAATACATAACATATTTATATAGTTTTATATATAAATATATAAGCAAAAAAAACCCAAAATTAAATTGATGTAGCATAACTAAAAATTAGCTGGTAAAATTAGAAAAGAGGTTCCTGGACACCAACAGAAATGTCTTCAAAAAGAAAAAGTGAAACATATTCAATACAAAAAGTGAGATAATTAAATAACTGTGGATGGATTATAATCTGCAGTATAAACATTTGTTTCTTTTCTTTCTATGGAAAAGAAAAAAACAGAAAGTTAACTAAAGATGAGAAGCAAAAGTCATAGTCGATATATTTAGCAAATTAAAAGTTTTAATATTTCATGACTTGAATAATTGATGACTCCAAAAATTAAAATTTAATTTGATATGGATGATAATACTTATATGTTTGGAACAGGGGTTAGGACATTTTACCAATAGAGAAGGAAAAGTACCTAACTTAATTTTTAGACCGTAAGTTTATTACAAAATTTTAATGCAATTATTGTTTGTTTATGTTCCAACATTTAAAGTAAACCTACAGAGCATTTAATGAAGAATTTAATACTATTATAGAATGTAGTGTTATTATAACTTTCACAGAAACCACTTGGAATAAGAAGTAGGTAGATTAAATGAGTGAGGAGAAAGATATCAGGTGACAAATGCTATATTCTAACATACCTGAAAGACATAAAGTGGAAAAATTATTTAAACATTCCAATTAAAAGATGTTTTTGCCACATGAGTGATATTGATATTTTGCTCTTTGTTGTGGGGGCCCTTCCTCGGCCTTTCCTTTATTGTGGGGCCTTTTCTTTTCTTGTGTGTTTAACAGTATCCCTAGCCTCTACCCGCGGCATGCCAGTAGCTTCTCTTTCCCTATGTCCCGATAACAAAAAATGTCTTCAAATATTGCCAAATGTTCCCTTGGCAACAAAATTCAGTTATTTGAGACCAATAATTTTAAGACATATTGCTTGTCTACAAGGTAGCTAAAGTGACTATCAAAATTAGAAGCCAGGGGAAGAATAAAATGGTGTAAATAAGCTATGTTCTCATATTTCAAACTATAATATTAATATCTAATATCCTAATTTAATAAATTAAAGATACAAGCAAAAATTAAATTAAAAGTCAAAAAATGGTATGTTAATGTTAATTTGGTAAATGTGTTATATACATGTATGTTAAGAAAAAATGTTAGAAACTTTGCGAATATAGCTTCAATGTCTCTAAATCTCTTTAAACTATTATTTAAATTATATTATTTTCACTTTATGGAAACTTTTTGAATTTAAGAACGACATTGCATTTAATGTCAAATATTTAAATTGTGATCATAGAACATTTCAAATTTTTTAAAACGGTACAACATGAAATGTGCCTAATATGAAAATTCCTGTTAACTATATATTTAAACCTCAACTTTATTCCTTGAATTACAGCATTATTGAGAGAAAAGCATACTTTTATATATAATGCATCGTTCCAAAAATCCATGTTAAATTAGATTCACTATGATAGATACTAATGAACAAAGACTAAAAAGTATCAAAAGTGATTTATACATAAGAGCAGGTTTCTTAATTCTAAATATTTAAAAATATAATCTATTGGCTAGTAATAAATTTTGTATTAACATTTCTCCACATGCAAGGTGGAGGATAAAATTTATAGAAAAGTAATAAAACTAAAATATATTTTAAATTTTATTTATTTTTAAAAATAAAAAGATTGACACATGATCTGTGTAGTCAGTGGAGGAAAACAAACACTGAAAAATAAGCACATCACTTAGTTCAATTGAGAAATTACATTCTGTATAACAAAGTTTGAGGGTGAAGAAATACATTCTGAAAACATTTTCCAAAATATTTTTATATTATGAATTATGAATTATATCATCCATTTTCTAAGTTACTCCCTAAATTTTCAAATATTTATTCACTTATAACAAGTAATATTTAGTGTTTCTCAGAAAATTTGATTTCTATTGCAAAAACTACTTTAAAGATTTGTTTGTTATTTTACTATATGCAGATTCCCCACATATTCAAAGATTCACTCTAATTGCATATAGATACAAATGTTGGGAGAAATTTAACCAGTTTTATACTTAGGTCATTTTTTTTCTGTATAACCAAAGAGATATGAGTAAGAATAAAAGTAAGAAATGTAAAGAAAAAACAGAAATGTAAAACTTACTAACTAGTGCAGATGCTAAAATGTTTCACTAAATTTTTATATTAATATTCAACTTCCTTCAGTCCTAGTTCGAATATTATATTTCAGTTAATGCTGTAAATCCTAATCTTATTGTTTTCATAATTAGCATTTATTTTTCAAGAAAACATCAAATGTTATTCTTAGGAAAAGTTATTGTAAACATTATTTATAAATGGTGACATGGATGAGGAAATTGAACAAAAATTTCTTCTGAATCTTATGAGCAATCATTATAACTAGATGTTTTCTCAAGAATTTAAATTTATTGCTGCAAAATTATCCCTTATTTATTTCTCACAAATTTCTTCTCCACACTCACTGTTTTTATTTAAGCAATTTGACATTTTTCAAAAGATATTCACATTCTAATGGAAAAAATTTCCCATTGAATTGAACTGTGAAAACGTTGTATATATTCAAACATGATATTCTTGGTAGCTGGTTTAATGTCTGAAGACAGTGTGCTTACAACAAATCAGTTGTAGTTCCTTATGTAAATGTATCATTATTATTTGGTTTTTAGTAAGAAGAAAACAACGTTTTTGGAGAGATGTTCATTAGGACAGTATATGTAAGTGTATTAATATTTTTACATAAAAAACTTTATCTATAACTTTAAATGCATGCACTCATTCACTGCAATGTACTCCACTGAAGCTAAACTGGAATATTTACTTAAAGATAAAAACACAAGAAGCAATGTGCAGTCAGCATTTCACTTTTACTGCATTCTGTTTAAAGCACAATACCATTACTGATATGTCTTCAATAATTATGTTACATTTGTTATTAGAGAAAATGTAGCAAACTAAGCATAGGTTAAAAAACAGTAACAAGAAAACTTTCCCCAAACTTACTAAATAGATTAAAAATGTAAAAATCAAGGAGAACACAAAATTGATTGTATGAATAGGTAAAAATATGTACTTTCCCAAAATTAACACTCTACGTGATGCAATTTTCAATAAACTTTACAGCACTTAGAAACAGTAAGTAAAGCCCTTGCTTGAAATATTTAGATAGTGAGATGCAACTGTATTTTGGAAAATATTTTTATGAAAAACCATTATCCTTAATACAGAACACAATAAGTATGGCTGAGAAGAAAATGACTAACAGAGATTTAAAAAAATATTTCGCAGCAAGGCCAGTGGCAGTAGTCATGCCTGTAATCCCAGCACTTGGGAAGGCTGAGAAGGGAGGATCACTGGAGCCCGGGAGTTTTACATCAGCCTGGGCAATGTAGTGAGACACTATCTCTACAAAAAATACAAAAAAAAAAAAAAAAAAAAAAAATTCACCAGGCATGGTGGCACAGGCCTGTAGTTCCAGCTACTTGGAAAGCTAAGGTGGAAGGAGTAACAGAGCCTGAGAGATTGTGGCTACAGTGAACTAAGATTGCACCACTATACTCCAGCCTGGGTGACAGAGCGAGATCCTTTCTCAACAAACAAACAACAACAAACACAAATAGAAATCACAACAAATAAATATACAAACAATAACAAGAAAACTTTCCCTAAACTGACCAAATAGATTAAAAATGTAAAAATCAAAGAGAAAAAAATTGATTTTATGAATAGGTAAAAATATTAAACAAAACCCTGAGAAAATACTTCATATGGTGAGAAGACAAACATGATTCAATAAAATTTTTGTCAACACCTCTGGAGAACGAAAAAATTAGACCTGAAAAGTATTCAGAAATTTGCTGTAAAAATGGCTTACTTGAATAAAAATACCTATAAATTCCAAAAAATAAAAACAAAAAAGAAAGAAAGGAATAAACATTTCCATTGAAAAAGCAAACTGAACGTTAAGGAAATAAAGAAGGAATAACTAAAGCTTTTTACGTTGTGGAAAATCAGGTATAAATTTTAAAATAATAATCAACATTTTGACAGAAAAATGACAAATCTTACCAAGGAGGAAAATCAGATTCACATTAGTGTCTCTCTGTAATAGTAACCAATGCCAGAAACTTCTGTATCCATGTTTATACAGTTCTGAAATATATATATTTCTTTCAGAACTGTGTATATATACAAATATATTTTGTATATATTTATACAAAACTGTATATATATATACACACACATACAGTTCTGAAAGATCGTGTATATGTATATATACACACTCACACACATATACAGTTCTGAAAGACTACATATATGTATATATGTATATATGTGTGTATATGTATATGTATGTGTGTGTGTGTGTGTATTTACATATATACTCCTCTTAAGAATGATATAACCATTTAGCAATTAAGTTGAGCCAGATAATGAATGAGTAATAATAGAAAATTGAAAGAAAGAATCTAGGGGAGAAAATGACTGATTGTGAGCACGGATTTACATGATCTCCATATGTATATAAATTTAATATTTTTGTCACTTATGGTTATATGAGTATGCCATAAACAATGTCAGTACAAAATAATGACTTAACTAACAAATTAAGATGTGGGTGGGGAGATAAAGGAAATGTGAGGGTCCCTATGGCTCTACAGGTCCACATCAGTCTATCAACAGATATCTTAGAAATGGAAGCGTGTGTCAACAAAAATAGACTACACTCTCTTACTGTTACTGTTTTTCAGTCTTTTTTTCTAACACTATAGTGAGTTTTTAGAGATATTTCTTATGATAAAGAAACACTTGTTTGAAGGTAAGAAATTCTTTTGACATTATTTCTGTTAAAAAATAAAACAAATCATTTAGATCCTGGCAAGAAGAAATATTTCTCCTGAACTTTGGCCAAGAACCCACTAAAACTTTTTGTAAAGTAATGAGTGGAGTTGAATGTCCCAGTCTGATAAATGAATGTGTGTATGTGTGTGTGTGTGTGTGTTTTCAGGTATATATCACCAAACAGCAACCAAGCTTAACAGGGAAAATCTAGTTGTATTCTGATTAAAGTGAGGAGTGTAAACTTAATTTTAATTATCAATAGAATTCTGAAAACTTTTTCTGGAAATTCTGAGGACTGTCGTTGGACAAGAAAAGTGAAAAGAAACTATAGATTTTGAAATAAGAAGCAAAAAAATCAGTATTTTTTAATGATTTGTCTATATAAAAGTTCTAACACAATTAATTATGAAAAAAGAGTAAACCAAAATATTCACAGTCTGGTTAATGACAAAATATCTCTATCAAAATCAGTTATTTTCTTATTTTTTTTAAATGTTAGTAGATGATTTCACATGGGTCTTTTGAATTTCTGCACATCTTGCATCTAGGACATTGGCTATGTTTTTTTTCTGATTCTGTTTTCAAGAGTTTATAGCAAACAGCTTTGGAAGATTGACATAGTGTTGCCCTCTGGATGACAGATCATATTTGTTCACCACCCAGTATAATACAGAAAATGTCCTCCTCCAACCATTTATAAAAGGTTCAGGGTTATGCATGGAGTTTTTCAGCTGTAAAGCAAACCCACTACACGCAAAATAACTGCCTGGGCATCTCCAGTTCAACTGCTTCGGACCTTTATCAAGGAGATCTGGCAAGCATTGAGCTCTTTTTGCTCTGTCCCAGGATTCTTGCAAGTTCCACCAACATTTATGAAATTGTGGCAAGTTAACGTGTTGCCTAGCAAGTAATGTTAAGTTCCCAAAATTTCTACAGTCTTTGACATAAAATAACTACTTAAAAGTTATAGTAAATGTAATACATTTTTGAATGAAAATAAACAATATACACAGAAATGTTAATATGTTATATAGGAAGAATTTAGAGATCATAAGAAAACTAAATTCTTCAATAAATTATTTTAAGACAACTGGTTGCAGTGTGCTTCTCAGGAGTAAGAAACAATCTCGTTTACCAAAATAAATTTAATAAATATACATGATCTATACAATCATAGAAAACTGTAAACCGAATAATGAAACAAACACAAAATAAGAAAAAACAAAAAAGCCCAAGTATAAACAAGTTTGTAATACAAATAACAACTTAAGAAAAGAAAAACAATAAACATATTAATAAAGGTAATTTGTCAGGTTTTAAAAAATTGTGGGCCAAGAATATTATAAACATTATAGAAATCAATACATATAAATAGTCAATGAATACATATACAGAAGAATGGGTACACAAATGCATATCAAAGAAAATTACCTAAAGGACTATATTCATAGTCATGTAATGTTTAAGGAAACAATCAAGAAATATCAAGTCACTCAGAGACTAGCAACGGTAGGAGACTGTCACCAATCCTGGGCCTAAACCAGTAAAGGGATAAAATGCTGCTATTAGAGCCATGTAAGGACTAGACCCATAGAGTGTCAGTAGCAGGTCAAAATCTGTGCCAAAAGTTCTAAAAGCCAGCTTGTTGGGGCCAGGAGAAGAATAGAGAAAGACAGTGAAAGGATTCAATAATTCTATTCAAAGGCATTCATACAAAACAAAACAAGATATCACTTGCTATCCACCAGTAATTCTAAATTCCCAGATCTACACAGAATTAGACACATACATCTATGGAACCAAAAGGCATTCTGACGATTTGAATACAAATATATAGTATATTTTTAATTTATTTAGCTTGCTAGATATAGTCATTATATAAATATAAATTGTACACAATTTATATTTATATCCAAAATGGTGATTTCTGGTAATTTAACATATATGTGTATAATGCTAAATACATATGTAAATAGATTCAGTGTAATTTTGTCATATGCTTTTTTTTCACCAGCAAGCTCTTTTAGTTTTTGGTTTTTTTTTCTTGTAAAGATGTCGTCTCATCGTATTGCCCAGGCTGGTCTTGAACTCCTGGGTTCAAGTGATTCTCCTACCTCAGCCTCCCAAAATTTTGGGATTACAGGCATTAGCCACTGCACCTGACCGTTTTACTTTTCAAATACAAAACATATAAACATGTAAACATATAAAGCCATTTGCTTCTATATAAAAAGATAAATAAAGCAATATTCTAAAATATTTTAAATCTAGATTTAATAATAGAACATCTAACATTAACACTTGTTAACACTAATAAAAATAATAGAACATCTAACATTAACACTTGTTATAACACTAAAACACTCTCCAAACCACCTTTATTTTATAGTTTCTTTTAATCTTCTATTTTCATATGTATGCGATTTAATTTTAATATATGCCTATAAAATTTAAAGTGCTTTAGTTTTATTTCCAGAAATTTTTCTTCTGCTCTGCCACTCTCCTGCCATGCTGAATATGGCACTTACTGTTATAGCACATTTACCATTTACTATATTTACTATGTTAAATATATCTTAAGTCCAAAATTTTCTTTGAATTTCTCTGTTACAAATTTTTGTTTAATTTTATGTTTAATATTTTTAATTTTTTTCTATTACCAGCCAAAGTAATCTGTGGATAAGGGATGATGTGCCGATCTGAGTTTCAAGGACCCTCAGTCATCCTACATTAGGGTTTACTAAGAGTCCTGTTGGTATTTGGTTCTGTGAATTAAAATCCTAAAAAACTCAAGGCCCAGTGGAATTTCTTGGCTTTTTGCCTCTTGAGCAAAAAAAAATGAAAGAAGGAATGGCCTCTGCATCCAAGAATTGTATTATTCGGCCTTCTCTATAATTGACTCAGCTCCCACTGGCCTCCTAGCCTCCTAGTTCTGGCCATGCCAGGGGCTCGGCAGCCCTCTTTGCATATTCCTGCTTCATCCAGTATTTATGATGCAAGGTCATGATAGCATCTGTCTTTCAACTAATCTACCTTTAAATCACATACCCAATTGTTTCTTCCTTTCAGATTCTTGTAAGTGCTAGTGTGGTGATATAAAATCTATATCTTGCCTCCCACAGGCCTTCATTTTTTATGTTCTAAACATCATTTTTTAATAAAAATCAATTCGATAATAAATATACCTTACCAGGTATATTTCTTTCTTCTTATTTACTTCATGTCAATTGCCAATTCTGCTTGTTCTCTTGGTTTTTGCTTGTTTGTAAGCATTAAGAAATTTGTTGCTTATCTGCTATTTTACAAAAACAAAGATATTCAAAATCACATTGAAGATCTCTGTCAGTGGTATGATTTAAATAGGACTTATTTTGCTTTGATGACTTACCAAATGACAAACATGCTATTTGGTAGTATAAGATGATTATGATTTTTTATAAACTTTTCCCTTTTTACTCTGGTTAACTTAAACTTTTAAATTTAAAACTTTGATCCTTAAGTTTCAGCCAGTGGAGAAACCTAACTGTGTAAACATGGATTTTAGAGAGCTGAAAATCCAGTACATACTGTCTCTAGTAACTGGAATTGACTTAATGCACATAAAATCTGACTCTGCAGTGAGCAGTTCTTGAAGATGAGTTCAGCTAGCTTTGCAGACACATTTCTTGGATAAGAGTTTAAGTGAGAATCTAGGAGTTATGCTTCAAAAACCTTTCCAATCCACTGTCTTCAGGGAAGAAAGGGCTGCTTTTACAATGGTGACACATGTTTTAAATCTACAATTTTGGTCTTTGCTTATCAGTCAACGGATATTATTTTTTCTAATATTTATTTTTCTAGATTTCTTTTCACCTTCTTTAATTTGGGCTTTTGAGTCCTCTGACAGATTTGGTTTCCAGAAAATAATAGAATAATTGTTGTGACATGACAGAATTTAAAACTAATATTCTAGGTTGAGCAAAAGAGTAAAATACACAAAGCTGAGCAAATCTTTTGGGTGCAGAATGCATACGAAATTTTATTAAAGCAATAGTGAGCAATTATTACAGTTCAAAATTATATTTGAGTTCCCATGAGTGCTTATTCAATATTGTCTTATTGAAAGGGCTCCATAATTGTTAATCCTGAGCATTACCTAGTTATTTAAACTGATGTCTCCTGAAAAGAGGTGCATGCCTCATAAATAATTGAGGGCTGAATTAAAACATTCTTCAGTGGACAGAATTGCACTTAATTTACAAATTCAATTTCCATATAAGAGCAGCCCTTTACGAGCTACCTGAACTTTGCAATATCATGCATCACAGCTCGTGAACTCGTAACATTGTAGAAGTAGTCAATCTACCATGAAAAATGCCTAATTGATGTTCTAATTAATTTCACTAATTTAAATTAATAGTTCAGAAAAATGTTCCAAGGTTATCATGTGAGTTTTCCTGTACACTGACACATTGTTGCCCATGCCAGAGTTACTCTTACCTGTTTGAAAGGGTCACTCAATAATCTTACATATATATAGAGATAGATAGATAGATAGATAGATAGATAGATAGATAGATAGATAGATATAGATATTATATATATTTAGTTATCATCATATATATCATCATATATATTATTATATGATAATGATAAGAACTTAGAGAAGTTGAATGTACATCATTTGTTATATTTCCCCTATGACTTCTATTTTGAAGGCAGACGTGGAGGTAAACAACCAATAATTTAGATCCCCTTTTCATGATTGGGTAACCACAAGTAGGATAAAAATATTATTCCGTATTTGGATTAAAGGCTAACAAAATTTTGAATTTACTTCCTATTTTTAGAACCATGTGCCAGTTAACCATCTTTTTTATTTATTCCTATTCTCATTGTGGTGAGATTAGAAGACATAAAATTCCATAAAAATTAAAAATGAGTTGTACTTTTAAAATTCACTAAAGTTTCTGTGAGAACTAGTCTCACACATTGGAATAAAACGTATTGCGTTTCAGGGAGTGTTTCTGACATGCCTGGAGTTTACTTTGTGTTTAATACCTTGCTCTTTGTCATTTTCCTTTGTATTGACTTTAAGCAAATAAAAAGAATAACCACATCCCAAATCACACCACCAAGAAGATACCACTGTATGTATTTGAGCATATAACATTAAAATGTTTTGCCCATTTAATATTCAAACATTTGTTAAATAAATTAATAGTGACCAAAGTACATGTGCCAATCTCTGTCACAAACTCTTTCTGACAAACTGAGTGACACTTCTGAAGATTATTTCCTCTCTTTCCCCTGAAATTCTTCAAACTTTTATTTGTTATTATTATTGTTGTTGTTTTTAATTAGGACTAATTCTTACTATGGGATAAATAGAGCAAGCTCTAAAAATACCCCCTCTCTTGACTTAAGTGAAGAGAGGGAATTTAGTTCATAGAGCAGTTCTTTCCAAAAGAATTCTTAAAATGTTTCCACACCTTATATTTTATTCCCTTATTTGGCTGTAAAGGTTTAAGAGGCTTCATTAACTCTCAAATACCTACTTGGACCCTTCTATATGGTGAGCTACGCCTCCACTATCTATGATATTCTAAAAACCTCAGGTGAAATATTTAATTTAGCATCAATCTTGTTACAGAGGAAGTGAGAAAGTCAGTTTTATAAATTAAACATTTTATTTTGAGATAATAGTAGATTCACATGCAAGTATAATAAATATGTAACACAGCAGTTCTATGCACCCTTTGTCCACCTTACTCTAAAAGAAACATCTTATAAAACTACAGTAAAATATCATAATCAGGATGTTGAAATAGATGCAGTGACTATATAGAATTATAACATCCCTACCAGGATCCTTCTTTTACCATTTATAACCCCACAAAAGTCTCTCCCTTTCTCTTAGTCTTTATTCTTCTGAAACTATCTTTATTTTGTCATTCAGTTCTGAAGGGTAATTTTGCTGAATATGGAATTCATGATTTTTTTTTTTAGTATTTGAAAAATATTGGATCACTTCCTCTGGTCTCCATTGTATCACATGAGAAATCAACTGTCATTTTAATTTCTGTCTTCCTACAAGTATGTGTTTTTTATCTGTGGTTTCTTTCAGCAGTTTCTTTTTCTTTAGTATTCAGAAGTTCAATATAATGGGTTTCAGCATGAATTATTTTGAATTTATGTATTTAGTGTTTATCCAGCTTCTTGAATCTGTACATTAAGTCTTTAAACAAATTTGGAAAATTTTTAGATTTTTTTTGGATACTTTTTAAAATCTCATTCTTTCTTTTCCTTCTAAGACCTTAATTATATAAATGTTCGCTCTTTAGTTATTGTCCTACAGGTCCCTAAGACTCTGATTTTTTCAGTTTACTTTCTCTCTGTTTTCAGATTGTTTAAATTCTATTGTTCTGTTCTCAAGAACGAAAATTCCATTCTCTGTCATCTCTACTATTGAGCACATCTAGTGAATTTTTCATTTCAGATATTGCATTTTTCAGCTCTATGGTTTCCAGAATGAATTTTACAATGGCAGTTTGAAAGTCCTTGTAAGATAATTCCCAAATCTGCTTCATCTTGGTGTTGGCACCCATTGATTGTCTTTTCTCATTCATGTTATGATTTATCTGGTTCTTAGTATGATGAGTGGTTTTTCATTATAGTCTCGATGATTAGGCTATTATTTTATGAGACTCTGAATCCTAATCTTTCTTTGTTTTTATTAGCCCATCTTCTTGTTCAGTTGTAGTGTGAAGGCAGTCTAGGTATGTATGTATATTTAGTGTACCATTGGGTCTCAGCAAAAGTGGAATTAAACTTTACACTGCCTGTACTGCAGACAGGCAGAGTGGAAGTTCAGCCCTACCGATAGCTTCTCAGCAAAAGTATGGCACCAACTTGTCTCTGAAAGGAATTATATGATGCGTTTTTCTTTGGACCAAGTGCTGCTAGGGTTGGGAAAAGTGGAGGGTTGACTTAGATCACTCTGTTGTTGCATAAATGAAGGCAGAAAGTCGGCTCCCTGCTGGGGCCTAGTGACACGGAGGAAGCAGAATATCAACTACCCCACCTCCAACCACCTACTTCTTTCTTCTTAATGTGGTGGAGGTGGGAAGTTCAGCTCTTCATTAGGCTGCACTGACATCAGAGGAGAAGGTAAACAGTGTCTACTACCCCAACTTGTATCACACATTGACTATTTTGTTGATGCCACATGGAGGTAGACACCGAGATCACCACTTAACCCCACTGATACGCACTTAGGAATGTGAAGCACAGTGGGCCTGGCCTCCCTTCACAGGGGGTAGATACTGTGTTTGTCCATATTACTCACCTTGTGTGAAAGCACTTCTTTCTCTGAATCTGTTACATACCAATTTTACATATACTTGAGTTCGTGTTGAAATTGCACACAGTATTGTGGCATAGATTCTGTGCTAAGACAAACCAAAGGAAGGTTTTAGCATGCATTAACAGTGATATAAAAATTGGCCAGGCTAGGTGGCTCACTGCTGTAATCCCAGCATTTTGGGAGGCCAAGGAGGGTGGATCACATGAGGTCAGGAGTTCTAGACCAGCCTGGCCAACATGATGAAATCCCATCTCTACTAAAAATACAAAAATTAGCCAGGTGTGGTAGCTATGTGTGCAGGATGTGCTGGTTTGTTACATAGGTAAACGTGTGCTATGGTAATTTGCTGCACCTAACAACCCATCATCTAAATGTTAAACTCAGCATGCATTAGCTCTTTTCCCTGTTCCTGCCCCTAAGCCTCTCCTGGCAGGCCCCAATGTGTCTTGTTCCCCTCCCTGTGTCCATGTGTTCTCATTGTTCAGCTCCACTTATAAGTGAGAACATGTGGTGTTTGGTTTACTGTTCCTGTGTTAGTTTGCTGAGGATAAAGCTTCCACCTTCATCATGTCCTTTGCAAGGACATGATCTCACTCCTTTTTGTGGGTGCATAGTATTCCATGGTGTATATGTACCACATTTTCTTTATCCAGTCTATCACTGATGGGCATTTGGGTTGATTCCATGTCTTTGCTATTGTGAATAGTGATGCAATGAACATACATGTGCATGTATCTTTATAACAGAATGATTTATATTCCTTTGGGTATATACTCAGTCATGGAATTGCTGGATCAAATGGTATTTCTGGTTCTAAATCTTTGAGGAATCCCCATGCTATCTTCCATAATCGTTAAACTAATTTACATTCCCACCAAGGGTGTAAAAGCGTTGTTATTTATTTGCAACGCTGCCAGTATCTGTTGTTTCTTGACTTTTTAGTAATCACCATTTTGGCTGCTGTGAGAAGGTATCTCATTGTAGTTTTGATTTGCATTTCTCTAATGGTCAGTGAAGTTGAGCTTTTTTTCATATGTTTGTTGGCTGCATGTATGTCTTTTTTGAGAAATGTCTGTTCATATCCTTGGCCCAATTTTTAATGAGGTTGTTTTTTTTTTCTTGTAAATTTCCTTAAGTTTCTTATAGATTCTGGATATTGGACCTTTGTCAGATGGATAGATCGCAAAAATTTTCTCTCATTATGTAGGTTGTCTTTTCACTCTGATGATAGTTTTGTTTGCTGTGCAGAAGCTCTTTAGTTTAATCAGATCTCAGTTGTTAATTTTTGCTTTTGTTGCAATTGCTTTTGGCAATTTCATCATAAAATATTTGCTCTTGCCTATGTCCTGAATGGTATTGCCTAGATTTTCTTCTAGAGTTTTTATAGTTTGGGGTTTTACATTTAAGTCTTTGATCCATCTTGAGTTAATTTTTTATTAAGGTGTAAGGAAGGGGTCCTGTTTCGGTTTTCTGCATGTGGCTAGCCATTTCTCTCAGCAACATTTATTAAACAGGGAGTCCTTTCCCCATTGCTTGTTTTTGTCAGGTTTGTCAAAGATCAGATGGTTGTAGACAGGCAGTTTTATTTCTGAGTTCTTATTCTGTTCCATTTTTCTATGTGTCTGTTTTTGTACCAGTACCACGCTGTTTCAGTTATTGTAGCCTTGTAGTATAGTATGGAGTCAAGTAGCATGATGCCTTCAGATTTGTTCTTTTTCTTAGGATTGTCTTGGCTATGAGAGCTCTTTTTGGTTTCACATGAATTTTAAAATGTTTTTTTTTTAATTTTTTGAAGAATGTGCATGGTAGTTTAATGGAAATAGCATTTAATCCATAAGTTGCTTTGGATTGTATGGCTATTTCTCCGATATTGATTGTTCCTATCCATGAGCATGGAATGTTTTTCCATCTGCTTGTGTCCTCTCTGATTTCCTTGAGCAGTGCAGATGACAGTATCCTACATCTAGAAACCTCCATCAACACAGCCCAAAACCTTCTTAAACTGATAGGCTGCTTCGGTAAAGTCTCAGGATACGAAATCAATGTGCAAAAATCATAAGCATTCCTACACATCAACGACAGACAAGCAGAGAGCCAAATCATGAATTAACTCCCATTCACAACTACCACAAAGATTATTAAATACCTAGGGATAAAGCTAACAGGGGAAATGAAGGTCCTTTTCAAGGAGATTCATTTATAATGTCTAATGATAAATATTCCAAGCCATCAGAAAAAGTCTTTATATTAAAAAGCGACATTAGGCATCATCTAGTCTCCTGGACTACCAGAAGCTAAAAGAGGTCTAATGACTCACCAAAGGTCATATAAGGATATGCAGAATAAAAACCCACGATGGCAGAAGTCCAGTCCCTTTTACTTGTGCATGCTCCTAGTTTGAATCCTCTTACATTTTGTGAATTGTAAGCATAGTTTGCCATATTGATAAATCATAATGACTATAATAAATTAAACCAGCCTAATTTCAAGTGGATATATTGTCGGATATTAGATACATTAATTAACACACTTTTAAAATTTTAACTGATTGAATAACAAGTACTCTCTTAGTACTTGTTATTCTACTTAGGTAGTAGAATTATAAAGATAGATATGGTTTAGTCTTTTCTCTCATTGAGCTCATAAAGCAATTTAGAAACCTAAAATATTATTTTAATATGTTATTTTATTTTTGTAATAATATGATGAAACACTGAATAGTTTTCTACTGCTTTG
The DNA here is from genome assembly GCF_000001405.40 of Homo sapiens. NCBI lineage: Eukaryota > Metazoa > Chordata > Mammalia > Primates > Hominidae > Homo > Homo sapiens. The sequence goes on from NC_000014.9 coordinate 41,090,841, forward strand.
CACAAGGCTTTTTAAAATATATTTTATCATGTACCTTTAAATCATTTTCTAAGAAGTTTCCTAGGGATTAAGAAGAGAGGGTCTCTTTGACCAGAGAGTGAGAAGCTGAATAGGAGCAATGATGGAATCCCCCACCAAAATTCAGCATACCACCTTTTTAAGATATGGCCCATATGTTAAGAATTATTTTTAAATAACTACAAATTTATAACTTGATAATTGTCAATTATATTTCATGACAAATGAAATTTCTATGATATTCACATTTTGATTTTATTAGAACACAGTCACCCTCATGTATTTGCTTATTGTCTATGACTGGTTTCACTCTACAATGGCAGACTTGAGTAGCTACAGCAGAGACTATATGACCTGCAAAGCATAAAATATTTACTATCTGACCCTTTCTAGAAGACCTTTGCTGAACCCAAACTGAATAATCTTTGTAAAATATCGACTGGTGTTCTAAGATTTTTATATAATAGTTTAAAGGCTATGTTCTTTGGCTAGTTGTTTTTTAAAATTCATTTTATTTATTGTGAAACCATATTATCGTTGTATGATTGGCACACAGAAACCTATAAATACTTAATGTATACAACTTGATGAATCTGGAGACAATTCATCTCAGGAAACTATCACCACAATCTATGCCATACACCTATCCATCACCTCCAACAGTTTCCTCCCACCTTATTATTATTCATATTTTTTGTGTGTGTGGTAAGAACACTTAAGATCTACCTTTTAAAGAAATATGTAAGCACATATACAGGACTGTTCACTATAAACACTATGCTGCAAAGTAGATATCTGGGACTTACTCATTGTTGTGTAACTGAAACTTTGTACCCTTTGACTAAGGCTTCCCCATTTCCCCCCTTCCTCTAGCCCCTGGCAATCCCATTTCACCTTCTGCTTCTATGAGTTTGACTAGTTTAGGTTCATCATATAAGTGGCATTATGTAGTATTTTTCTGTGTCTGACTTGCAGCTAATTATTTTTAAGAAATCCTGGAAAGTACCACGGTATACCATTTAATATTCACAAGAACCCTATGATATCAAAATAATTTCCACTTTATCTATAAGGAAACATATGTTGAGTGACACACCAAATGTCTGTGACTAGTCAGTGGCAGGACAGACACAGAAACTAGTTTGCTGTTCCCGGTCAGAACCCTCCCATATATGTGAAAAAAATATATAAATCATATTATGGAGATTTTTATTTATTTTAGCAGCCATTCATTTCTGAATGTCCCTGAATGTCTGAATTAGAAAAAAATAGTAATTCACGATGCCAAAACTCAGCTAGCATTTTAATTCAATTTAGCACTTAATATAACTACATTAATCTGAAACAATAAAATACACATCTATTAATATAGTGTCTTTAGACTTAACCATGTGAATTATATTTTCATTCTAATGATCAAATGCATAACAATAATTTTTAAAAGTGCTCTTAGAAGTCAAGCATCTGGGTTACATGTTGAGGAAATTTGTGTAAATCCCAAGTTATAAAATAGCAATTTATTATCTTGATAAAAACTGTCCTACCGAAAAAAACAATATCACATTTAAACTAGTATATAATTAGCATGTCATTTTTATATTTTATCTGATTTTCCATTTAGACTTTTTCTGGTATTTTAAAGGCATACAAAAATGAAGAAATCATTTATGTTTAATTATTTTATAAACTTAGAATACTCATTAGGCTGTTCAGTTTTGATAGTTTTGGTTGCTGTAAAAATATGGCTCTTGATGTGGTTCCTACAGAAATATTTGCTTACAGGGTTTTAAAAGGTTAAAGTATATTAGACAATTTAGTTCAGCCTACAAGTAATATGGAAGGCTCATAATGAAAAAAATATACATTTAATTTAAATGCATTTAAACATACTGAAATAGAGGTGAATCTGTCAAGTTGTTCTCATTTATTTGTTGGATGTAAACTTATGATTTTGAAAAATTACACTTCAAGAAATGCTAACAGAAAGACGTATTTCTATGGAATGATAAGAACTATAATCACCAAAAGATAGAGAAGTAGGAAAATTATAGCATTATAATATCACCATATGTTTTACAAGGAATTCACTTGTAGAAAAAAAATGCTTGCTTCGGTGTAAAACTATAAGTTGTCTATACCGTGTCTAACTCCTTGTTATACAACTAATTTTATTGGAGCTATTTTAGAACTCCATAAATTATGGATATCTGATAGTGATGCAAAACATTTGTTGCTTATAAACAAATTTTTTTTTTTTTTTTGAGATGGAGTCTCGCTCTGTCTCTCAGGCTGGAGTGCAACGGGGTGATCTTGGCTCACTGCAAGCTCCGCCTCCCAGATTCATGACATTCTCCTGCCTCAGCCTCCTGAGTAGCTGGGACTACAGGTGACTGCAACCAAGTCCGGCTAACTTTTTGTATTTTTAATAGAGACAAGGTTTCACCATTATTTTCTATGTAAATTCTGTCTTGTCTGGTAGAGAGTCAAATGACTGATTTCCCCCACTATGGAAGAATCTGTCTTTATTTTTACATTTATTTTAATATTCCAGTTACAAAAGTGTGTCTTTTTAAATTCTAATTTGAACCTGTTAAAATATTTGCCTGGTTCCCTGATTATGGTTAAAGAAAATCTATAACATATATTCATTTGTATATCCTTATGAGAATCATGATTTTGCATTTTTGTTAATATTATCTTTGAACAGTTTTGGAGGCTTCCCACTGCAATACTCAATGGAATCACCTAACAGAACCAGGTCAAATTTATTATTAAAAATGTGCACCTTATAAATAGTTTAAGTCCAGGTGAGTCTTTCCTTGGGTCCCAGAGGAGAATCCAAAGAATCAAGAGAAGTTTGCTGACTCTGTTTCCCTAATTCTGTTTTTTCCCTACTAATTTTGCATTTTTGTTTTTAGAACTGGTATGTTTATAGCCAATTCTGCAGACAGAAGTAACTGGTAATTTCATTTTACATGTTACTATTTGATGATCTCTGAAATTTGATTAATAGCTTTTAGGTATCTATTCTCTGTTGGAGGAGAGAAAAGAGAGAATCTGGTTTGTAAGTCTTTCCCTGTTTGTTTGTTTCCCTGTCCATTTTGGGCTCTAATCAGTTAAGAAGTTTGTGCTTACCAAAAATACAAACAAACAAACAACTTTTTTTGATATCTGGACCAGTAGGTTTGTTCATCTGTTTGTTTACATGTTTATTCTTGATCCAAGACTGAAATTTTAGTATTGAAGCTATAAGCCCTCTCTGTATGTATGTGTTTGTCTATCTGCAATTTAGCAGACTCCTGGTTGCGTGAATGTGTAACACTTTCTTAGCACTGGATGCTATTAACAAATTATATTATATAGTCTCGTGAATTAAAGAAACAGGCACAGTGCAGAATGAGTTGGAGTAATAGCAGTAGCATACTATTCCTAGGGGAAGCTTTACCAACTGGCCCTCCTATGTCAGTGACAGGGTGTGCATGGTGCTAGCTCTAGCAGCAGTAAACAGGATAGTATTTTATTTAGCCTACATCTTCTGTGATAAGATTTTGATTGAAATTTGATCTCTGATCCTTTATTAATTGAAACTCTTTCAAAAATTGAAACCCATTTTTTTTTACCTTGCTTGAGATCTTTTCAGCTTCAATTTTTTTTTCTAAATAAATAATCTTTCTGCTTTATTTGGCAGATTCAACTTCTGTCTGTTAAAACTAAAATCCATAATTAATAGAAATATTACCACTAAGAATAACTGCATAAAAGTATTTCAACAGGACAATGATTAGAATTTGGAAGATTTTGCTAGTTGGAGTTGAAAGTTGTGGAAATACAGATAATATTAATGGAAGGACTTCTAGCAACACATGGTATTGCTTTGAAAAAAGAGATAATTCTATTATTACCAGTTACCTCTTAATGTTTTCAAGATTTTCTCAGAAGTACTGCAAGAAAAAAAAATACAAGATCAAAAAAAAAGGCAGATGAAGAGCACACAGCAGAAAAATGCTGCAGTGGAACAGAGGGCAATTGTACCATGCATTCCTCCACAGGTGTAAAGAAATGGGTGGTACACATAGCTTCTATGAATCAGGAACCTATGGCAGAAACAAAAGGATCAAGGAAGAAATAAGAAAACAACAAAAGATGATTAAAAATGGATTGGCCGTGAGCAAGAAAGAAGAGGAGGAAACAAATGAAAATATCACAAAAATAGAGGTCATATTAACAACAAAATAAAGGCGAAAAGATACAGATTAAAGCAAAGCAGCAAACTGGCAGACACACACACACACATGCACACACACACACACAGGCACATGCACATGCACACATACACATGCTTTTTTAGAGCAGTTTTACAGTCACAGAAAAATTGAGAAGAAAGTACATAGAGTTCTCAAATACCTACCACTCACACTCACAGCTTCCTCCACTATCAAAATCCCACAACACAGTGGTACGCTTGTTACAGTTGGTGAACCAACATTGACACCCACAATGCATAGTTTACACTAGGGTTCACTCTTGGTGTTATACATTCTATGGGCTTGGACAAATGTACAGTGACATGTATCCATCATTACAGGACCATACAGAATAGGTTTATTTTCCCCAAAATCCTTTGTGCTCAGCCAGTTAATCCCTCCCTCCCTCCTAAACCCTGGCAACCACTGATCATTTTACTGTCTGCATAGTTTTGTTTTCTCTAGAATACCATGTAGTTGGAATTATACAGTATGAGGCCTTTTCAGTTTTGCATATTTTACTTAGCAATCTTTATTTAACTTTTATCCTTGTGTTTACATAGCTTGATAGCTCACTTCTTTTGAGTGCTGAATAAATTCGATAGTCTGGATGTAACAAAGTTTATCCATTCACCTACTGAAGGGCATATTGGTTGTTCCCAAGTTTTGGCAATTATGAATAAAACTGCTTTACATTTTTAAAAAAAGAATTTATTTTTAACTTAGACTTTCAGCATTTTCTCTATGATATATATAGTTACAGTTCACTTTGTGTTTAGTCTACTTCAGATTCATTGATCTAAACCTGGTTAAAATAGCTGGTAGAACTATTGGTTATTTTCCTTCAGGAGGAGGTTCTTACATTCTAAGGCAATGCTTTTTTAGGATAGCCCAAATAACTTACTTCAAAAGTGTAAATTTGGAAATAAGGGCACTGTGGGATGCTGGGCACCAAGTGGTAAAAGTGACATCTTTTATTTAGCTGTCTAGTATTTAAAGACTCTTTTTATCTGTGGAGATGTCTCCATGTTAAGAATCTAGTGGAAGACAGTACAACTCTCAGATTTGAGGTTAACAGTGCCAGATAATCACTTCCTTCATATATCATAAACCTCCAATGTTCTCCCCGCCTCCCCTGCTCCTCACATAGTACCTAGACTTTGCACGTCCTATAAAAAGTTGAGTTGAGTCATCGATGAGGAGTGATTGAAGTAAAGGAGATGACAGCAGGTAATTTATTCTTGAGGTCATATAATAGCAATGACATCTAGTTTCTAAAGATAGTCCTAGTGTCTACTGTGCAGTGCTTTGCAGGGTCATTGTCCTTACAAAATTGTTGTAATGACACTCTGCGGTGTTTTTTGTTTGTTTTTGTGATATTAGAGTCTCAACCTTTTCAGCACTTGCACACTTGGTTTAGCCTAATTCTCCAGACATTTGGAAATTCTGTGAGCTTCTTATACCGTTTAATAAATTGTCCCTTGCTTAAGTCAACCAGAATCAGTTTCTGTTGTTTGTAACTAAAAAGCCCTGCTCACATGATGGAAGAAAAAAATGTCATCCAAAAAGGTAAAATTATCATAAAAATGCATAAACATATAAAATGAAAATAAATGCTGAAAAAAGTACCTAAGCAGTAATGTGCTCAAAGTATAGACACTTTTCTTAAATCACAACGGAGGCCTTGTATTGTCCCTATGGATTAATAGGAAAGTGAAAAAGGGCTGATCTAACAGAAGGGAAATGGAGTGAGGTTATTTGTACATTAAAAGTAATACTTAGGCTCCTTTATTTTTTTCAATTACAATTCTTTACTATTTTTGTGGAAAGAAATCTAAAATATTTTATTTATTTTTACATCATTTGGAAAGAAATGATTCCTAGAAGTCCATGTAACATATTATATTCTAATAAATGAACTATGTACACGTTAGTCAGCTCACACTAAGTTACACAATGCATTATCTAAGAAAAGAAAAAAGGTAAAATATCGTGATCATAACAATTATGAGAAAAATATTTGAACTACCCAAAGTAAGTTGGATATTTTAATTACTTTTATAATTGTTAAATTTGAATGTCCAATGTATTTGATTGATAAAATTCAAATAATTTCTTAAATAACTATATGGTAACTAGATGCTCACAATAACTTAGCAATATGTCAGAAATTTATTTGTGATAGTTGTATCATCTTATACATTTTTACAGTATTTTCAATAGTCTTCATTGTTGTTCTTTGAAAGAAAAGGCAGTACATAAAATTTACAATTTAAATAAAAATCCCTAAAATGTAAAACTGTATATATAACCAAAATCTAATAAAAAAGAGCATGTAAAATTAGTTCCTAATAATTTTCTTGAATTGTTCAATCTTATCTTTTACTGCTAGGTGCAAGCCAATCTATGGAAAAGCACCTGATTTATCTAAAATAGGAAAAGAAAAAGAAAGAAGAAAAAAAGAAAGAAAGAAGAAAGAAAGAAAGCAGGGAGGGAGGGAGGGAGGGAAGGAAGGAAGGAAGGAAAATGGAAGAAAAAAAAGAAAAGGAAAAAGGAAAAACCTTGTTTGGCTTTATCTCAAGACCAACAAAATCACATCTGTGGTTTACAAAGAGAAGTATATAGTACTTCCATATTCACGACTTAAAAGGAAGGAATAAAATATAGGTACTTAAGCTGACAGAATATTATAATGATTAACTTACATTAAAATATATTCTGTCATAAAAGGTTATTAAACACAATTGTTAATTTACATATGTGTATGTATATTTAAATTTACAAACAGAAAAAAATTGTTTTCTGCTGTACAAATATGAGTTTTAACAGAACCATTACAATCAATACACAGAAGTGTTCTTTCAACCCAGAAAATTCCCTCCTAGTGTTCCTCTAAAGTCGATATGTATACCTGTCCTAACCACAAGAAACACAGCATCTTTGTTTTCATCACTACACTTCTGCTTTTTACAGAATGTTGGATCAATGGAATCATAGAATACATACCTTTGTTAGTCTGGCCTCTCAGTATAATATGGATTGGCTGATGCTTTAGCATATCTCAATAGGACACTTCTTTCTATTGCTGAGAAGTATTCTATTGGATGAATCTATCAAATTTTGTCGATTCACCAGTTGAAGAACATGTGAATTGTTTCACTAGATTTTGCATAAAACTAGTATTAATATTGCCATGCAGGATTTGCGGTAAGCAGAAGTTTTTAGTCACATAAGTAATGCCTAGAAATAGGAATTTCAGTTCATATGCCAATTGTACTTTCAACTTTGTAAAACCTACCAAACTCTACCAAAGTAACAATACCAAATAGCATTCTCATCAGTTTCTCCCTGGTATTGTTTGGCTGTGTCCCCGCCAAATCTCAACTTGTATTGTATTTCCCGGAATTCTCAAGTATTGTGGGAGGAACCCAGGGGTAGGTAATTGAATCATAGGGGCCAGTCTTTCCTGTGCTATTCTCGTGATAGTGATTAAGTCTTATGAGACCTGATGGTTTTATCAGGGCTTTCCACTTTTGCTTCTTCCTCATTTTCTCTTTTGGCCACCATGTTAAGAGTGCCTTTCGCCTTATGCCATGATTCTCAGGCCTCCCCAGACATGTGGAACTGTGAACCCAGTTAAATCTCTTTTTCTCTCAGTATTGGATACGTCTTTATCAGCAGCATGAAAACAGACTAATATAGTAAATTGGTACCAGTAGAGTGGGGCATTGATGAAAAGGTACCTGAAAATGCAGAAATGACTTTGGAACTGGGTAACAGTCAGAGATTATAACAGTTTGAAGGGCTCAGAAGAAAACAGGAAAATGTGGGAAAATTTGGAACTTCCTAGAGACTTGTTAAATGGCTTTGCCCAAAATGCTGATAGCAATATGGGCAATAAAATCCAGGCTGAGGTGGTCATATATGGAGATGAGGAACTTGTTGGGAACTAAAGCAAAGGTGACTCTTGTTACGTTTTAGCAAAGAGACTGGTGGCATTATGTCCCTGCCCTAGAGATTTGTGGAACTTTGAACTTGAGAGAGATGATTTAGGATATTTGGCAGTAGAAATTTCTAAGCAGCAAAGCCTTCAAGAGATGGCTTTGGTACTGTTAAAGCCATTCAATTATAAAAGGGAAACAACATATAAGTTTGAAAAATTTGCAGCCTATGTGATAGAAAAGAAAATCCCATTTTCTGGGGAGAAATTGAAACCAGTTGCAGAAATTTGCGTAAGTAGCAAGGAGCCTAATGTTAACCCTGAAGACCATGAGGAAAATGTCTCCAGGCCATGCCAGATACCTTCATGGCAGCCCCTCCCATCACAGGCCTGAAGGCCCAGGAGGAAAAAGTGGTTTTGTGAGCTGGGGCCAGGGTCCCCACAAAGTGTGCAGCCTAGAGACTTGGTGACCTGTGTCCCAGCCACTCCAGCCGTTGCTGAAAGAAGCCAATGTACAACTCAGGCTGTGACTTCAGAGGGTGGAAGGCCCAAGCCTTGGCAGCATCCATGTGGTGTTGAGCCTGAGGGTGAACAGAAGTTAGTAATTGAGGTTTGGGAGCCTCTGCCTAGATTTCAGAAGATGTACGGTAATGCTGGATGCCCAGGCAAAAGTTTGCTGCAGGGTCAGGGGCCTCATGGAGAACCTCTGCTAGGGCACTGTGGGAAGGAAATGTGGGGTTGTAGCCCTCACAAAGAGTCCCAAGTGGGGTGCTGCCTAGCGGACCTGTGGGAAGAGAGCCACCATCCTCCAGATCCCAGAAAGGTAGATCCACCGACAGTTTGTACTGTGCTCCTGGAAAGCTGCAGACACAATCCCAGCCCATGAAAGCAGCTTGGAGGGAGGCTGTACCCTGCAAAGCCAAAGGGCATAGCTGCCCAATACCATGGGAACCCACCCCTTGCGTCAGCCTAACCTTACTTGAGACCTGGAGTCAAAGCAGATCATTTTGGAGCTTTAAAGTTTGACTGCACTGCTGGATTTAGGACTTGCATGGGCCCTGTAACCTCTTTGTTTTGGCCAATTTCTCCCATTTGGAATGGCTATATTTACCCAATACCTGTACCCCCATTGTATCTAGGAAGTAACTAGCTTGCTTTTGATTTTACAGGCTCATAGGCAGAAAGAACTTGCCTTGTCTCAGATAAGACTTTGGACTGTGGACTTTTGGGTTAATGTTGAAGTGAGTTAAGATTTTGGGGACTGCTGGGAAGGCATGGCTGGTTTTGAAATGTGAGCATGTGTGATTTGATTTGGAGGGGCCGGGGTGGAATGATATGGTTTGGCTGTGTCATCACCAAATCTCAACTTGAATTGTATTTCCCAGAATTCCTGCATGTTTTGGGAGGGACCCAGGGGAAGGTAATTGAATCATGGGGTCCCGTCTTTCCCATGCAATTCTCATGATAGTAAATAAGTCTCATGAGATCTGATGGGTTTTTCAGGGTTTTCTGCTTTGCTTCTTCCTAATTTTCTCTAAGCCCCACCATGTAATAAGTGCCTTTCACCTCTTGCCATGATTCTGAGGCCTCCCTAGCCATGTGTAACTGTAAGTCCAATTAAACCTCTTTTTCTTCCCAGTCTCGTATGTCTTTATAACTCCCCATTCTTACTAGCATATGGAATTTTCATTATTTTAACCATTGTAAAAAGTGTGTAGTGTTATCTTACTGTGGTTTTAATTTGCATTCCACTAATGACTAATGGTGTTGACACCTTATCATATGCTGTTTTGCCAGCTTTATATCTCCTTTAGAACAGCGTTTGTTGAGAATAGAGACAAATCTACTTTCTTTCTGTCTAGATTTGCTTTTTTTCCTGATATTTTACATTAATGAAATCATACAATATGAGGTCTTCATGTGACTGGCTTAATTCACCTAGCATAATGTTTCTAAAGTTCATGTTGTATCATGTACCAGTATTTTATTCATTTTTATTTCATTTTATTCAATACGTAAATAATATTCTTGTAAGGGTATATTCTTCATTGTTCTCAAGAAAAGCAGAACCAATATGATAAATGAATATATAAATAGATTTTTTTATTTTTTAGAATTAAAAAATATATTTTGTTTTATTTTAAGTTCCGAGGTACATGTGCAGGATGTGCAGGTTTTGTTACCTAGGTAAATATGTGCCATGGTGGTTTGCTACACCTATCAACCCATCATCTAAGTATTAAGCCTGGCATGCATTAGCTCTTTTTCCTGATGCTCTCCCCTGTCTGCCCTCCCCTGACTGGCCCTAGCATATGTTGTTCCCCTCCCTGCATCCATGTGTTCTCATTGTTCAGCTTCCACTTATAAGTGAGAACATGTGGTGTTTGGTTTTCTGTTCCTGTATTGGTTTGCTGAGGATCATGGCTTCCTGCTTCATCCATGTCCCTTAAAAAGACATACTATCATTTGTTTTTGTGGCTGCATAATATTCCATGTTGTATATGTACCACAATTTTTATGATGGTCATTTGGATTGATTCCATGTTTTGCTATTGTGAATAGTGCTGTAATGAATATATGCATTCTCTCCAAGTAACCTTCAACATTATTTCATTTAAGCTCTAAACAAAGAAGAGAGAACTCCTCCCGGTGTATTTCAAAAATTCTAGTCTATCAATTACTTTAGTTTACTTTCTCTTTTAGATTTTTAATATGCCTCTTCATGGAAATTTGGTCAGAGTGTTTTCAGAGGGAACCTCAGGCTGTTGAATAATAGTACAATGCTGACTTCAAAAATCACTTTACTCAGACACACTTAGTGCCTGAACCCAGGTGATGCTCCCTGAATATTCTCACTATAAACAGATAACATTTTAGTGAGTCTAGATTACATACATCATATCAAACCGTACTTCTCTTTCATTTTATTTTTATTTCTGAGACAGAGTTTTGCACCATTGTCTAGGCTGGAGTGCAGTGATATGATCCTGGTTCACTGTGGCCTCAGACTCCTAGGCCCAAGCAATCCTTCCACCTCAGACTCCAAAGTAACTGGAACCACAGGCATGCACCACCATGCCCAGTTAATTTTTTATTTATTTTTTGTTTATAGAGATGGGAGTCTCCATATGTTGCCCACACAGGCCTTGAACTCCTGGGCTCAAGTGATCCTCCCCATTTGGCCTCCCAATGTGCTGGGATTATAGGCATGAGCCACTGCACCTAAACCTATATTTCTTTTCTATCTCTGTCATATCAAAATCAGAAATTCCAAACCAGAAAGACAAGTGCTAAGTGTTTTTGATCATTTTTACACACAGTAGGTTAAGCCAGTTTCTAGGTATCTAGAAATTCCAAAAGCCAACACAAAGTCCCACTCATGTCTAAAATCTTGTGAAGGCTATCCATAACATATCACCTCTTTGGACTTTCACTCTACCTAAAGAGCTAGATGCAATCAGGATATGTAATTAAAACACTCCTTGTATGTTTTCTTTAAGTTTATATGCTTGCAGATATTGTAATTGATAAAAATTTGAGTCCAGATAATGTTCTATAAAATCAATACAAATATGATGTCTAATCCCACAGAACTGTCTTCATTGTGACTTTACCATGCTATCTACTGTCAAAGAAAAACATTAGACTTGTTTTGCATGAACAATTGAGGATGTTTTTAAAATTGTATTACATCTTTATCATAACTTAGAGTCTCATTGTTCATGCTTGTATCATCCCTTAATAAATAGCTCTGCCAAGACTGAGAACACAAATCACTCCTTAGAGTCTAGCTGATCTAGATGCACCACCAGCTTTTTCCTTTGTTTTTGTTTTTTTAATTTTCAACTTTTATTTTTGGTTCATATGCAGGTTTGTTACATGGATAAATTGCATTTCATAGGGGTTTTTGTGTATAGATTATTTCATCACACAGGTAATGAGCACAATATCCAATAGGTAGCTTTTCAAAGTTCATCCTGCTCCCACCCTCGACCTTCAAGTAGGTCCCAATGTCTATTGTCCTCTTCTTTGTGTCCATGTATACTTAATGTTTAGCTTCTACATAGTAGTGAGAACATGCAATATTCAGTTTTCTGTTCCTGCATAAATTTGCTTAGCACAATAAGCTCTTGCTCCATCCATGTTGCCATAAAAGGACACAATTTTGTTTATTTTTATGGCTGTGTAGTATTCCATGGTGTATATGTACCACATTTGCTTTGTCCAGTCAACTGTTGATGGGCATTTAGGTTGATTCCATGTCTTTGCTATTGTGAAAAGTGCTGCAGTGAACATACACATGCATCTGTTCTTATGGTAAAATGATTCATATTCCTTTGGGTATACAACCAGGAATGTGATTGCTGGGTCAAATGATAGTTGAGTCTTAAATTTTTTGAGAAATCTCCAAATTACTTCCCACAGTGGCTGAACTAAGTTACGTTCCTACCAGCAATGTATAAGCACTCCTTATGTTGCCAACATCTGTTGTTTTCTGACTTTTTAATAGTAGCCATTCTGACTGGTGTGAAATGATATCTCGTTGTGGTTTTGATTTGCATTTCTCTAATAATTAGTGATATTAAGCATTTTTTCAAATGATCATTGGCCATATGTTTGCTTTCTTTTGAGAAGCGTTTGTTCATCTCCTTTGCCCAATTTTAATAGTTTTTTTTGCTTCTTAATTTATTTATGTTTCTTATGGATTCTGGATATTAGACCTTCACTGGATGTATTGATTGCATTGTGTGTAAACATTTTCTCCCATTCTGTAGATTAACTGATTACTCTAGATAGTTTCTTTTGCTGTGCAGATGCTGTGTAATTAGGTCCCACTTGACTATTTTTGTTTTTTCTTGCTATTGCTTTTGGATTCTTCATAATAAAATCGTTGTCAGGGCCTCTGTGCAGAATGGTATTTCCTAGGTATTCTTTTATGGTTTTTATAGTTTTAGGTTTTACATTTAAGTCTTTAATTTATCTTTAGTTGATATTTTTATGATGAAAGGAAGGGGTCCAGTTTTAATTTTCCATATATATAGCTAGCCAGTTATCTCAGCCACTTTTACTGAAAAGGGAGTTCTTCCAGGTTTCTTTTTATTTTTTTCTTAACTTCGCAGAAGGTCTGATGGATGTAGGTGTGAGGTTTTATTTCTGGGTTCTTTAACATGTTCCATTGGTCTATGTGTCTGTTTTTGTACCAGTACCATGCTGTTTTGGTTCCTGTAACCTTGTAGTATAGCTCGAATTTATGTAGTGTGATGCCCCCAGTCTTGTTCTTTTTGATTAGGACTTCTTTTGCTATTCAGGCTCTTATTTGATTCTATATAAATTTTAGAATAGTTTTTTTTCTTCTTTTTCTGTGGAAAATGTTGTTGGTAGTTTGATAACAACTGCATTGAATCTGTAAATTGCTTTGAGCAGTATGGCCACATTAACAATATTGATTCTTCTTATCCATGAGCAGAGAGTATTTTTCCACTTGTTTGTGTAATTTCTGATTTTCTACAGTATTGTTTTAGAGTTCCTATTGTGGAGATCTTCAACTTGCCAGGTTAGCAGTATTCCTAGCTATTTCTGGTTTTGGATGTGGCTATTATGAATGGGATTGTATTCTTGATTTGACTCTCAGCTTGGATATTATTTGTTTAGAGAAATGCTACTGACTTTTATACATTGATTTATAATCCTGAAACTTTGCTGAAGTTATTTATTATATGTAGAAATCTTTGGGGGAAAATCTAAAGATACAACATACTGGGAACTTCGGGACACAGCTACAACATGTTAAGAGAAAAGTTGATAGTGCTAAACACCTACATCAAAAAGTTAGAAAGATCTCAAATAAACAACCTCACATCACACCTAGAGGAACTAGAAAAACAAGAGCAAATCAAACCCAAAGACAGAACAACAACAACAAAATCCCAAAATCAGAGCTAAACTGTACAGAATGAAGACGCAAAAAACCATACAAAAGATGAATGAAAGCAAAAATTGGTTCTTTGAGAAAATAAATATGATGGATAGACTGCTAGCTAGACTAATAAAAGAAAGAGAGAAGATCCGAGGAAATGCAGTCAGAAATGACAAAGGAGACGTTACCACCCACTTCACAGAAAACTTCAGAGACTATTATGAACACCTCCATGCACACAAACTGGAAAATCTAGAATAAATGAATAAATTCCTACGAACACACAATTTTACATGACTGAACCAGGAAGAAATTTAAACACTGAACAGACTAACAGCTAGTTTCAAAATTGATTATGTAATAAAAAGCCTACCTACCAGAAAAAGTCCTGGACTAGATGGAGTCACAGCTAAATTTTACCAGTCATATAAAGAAAGACTGTTACCAATCCTGCTGAAATCATTTCAAAAAATTGAGGAGGATGGACTCCTCCCTAACTCATTCTACGAGTCCAGCATTATTTTGATACCAAAACCTGGCAGAGACACAATGAAAACTTTAGGCCAATAGTGCTGATGAACATGGATACAAAAATCCTTAATAAAATACTAGCAAACCAAATTCAGCAGCACATCAAAAACCTAATCTACCTTAAAAAAGTAGCTTTATCCCTGGGTTGTAAGGTTGGTTCTATATACAAAAATTAATAACTGTGATTCATTACAGAAACAGAACTAAAAACAAAATCCACATGATCATCTCAACAGACACAGAAAAGCCTTTCAAGAAATTCATCATCCTTTCATGTTAAAAACCATCAACAAAGTAGCTATTGAAGGAACATACTTCAAAATACTAAGAGTCACCTATGGCAAACCCATAGCCAAAATCATACTAAACAGGCAAAAGCTGGAGGCATTCCCCTGGAGAACCAGAATGAGACAAGGATGCCCATTCTCCCCACTCCTATTTAATATAATACTGGAAGTCCTAGACAGGACAATCAATGAGCAAGATAAATAAATAAAGCGTATCCAAATAGGAAGAGAGGAAGTCAGTAGACAATATGGTTTCATACCAAGCTCCTTCCTCTCTGAGATCTTGCCTCCAGTCTTGCAGTGATTGTAGGGAATGGGGACTAAATACTGACTACCTAAGGAATCACAGTTATCCACTTCCATTTTATTCTAGAGGAAATATCCATTTTCCTTATGTTCCTACCTTCCCTCTTCCCATTGATTTCCCCTAAAAATTTACTTCATATCTCAGGTTTCTGCAAAATAAATTAAGGAAAGAAAGTGGCTCTTTGTAATTTTGACCTTTTTTTTTTGAAACAGATATATTGCTGCCTGTAACCAGACAAAAAGCCCTGATGCCTTTCTGGATAGGTGATGAGAAAATAGCATGAGAACAACGTAAATTTAAATTTGAAATATATTCTCGCAATGTAACTCTACCTAGTAAATTTTTGAATTTACTCAAATAAACTTACTGTGCTTCTCAATGACTACTACAGGAGAAAAGTGTTTTCATGATTATCACGTGTATCCAAGTCTGTTCTGAATTGCCCCCACCCCCAGCACAATTAGTGTAGTAAACAAAGAAACATTTGGGTATATATATGATCTACAATGGCAAATAATTTTCTTGTACATTCAACTGTCTTTGTAGGTCTTTATCTTTCCAGAAATAAAGCGAACCCATCCAGTGAGGCCAGACTGTTTAGAATTTTCTCCAAATTTGAATAAGATTCTGTTTTACCTATTATCACCCTAAGTCTTAGGATTAAAGAATATGTTATGAGAAACTCATATTGACTTATATCTCCAGTTATGGTCTATTCTCTCGATGTACATAGTATACATAGTCCACCAACAGCATTTAGTCTTCATGGGTTAATAGCCATCATTGCAACTCATGAGGGAGCAATCTCAAAATGGTAGCTGACTTATGAGACGTTAGCCACTCTCACAGCCTAGCTCGTTTATCAGAGAGGTATTGAGATATCACTCTCTCTGTTTTTTCTTTTCTTTTTTTTACTCTCATGCTGAAGGATTGAAAGAATCAATATCATTGAAATGACTACAGTGCCCAGTGCAATCTACAGATTCAGTGCAATCCCTATCAATTTACCAATGTCATTTTTTACACAATTAGAAAAAATAATCCTAAAATTCATATAGAATCAAAAAAGATCCCAAATAATAAAAGCAATTCTAAACAAAAAGTATAAATCTGGATGCATCACATTGCCTGACTTTAAATTATACTACAAGGCTACAGTAACTAAAACAGGATGGTACTTGTCCAAAAGTAGACACATAGATCAATGGGAGAGAATAAAGAACCCAGATATAAATTCACATACCTACAACCATACTTCTTATCATCAACAAAGTCCTCCAATAATGCTGGGAAAATTGGCTAACCATATGCAGAAGAATGAAACTAGACCCCTATCTCTCACTATACACAAAAATTAATTCAACATGGATTAAAAAATTAAATATAAGACCTTAAACTATAAAAATACTTGAAGAAAACCTAGGAAAAACTCTTCTGGCCATTGGCCTAGGCAAATAATTTTTTATTATGTGCCCCAAAACAAATGCAACACAAACAATAATAGGCAAATGGGACTTGATGAATTTACAAAACTTCTGCACAGCAAAATAAACTGTCACAGAGTAAAAGACAACCTATGGATTGGGAGAAATATTTGCAACTTATGCCTCTGACAAAGCACTAATAGCCAGAATCTAAGAGCAACTCAATAGGAAAACAAAACAATACAAACTGATCAAGAGACCCAAGCAGAAATTCCTTAAAGAAGAAATACAAGTGGCCAATAAACATATGGAAAAATGTTTTATATAACTAATCATTAGAGAAATGCAAATTAAATCCTCAGTGACATATCATCTTACATCAGTCAGAATGGTTATTATTAGAAAGTCAAAAAACAACAGATGGTGGTAGGCAGGCAGAGAAAAGGAAATGATCATACACTTTTGATGGGAATGTAGATTAGTTCAACATCTATGGTAAACAGTAGGGAGATTTCTCAAAGAACTAAAATAGAACTACCATTCAACCCAGCAATCCCACTAGTGGGTATCTACCCAAGGGAAATAAATAATTGTATAAAAATGATGCCTGCACTTATACATGCATTGTAGCACTATTCACAATAGCAAAGTCATGAAAACAACCTGAGGATGTATCAGTGGTTGATTGGATAAAGTAAATGTGGTACATATACATCACAGAATACTACACGGCCATAATAAAGAATGAAATCATGTCCTTTGTAGCAACATAGGTGCAGCTGGAGGCCATTATCCTCAATGAACTAACTCAGAAACATAAAATCAAATATTACATGTTTTTTATTATAAGTGAGAGCTGAACAATGGATACACATTCACTGGGGATGTGATGGGGATGGGAGAGGCGGCAGAGTTGAAAAATTACCTATCAAATACAATATTTACCACTTGGGTAATAGGTAGACTAGAAGCCCAATCCCCATCAGTACACAATATAACAAATATGCACATTTGCCCCCTGAATCTAAAATTACATATAATTTAGAGGTGAGGAAACTAAGCTTAGAGAAATGCTATGACATGGACAAAGCAGTAAATTCAGTAAATGGCAGAATTCAGAGTTGAGTAATTCTATATTTATTGCATAATCCACAGTTCTTACTACATATAATACTATGTATATTTCTGTCTACCTACTAGCATAGGGTTGTAGGCTAAGTAGGATATACCACATGTTTCTATTCTCATTTGATGTCTTCCTCCTATTGCTTTTACCTCATATGTCATCTGGTACTTGGAAAACTGCAGGAAAATAAGTTCAAATGACTTTTATATAATGATATACCTGAAAATGAAAAAATAGTTGAATAAACATGAATTTCATTTCTATGTCTTTTTTTCATTGATGAAACTCCATAATTTATAAAAAATAATTTCTTTACTGATACTATTAAACCTATTTTGTGTAAAATATAGTTTAAATTAAAAATGATTTAAATAAAATAAAAAATATCAGACTAAAATAATATTACCAAGCATCTTTGGTGAATCATAGCAAATTCACTATGATTTTCATATAGTCTTTGCTTCTCAAAAATGGAGTAGTAACTTTTGTTTTATTTAAGATGTTTTGACTTTATAACTAAGACTAAATTTATATTGTTTTCGATTCTTTGTATACAAAATATGAATCAACCACTAGTTGTGCTTGAGAATAAAAAAGAGTAGGTCTTTTCCTTAACCATTTGCCTCAGGACAGTTGGTAGTAGACTAATATAAATACACTTTAAAATCTGGTGTTTTAGGTAAAATAAAAGAGCAACACTTCATCATTGTCTCAAAAGCAGGAGAGAAAAACAAAATGTAAAACCTTTTCATGATCACCACCTTTGCAAAATACTAATTTTCCTTCAAATGCCATAAATCATGTAAACAGAATGCATTATGTTGTTGCTCATTCCATCCATCTACTGAATTTTATAGCCTTCTTTTCATGTGTGAATCATTTTGGTTTATTCATGATTTATCTCTCACACACACTCAATGGGAAATTTTTTTTCTATCACCTAGAACATATTAATTACTTTAATTAAGCAACACATTTGGAGCATACTGGCAGACAAAGCAAAAATAGGAAAGCATTCAGTTATGTGGTACTGGCAGCATTCAGAAATAAGATGGTTTATAGAGATGTTATTTTATACTGCCATTAAAACTTGAGGTATATTTATAATGCAAACATTTTAGTTGAAATCTACATAATTTTAATTGGACAGTTAACAAAAATTTTCCTCAAGAAATTATTCCATATTATAACCCTTTATTGAAAGCTGAACTAGAACTTCAAAAATAATGTGCTTAAGTGGAAGCATATGTATCACATTACAAACATAGAAACAATTTAAGCCATACAGTATAAGAGATAGTTAATGACCTACGACATGCTTTCGTTAAGAGACTTTAATATGTCTTAAAATACACCTAATCCAATATTAAAGATCCAAGAAAAGTCTGAATTGCAAATCTCTCTTTGCAAACAAGATATGCTTTTGCTACTAGACCTATGGAAAGATGAAATGTATTATATGTTCAACTATCCTACATATTCAGAGGTTGTAGCTATCCTAAATATTCACAGAAGATGTAAAATTATCAACAGATAAGATCAATATTTTGTCTCAGACAAGAACTTGACATTGTCTACAATGCAATAAAGAATACAGAACAACCAGAAAATAATTTTGCTTTGAGAGACTTTAAGAATATTTGTAAAAATTCATGACAGAATGTAGGTGTTGGTTAAGAACTGCCCATGTAAACTAAACTGTAGGTGCTATTATGTACTAATGAAAATGAATAAAGAAAGCACCATTCATTTGATTGTTCCTGAAATCCCTGAGGTATGTATGGAGTTAGTTAGATAATCTAACCTGTGAACATTGGTCCTATGCCTTATCAGAGATTTTTATTTTTACTTAAAAGCTACCCTGAGCCGGGCACGGTGGCTCACGCCTGTAATCCCAGCACTTTGGGAGGCCGAGGCGGGTGGATCACGAGGTCAGGAGATCGAGGCCATCCTGGCAAACATGGTGAAGCCCCGTCTCTACTAAAAAGTAAAAAAAATTAGCCGGGCTTGGTGGTGGTGGGCTCCTGTAGTCCCAGCTACTTGGGAGGCTGAGGCAGGAGAATGGCGTGAACCCGGGAGGCGGAGCTTGCAGTGAGCCCAGATCGCGCCACTGTACTACAGCCTGGGTGACAGAGCGAGACACCGTCAGGAAAAACAAAACAAAACAAAAAAAACTACCCTGAAAAGAAGAAAAGAAAAACTAAAAACTTAACTTAGTTTTATTGAATTCTTAGAGTCTGTCTGGATGCCCTCCTTTGGTACTCTCATGATAATTTTAGTCTAGGTTGGGAAACGACCACTACCCAAGGGGATACAAGA
Source organism: Homo sapiens (assembly GCF_000001405.40). Lineage (NCBI taxonomy): Eukaryota > Metazoa > Chordata > Mammalia > Primates > Hominidae > Homo > Homo sapiens. The sequence continues at coordinate 41,110,954 of NC_000014.9, forward strand.
AAAATGATGGTAACTGTTCAATGAGCTATGGAAATTAGTAGAAAAAAAAAAACTTGTAAAAATCAGCTCAAAATTGATTTACCCTATTAAGTTCTATTTTGTTACTAATTATTAGTCATTTTGTTATGTTCTATTACATTTAATTTGTCATTTCATTACATGAGTGTCCCAAGTGCTGGGAATTGACTTTCTGAAAAGCTATTACCTTATTTTTGAAAAGATTTTGCCAAACTAAAAATTAAAGTCATTTTTCAAAGAAGAAAATAATCTTTCATGATGATAATTAAAACGTTAATTTCAAAATTCATAAAATGATGGTTTGACAAGACTTAGAGTGAATAAATAACTTCAGGTTTATCTCTGTATTGCTTAAAAATACTAAATTATTGTACATAGATGGCTTAGAATCGAATAAAGCATTTATTGACCATCTGCCTATAATTTAAATTAAACAGTTGTCCATTCTAATTTATGCTCTAATTTTAGATGACTTTAACCATTATTGAAAAATAAATACAATTTTAAATATTGGTAAGCAAATTTACAACTATATAGGCTGTTCAGCGATGTTATTTAAATAAGAGAAAGCAAACATTTTTACTATATTTTATCAAAAACTATTAATCAGGGAAAATACAAACATTTTAACTTTTGAAATTAAGCATTTACTTATTAAACAAAATATTGTTGAAGCTTCTTCTTAAGTTGATATAACCAGAGTTAGTAACATATTACTTATTGTATATTTTATCATATATCTTCTTTTAATTTTTATCTGTGTGTCTCGCTTCCCTATACATTCACTATACTTGTACTAATAATGCATTTGGCTCAGTGACAAATATATAAGAGCTCCTTGTAAGGCTTGCCCTATTCTACTTCCAGATGTAAATAAAATGTAAAAACACTGAATCAGGATGAGTGGGGGCTCAATAACCTTAGGAAGTAGTTGAGATCACTATATCTTTGTTGGGCAAAAAAGAATTTTCATAAATGGAATGTACATCATATATGTTTCTAATTCTTAATTCACAAACTCATAACACATGCAAACATGAGTCACGAAATAAATGTTTTGAAAAAATTGGTTATCCTGTAAGAAAAGTACAATTTTTATTTATCTTATTATATATGAAAATAAATAATAGTTAAAGATTTAAATGTTAACACAATTGTAAATCTTAAAAAATATAGGTGAATAAATAAATGAGAGCTTTTGAATTCTATTCTACAGGCAGTGGGAATTCAATATCTGTAAAATAATAGATTTTAGTGCATACAAATGTGAAAGTCTGGACACATAAGAGACAATGACACACAAAAAAACCCTCACAAGTTAATATAGATTTGAGATTGTATTAAGGATGAATTATTGCTAATTTTCATGAGAAAAAGTATACCAGTTGAGAATTAATAAATATATTTACCAAAATAAATTCACACAATTAATTCAAATGGACATCTTCATACCTATGAAAATATATAGAGATGCTCGATCTTTAGAAAATGGTGCAGAACTGTTTTTCACTGCTTAGCACAACCATAGACATTGGAAATGGTGAAAGATACAACAAAAACAGAACTCTTAATGGTGAAAAAATATTGAGATCACAGGACTGGAGTAACAGCACTGCATCAGGTTGTCTTGTGCATCAACTCTACCTGCTGCAAATAAAACAGAAGTATCATTGACATGAACCCAACACCACCAGCAACGGAGAGCCACATTAGAAATAAATGGTCAGTGGAGATACTTTCCTTTTCCATTAGGTCTTTGACTCCCATTTTTAATGTGATGGGGAAGTGAATCATGCAAGAGTGACTCACCTATAGCAAGTATGTTGGTGCAAAAATCATCTTTATTCTAGTGGGCTCAACATTCTCCTCTTCACCTAGAGACAGCAGTAGTGGTCCCACCACACCCTATGAAAGACAGCCATTGGCCCGGCCTGGAGAAACTGCCTCTGCTCCTTCAAACAGGAGCAACAGGGATCATTGGGATCCCCAGAAACACTAGACAAACTACAAAGACCCCCCAAAAATACAAGGGGTCTGAAAGTTAAACTATAATTGAATCTCAGCCCACAAAGTAGACCAAGATCCATATGCTAAACTTAAACATGGTGTCTCCCTACTAAAATAAATTATTTAAATGGGATTTTGGTTCATCTAACATAGTAGATTAAATGTCCAGGATACAATTTTAAAAATGCCTGTCATTATAAGGACCAAGAAAATGACCATTAGAATGAGAAAAGATAATCAACTGATGTAAATAACAAAATGAATCAGATTTTTGAGTTATCTGACAATGATTTTAAGTAAACATCAACACAAGACCTCAAAAATCAATTACAAATTCTCTTGAAATAAATAAAAACTTAAAATTTCACCAAATGAATAAAGATCATAAAAGGAACAGAATAGAAAATATAGAACTGAAAAAATTTAATAACACTTTTAAAATGGTTGAATGGTTCTAATGGTAAGGTGGAGATGATAGAGGGTAGATGAGTAAACTAGAGAGTAGAACAATAAAATTCACCTGATCTGAAAAAAACAGAAAGAAAATAAACTTCAAAATAAAGAGATTTTCAGAAGCCCGTGGGTCAATAACAAAAAATCCAAGTTTCATATCATCCAAGTACCAGGACAGGTGAAAGAGAGAAAAGCTGAAAAGGTATTTGCAGAAATAATGTCTGAAAATTTTCCAAATTTGACAAAAGACATACATTTGCAGATTCAAGAAACTGAGAAAGCCCTTATTGGTATATACACAATGAAATCCGTCTGAATATAGATTTTGATTAAACTTTGAACAGAAGTAATGACAATGGGAAAATCTTGAAAATATCCAGAGAGAAACAACATATCAGCTATATGGGAACACCATTTCAAATGACAACAGATTTATTATGTGAAACCATTGAGGCCAGATGAGTGTTACAATATTTTTCAAGTGATGAAAGAAAATAATTGTCAGTCATAAATTTTACATTATGCAAAACTATACCTCAGTAATACATGTGCAATAAAAACACTTCCAGATAAAGTACGATTGAAAGAATTTTTTACTAGCAGACCTTCTCTTAAAGACTGGCTATTGGAAGTTACTCATTTTAAAAGAAAGAATCTTAAAGCTCAGATAGGAAGAAGGAACAAAGGAAAGAATAGAACTATGGATACATGCAGTAGATTATCATTTTTCTTCTGAGTTTATGAAACATATTGGATGATTGAAGCTAAAATTATAATACGATCTGATTCTCAAGAGACTAATATTGAAAAATGAAAAAGGTAAAGAGACTTAAGTGGAAATGAGGTTTTCATATTTCATTCAAAGGGATGAAATAAAAAACATAAGTAGAATTATGCATGCTGTGATACCCAAAGCAATCACAACAAAACTGTACAAGATACACTAAAAAATCCTATACATACATCAAAATGCAATTCTAAAAAATGTTCAAATAACACACAAGAAGTCAAGACAAGGGATATAGAGGAATCAGAACCTGAGAAAACAAGTAATAAAATATTAATATTAATAACAATGAAGTGGCAATATTAGTATCTGACAAAATAGACTTCTAGGCAAATACAATTTTTAGAGATAAAGAGGTATATTGCATAATGATGAAAGGATAACTAGCCGAAGAGCATATAACAATTCTAAATATGTACATAACAAAGAAGGCCTCAAAATACATGAAGCAAACTGATAATTATGAAAGGAGAAAGAGACAAATTCACAATTATTATTGCAGTTTTTAATACTCTCCTCTCAGCAACTGAAAGGATATAGAAAATCTGAACAATGAAATTAACCAACAGGATCTAATTGACATTTATGCAACACTACGTATAACATACATATATTATGGAATACATAAATTTTGAAGTGCCTATGTTACATTTGTCATATAGACTAAACCCTGAATTATAAAACACACATCATAGCTTTCAAAGTAATTAAAATAATACTGTGTGATCTTTGATTATAATTAACTAAAAATGGATATAATAACAAAAATATGACATAATTTTTAAAAATATGAACATTAAATAACATATTTCAGAGAATCCATAGGTAAAAGATAAAATTTTTCAAGATAATTTTAAAAAATACATAGCACTAAATGAAAATAAAAACACAATTTATAAAAATACATTAAATTATTTAAAGCACTAGTAAGAATAAAATATATAGCACTAAATAATTACACTAAAATGGAAAAAGTTCTCAAATTAAAAATCCAGAATGAAGGAAATACACCATTGATGATTTCAATAGAAGCAGAAAAAGCATTTTGCAAAATCCAGCATCCCTTCATGATAAAAGGTCTCAACATATTATGCATAGAAAGTACATACTGCAACAAAATAAAGGCCATATATGACAAACATACTGCTAAGATGATACTTAATGAGGAAAAGTGGAAAGCTTTTATTCTGAAATCTGGAATCCGACAAGACGGCCTACTTCCACGAGTTCCATTCCACATAGTAATGAACATCCTAGCGAGCAGTTAGGCAAGAAAAATAAATAAGAGACATCCAAATTGGACAAAAAGGAAGTCAAATTGTTTGTTTGCAGGCAACATGATATTATATGTAGAAAACCATACTCTGCCAAAAACCTATTAAAACTAATAAATGAATTTCATATAGTTACAGGAGACAAAATCAACATATAAAAATTAGTAGGTTTCCAAACACCCCATCTTCTCACTCATAAGTGGGAGTTGAACAATGAGAACATATGGGCACAGGGAGGGGAATATCACACACCAGGGCCTGTCGGGGGGTAGGGGGAAGGGGAGGGATAGCATTAGGAGAAATACCTAATGTAGATGATGGGTTGATGGGTGCAGCAAACCATCATGGCACATATATACGTATGTAACAAACCTGCACGTTCTGAACATGTATCCCAGAACGTAAAGTATAATAAATAAATAATTTAAAAATTAGTAGCTTTCTATAAGCTAATAGTAAACACTTCATGACATTATTGTAGGTGAGGATTTTTTTTTAGATAACACCTCAAAAGCACAGGCAACAAAAGTGAATACAGAGGATGGAATTGCATCAAACTAAGTAGATTTCACACAGCTAAGAAAACAATAAACAGAGTAAGGAGACTACTGACAAACTCTGTAGCTGTAGTTATACATACATATATATATATGTATATATATATATATATATATAATATATAAAACCTAAAACGTAAAACCTAAAACTATGAATTATCTTCAAAATAAAAAGAAAGACAGACAGACAAAAAGGAGGAGGGGGAGCAAGATGGCAGAAGAGAAATCTCCACTAATTATCTCCCCTGCAAGGACAACAATTTAACATCTATATATATATATAAAAAAGCACCTTCATAAGAACCAAATATCAGGTGAGCATTCACAGTAACTGGTTTTAACTTCATGTCACTGAAAGAGCTACTGACAAGGTAGGAAAGAATCTCGAATTGCCAATGCCATCCCTCCACCATCCCCCACATCAGCAGTGCGGTGCTGAGAGCATTTCTCTGGAATGAAGAAAGGAAGATGTCGGCATTTTGAGGCACTGAACTCAGTGCTTCCCTAAAATAACAGAAAACAAAACCAGACCAAACTCGACTGATGCCTGCCCACAGAGGAAACACTTAAACCAATCCCAGAAGTCCAAATCTGAGTTCCCACAAGCTGCACCAATGCAAGCTTAAGTGCTACGGGGCTCTAAATAAACCTGAAAGGCAGTCTAGGCCACAAGAACTGCAATTAACAGGTGAGTCTCAATGCCGAACTGGGCCCAGAGACAATGGACTGGGGGTGGTCGGGGCATGTGACCTACTGAAACATCAGCCGGGGCAACTAAGGGAGGGCTAAAGAGTTATAAGAGGAAATTTTATAGGTGTAAGTGTCTACATTAAAAAAAAATTCAAATAAACAACCTAACAATGCGTCTTAAATAACAAGAAAAGCAATAGCAAAGTCAATCCAAAATTAGTAGAATACAATAAATAATAAAGGTCAGGGCAGAAATAAATGAAATTGAAATAAAATAATACAAAAGATTACTAAAACAAAAAGTTAGTTTTTGTTCCTTAGAAAAGTTAAACAAAATTGATAAACTTTTGGCAGTGAAGCTCCAAATAAATGAAATCAGAGATGAAAAAGGAAACATTAATATTGATATTACAGAAATTCAAAGGATCATTAGTGACTACCATGAGCAACTATATGCCAGTAAATTGGAAAACATAGAAGAAATGGATAAATTTCTAGACACATACAACCAATCAAAATTGAACCATGAAAACATCCCAAATCAGAACACACTAATAACAAGTAACAAGATTGAAGCCGTAATACAGATGACTTCACTGCTGAATTTTATCAAACATTGAAAGAAGAACTTATATGTATCCTACTCAAACTGTTCTGAAAAACAGAGGAGGAGCGAATACTTCCAAACTCATTCTATGAGGCCAGTATTATCCTGTTACCAAAACCAGACAGACACATTAAAAAAAGAGACAGGCCAATATCTCTGAAAATATTCATGTAAAAATCCTCAACAAAATACTACAAACCAAATTCAACAATACATTATAAAATTCACTCATCATGACTAAGTGGGGTTTTGACAAAGGATGTAAAGATGGTTTAACATATGCAAATCAGTCAATCTGATACATCATATAAACAGAATGAAAACTAAAAACCATAATATCATTTCAATTGATGTTGAAAAATCATTTGATAAAATTCAACATTCCTTCATGATAAAAACCCTCAAAAACTGGAGATAGAATGAACATGCCTCAATATAATAAAAGCCACGTGCTACACAGACCCACCGCTAGTACCATACCGAATAGGGAAAAACTGAAAGCCTTTCCTCTAAGAAGTGGAACACCACAAGAACGCTCACTTTTACATCTGTTATTCAACATAATTCTGGGAGTCCTAGCTAGAGAAATTAGACAAGAGAAGGAAATAAAGGGCATCCAGACTGGAAAGAAAGAAGTCAAATTATTCTTGTTTGACATGATCTTATATATGACATGATCTTATATTTGAAAAAACCTAAAGACTCCATCAAAAAACAATTAGAACTGAAAAACATATTTAGTAAAGTTGCAGGATACAAAATCAACAAAGAAAAATTATTAGCATTTCCATATGATAATGTAAACAATCTGAAAAAAGAAATTAAAAAGTGATCCCATTTACAATAGCCATGAATAAAATTAAACACCTACAAATTAACCAATTAAGTCGAAGTTCTCTATAATGAGAACTATAAAACACTGATGAAAGAAATTGAAGAGGACACCAAAATATGTAAAATTATTTCATCTTCATGGAGAGGAAGAAAATATCCAGACTACCCAAAATGATCTATAGATTCAATGCAATCACTATCAAATTACCAATGACATCCTTCACAGATACAGAAAAAACAATCCTAAAACTTATATGAAATCCCAAAAAGACCCAGAATATCCAAAGCTATCTTATGCCAAAAAAAAAAATAAAATAACAGAAAAAATCACATTACTGACTTCAAATTACACTATAGAGGTATAACAACCAAAACAGCGTGGTACTGGCATAAAAACAGACACATAGACCATTGCAACAGAATAGAGACAAATTTATACACCTAGAGTGAACTCATTTTTGAAAAAGTTTCCAAGAACATACCCTGGAGAAAAGACACTCTCTTTAGTAATAGTATTGGGAAAATTGGATAACTATATGCAGAAAAATGGAGCTAGACCCCTATCTCTCACAAATACAAAAATCAAATCAAAATGAATTAAACACTTAAAGCAAATATCTCAATCTATGAAACCACTACAGGAAAACGTTGAGGAAACACTCCAGGACATTGGTCTGGGCAAAATTTTGTTGAGCAATATCCCACAAGCTCTGGCAACCAAAGCAAAAATGAACAAGTGGTATCATACCAAGTTAAAAGCCTTCCACACAAACAAAGGAAACAATCAATAAAGTTAAAAGAAAACCCACAGAATGGAAGAAAATATTTGGAAATCACCCATATGACAAGGGATTCATAACTAGAATATACAAATAGCTCAAAAAAAATCTAACAATTCCATCAAAAAATGGGCAAAAGATTTGAATACACATTTTTCAAAAGAAGACATACAAATGGTAAGAAGTTATATGAAAGGTTGTTCAATATCATTGATTATCAGAGAAATGCAAATAAAAACTACAGTGCAATATCATCTCACCCCAGTAAAAACAGCTTATATCCAAATGACAGGCAATAACAAATGCTGGTGAGGATATGGAGAAAAGGGAACCCTTGTACACTGTTGCTATGATTGTAAATTAGCACAACCACTATCGAAAACAGTTTGGAGGATCCTCAAAAAACTGAAAAGAGAACTGCTATATCATCCACTAATCCCACTGTTAGTTATGTACCCGAAAGAAAGGAAGTCAGTATGTTGAAGAGATACCTGCACTTCCATGTAACAAACATGGAACAAATATGCAACAAGCAGCCCTCTTCACAATAGCCAAAATTTGGAAGCAACCTAAGTGTTCATCAAGAGATGAAGAGATAATGAAAATGTGGCACTTGTACACAATGGAATAACATTCAGCCATAAAAAAGAATGAGAACCTGTCATTTGCAATGACATGGATAGAACTGGAGGTCATTACGCTACATGAAATAAGCCAGGAGCAGAAAGACAGACATTGCATGTTCTCACTTATTTGTGAGATCTTAAAATAGAAAACAATTGAAATCATGGACATAGAGAGTAGAAGGATGGTTATCAGAGGCTGGGAAGGGTAGTAGGGGAGGTAGGAATGGTTAATAGATAGGAAAAACATATTTAGAAACAATGATTTAGACCTATTATTTGATAGTATAATAGGATGTCTATAGTCAATAATAATTTAATTGTACATTTAAAAATAACTGAAAGAGTATAATTGCATTGTTTGTAACATATAGGATAAATGTTTGGGAGACTAGAAACCCCATTTTAAATGGTGTGATTACTCTGCACTGTGTGCCTATATCAAATTATCTCATGTATTTTTCTTTTTATTATTTTTATTTTTTTAACAAAAGGAATTTTTTTCTTATTGCCCATGAACAGTGCCTATTTTCTTATGCATTTCCCAGCAGATATATTTTATAGTAAACTTGTATTTTGTTAGCTCTGCTTTTATTAGTAAACACTACTGGAAAGACCAAATTTTTTAAAATGCCTTAACATTATCAAAGATTTGACATTACAGGTTCCCAATCAAATGAAAGAGCCAGGAAGTCAGGAAATGTGAAAGAAGAAAATCTTATTTTGTCTTGTAAAACAAGAAGTTGGTTGCAAGTCTGCATTGTTGAAAGATGCACACACATTGCTGTCCATCTTGTCAGCAGAGGCACTGACATCCTTTTGCTATAGTCTTATATTTCCAAGGCTGCTTGTAAAACAGTCTTGGAAGAAAGGGTTTTTCTTTGCTGTGACAGAGGGTAGGTTTGCTTACTATCCAGTACAATAAAGCTAATGTTTTCTTTTAGAGCAAATGTTGGTCAGGTTTCTTTGCATCCCATTATTAAGCACTAGAATTTCCTAATTTGATGGTTCCCCTGCTACGTCACAAACCATGTGCCTACAACATGTCCAGGCTCACCAGGGACTTGGGGCACATAGGAAACGTGCACAAAGAGGAAGCTCCTGCTGTCTCCTGTATATAATAAAATACTTGGTCTGTGACCCAGGAATCTTCTGTCTCCCGTCAGCATACATGAAACATAACTAGCTTGTTAGCCTGCAATTAACGTAAACCTCAGACCACTCTCAGTTATTGATATGCTTAACATGGGGACATATGTTAGATCATCTTTAATATTGATGTAGATATAAAAAGGATTTAATATACAGATTTTTTTTTTAAAAAAAAGCAAAACTAAGGTAAAAAAACAACAGTGACCACAAACTAGTGTTTATAGTTATTAATTCTAAGAAAAAAAACAGAAAAAACATACACATGCATATATAATATGTAGAGTTTATAAAATTATTCAAAACAAAATAAAGGAACTATCTTAAAAAATTAGAAGAGCATTTCTGAAATAGATTACGGTAGAAGATTTTGGATAATTATATTTATAGTCTTTTTATGCCTTAATACAAAGGTTTTTTATTTATGCAAACATTTGGGGAAAAATTACATACATTCATTAAATGCATTTATTAAAAATGAATATTACAATCTTATAGAACAAAATTAATAAGTAACGCATAAAGCCTTCATTGTATAGTAGTAGAGATACTGACAAAGTTGTTCCTGACGTGTCAGCCAATTTGCTAGCCATGACCATCAAGAGAGAATAAGAGTGCAATGAAGTGCCAGGATTAGACATATCAGAGATCACACAAGCCAGAACTTTGCCAAATAACATGCAGGAAAGCACAGCCTATGAATAATATAATAAAGACTGCCTATATAAGCATAAGGATAATCAGAAACTTCAAGTTTTCAAATAAACTGTGATCCCTCAATAGCTCTCTTTTCAATGTAATGCTGAAATGAAGGATAAATTAGGGCATACATCTATATTGTGATATTCTCTTTAATACAGCATTTATTAAAATTATCTTCCTACATGAAAAAGTGTGAAGAATTCAGGGAAGAAAAGGAGAGTAGCAGCCACTAAATAACTATAAACTAAAGTATAAACAGACATTTTTAAAGAGTATTTTGGGAGATTTGAATATTCTTTTGTGGGGTATCAACTCCAAGGCAGTAACCAATAGCAAGTAGAGTGGCAGGTGATGCAGGGTTCTCTAAGTGTGTTTGGCAAGAATTGCAGTGAAAAGGCAAGGACAGAATTTCAGGGAATGGTGCAGGGGGTGATTTATTAGCTAATGGATGAAATCAGGGTGATTTGAGTAATAAAAGGGAATTGATGCACTGAATAAATTATGAAATTTTGATTAATCTTTTAAAATTAGAATCTATGAAAGTCAAGGAATGTGAAGTGAAGAGGGCACTGTGAGTATTTCCTTGGAAGTGAAACTGTTCCCTATAATGGGAAGGTTTAACATTGTCATATGCAAACGGCTCACTGAAATTCATTGGTGATGAAAGCCGGTTAGATCAAGGAATCAATTACTATGCTGTAAACACATAGCTATGGCTATTTAACTGCTCTTCCGTTAAAACAAATTCAGCATTTATAGTTACTTACTGAATTTTACAAAATAGTCATTGAATAAGCATATTTATGAGCAATTAATAAAACCATGCTTATACTTTGTGAATTGGATATGGAATCAAGGCTTCATGGATCATAATTAGTATTGCTACTTTGTATGAAGCACCTTAACTTTTCTTCTGTACAATAAGAATAGATTTCCCAGTAAATATCCAGTTCTCAATCTTAATGTTAAATTTATTTTTATTTCTAATAACCCATTAAGATATATAAAATACTAATAAAAATCTTGAGAGAACACTTATGAGTGTTGTAAAATATTTTGAGTGAACTTTTAGCAAGAACTTTTTAAATTTTTAGATGTGTATATATACATAATTATATAGTATATGTGTATTTAAATGTGCACATGTATACATATATATGATTTTTATTTTTTGCTCTAATTAGTAAGATATAGTAAAATGTTATTTTGTGATTCTGGAAAATAATATGCAGCTTTTAATGCTGACAAGACAAGGCACCATTCCTGTATCATTTAGATTTTTTTCTCTATTAGGAGTTTCTAAACATCCTTTTAGGTATGTAACAAGACAGTAAAAACCTTGTGTTCTAGTTTCACTGCCTGACTGTAACATAAAATGAGGAATAGGCTAAAAGAAATACTGACGGCGAGTGCCTTAAACTTGTTTTCAGACAGCAGGAGCACTACTTCAATAAAAGGTGGTGCAGAACTATTCTGCTGTATTTATAATTGGGAACACCATTTTATAGCTTATGATATTAATCAGAATTGAACGATTTTATTAGGATAACAGAATTTTTATGGTACTTCAGCAGTTTTCTTTAATAATTCAGACCTAGGCCTCAGACTGGGTATTTCTACCTACTCTATAATTTTTGGCACACAAACACCAAAACTTCATTTTGTTTTCATGAAGATGTTGTATAATCTTTTCCTATACTGCATGATTTATTTGGTTGGAGGATTCAAATTTATTTTTAGTGTTTTACTAAGCCCAATATGTAATTATCACACAGTTGAAATTTAACCAATATTATCTTTTCCTCAGCTTAAAGTTACTTTCTCTAAAAATCTTTTCATGACCTCAAACAACTAGGTCAGTTTTCATCCTATACACACTTCTGTCAACCTGGAGCTGCCCATGTGGTTGTCATTCCACATTAGAGTTTTATGTTCCTTTTCGAGTATAAAATGATATGCTGTGAAGCCCTTAAGTTCAAAGAGCAAGTTTTATAAGGGGGTGTTCGTATCGCCTGCTTTGTCAGAGCCAGTTTTACTTTCAAACTGTTGCCAAAATATTCTGTGTATGTCTCCTCTTTACACTGAAAATTGTCTTGGTTTGGATGATAAATTATACGGTCATTCCACTTATAAACATTGGTAAATGGTGGCTACTCGATAAAGATTTGTGGAGCTAATAAATGAATGAACAGTTGAGTGAAGGAAGGAACTGACCATAGTTATCTTTTACATTTTAAGAGGAATTTTGAAATGTCCTCTTTTAAAAACTTTACCATTCACATTGCATTCACAAGAAAAAAGGAAGAAGTGAATAATTTACTCAAATATCTTGTTACAAACTTTGCTAACACTTTCATTTGTTACTTGTGAGAAAACTACTTCTACATTTTATATGGACAGCTATCCATTGTTCTGTTTAACTCTCTTTTCTATTTCACTCTCTGTCTGATTCATACTTAGTGGCTTGTTATTTTTGTAATTTTTCATGGTATCACTGCAGATAAAACTTAAAAGATCTTTATGCGGTGTATCTGTTAAGTATAAAAATATTTCATTTATAGCTTTCAGTACTTCTTATCTATTTCTTTTTGAAGAAGTTGATCATGAATTATACATACCTGCACAGCATGAAATATTCAATTCATGTTCTTTCCTTCCATTTCAGCCTACAAAACAAAGAAAGAGTTGTTTGAACATAGAAAATATAGGATTTGTGAATAGCAATATGCCAGTGGTATTTAATAGCATTTTTCCCATAACAGGGCTCAGATGAGAAGTCTAGCATAATGATATTTCTATTTTCACACACTCAGTGCAAGTCCATATAAGTCATTCAATTAACTGAAACAGAAACTTTAAGTATACAAATTATGCTTCTCAAAATACAGAGTTTATTTTTCAAAAGTCAGAAATAATATTGATGCTAAATGGAATTATTATCAAACAAAGTCATATTTGAGAAAACTGAGAAAATTAATATAGATTTATTAAGACAATAACCACTTTTTGAATAGTAATGAAGATGTTCACCACTGATTTGAATTGGTAATTGTTGAATTATTCTGTTTGGTTCAATACCTTACACCTGAATATTTCCTATAATAAATCTTTCTAAATCTAGGAAGAATAAAGTCTTCACCATTTACTGAAGAATTCTGTTATATCTGAGGCGACTGCATGGGCTGAGACCTCAGATAGCTTCAGGTTACAGCTATCAAACTCTTCCTTAGGGAAAACTTCATGCAATAATATATTTTGTTTGAGCTACCTTACTCCTTAGACAATCTGCAGTTTTTCTCCTTTTATAAACCAATTAATCCGGGATTTGTCAATTCTTTAGCCAACTATTAGTGGCAAGTGACTTCTGTTCACCAATAAAACAAATTTTTTCTACCTACCTGATGTAGAGAAATAAATGGAAGACAACAAAATCAAACAAAATAAATAAAAACTAAATTGTGAGCTTCACTTATCTATTTACTTCATAATGCACAGCACATCAAGCTACTCCAGAAAATGTTCAATGGATGTGTAAAATGTATAGATTGTGGTCACAGTTTTACTATTTAAGCCTTTACGGTTTAGAAATTATTCAAAATGAAATTGACTGGTACAATATAAACTCAGTCATCTCATTCACTGGAAGGTTTTTTGATTTCCATTTTAAATATATGTTTTAAGTTTTCTTAAAATCTTTTCTTCAAGCTAAATAGTTCATTTAGGATTGAGACTCTGTAACAATACAATTATGGTTGTATGTTAGAAATGTCAAAGCAGTCAGTTTTAAATTTCTTTTAAATGTGATATAGTATACACTAAATTTTCAGTTCTTAACTATATTTGTTTTAGTTCATTAAAAATAACGACTGAATATTAATTTGCATTGTGTATATTGTAGTGTTTCTCAAAATAAGTATTTAATTAATTATTCTTCTGGCCCTCAGCCACTTAGAAAGTCTAAATAGAAACTGAAATTAGATTTTAAATATTTTTATCATAATGAATGATATTTATAAAGCACAAACTCTGTGCCAGGGATTGTTGTTAGTGCATTGATATGGATGTCTTATTTAATATTCACTAAAATCTATTCCATAATCATTATTATTATCACCGTGTGACAATAGATGATGAAATGATGGTATAGCAGGTTAAGAATATTTTAAGACCATGTAGATACTAAGTGGTGGAACTGGGATTCTAATCAAGAAATTTGATTCTGCAATTTGTTCTTTTGTGCTTCTTTAAGTAGCTGTCCACCAACCTCATTCCCAGAGACACTGGATAGCATTAACATCCTGTTCTAATCAAACGTGAAAAAAAATCAAATTAACAACTTATCAAATATTGCTACTCAAATGCCTCCTTTGTTAGCTTGTTATGCAATATTTTACAACTTAGTGTTTTCTTTAGATATTATAATATGCATCCTTAACAAGCTACATTTTAATCTAGATTACATATTCTAGCACTTTCTAAATAATGAAAGGCCTTAGGACATGTCACTTACCGTGCTTTTAAATTTTTTACTATTGCTGTCATATATCTTAATTTTTCATATATTTAAATTTAATCGGGCCGGGCATGGTGGCTTACACCTGTAATCCCAGAACTTTGGGAGGTCGAGGCGGGCAGATCACAAGGTCAAGGGTTTGAGACCAGCCTGGCCAATATGGTGAAACCCCGTCTCTACTAAAAATACAAAATTAGCTGAGCATGGTGGCGCATGCCTGTAGTCCCAGCTACTCAGGAGGCTGAGGCAGGAGAACCGCTTGAACCCTGGAGGTGGAAGTTGCAGTAAGCTGAGATCGTGCCATTGCACTCCAGCCTAGGCAAAAAGAGCGAGACTCCATCTCAAAAAAAATAATAATCATCATCATCATTTTGATCACTCTAGTAACTAGGTCAACTGTGGTTCTGCTCCACTGATTTATTTAATTTTATTTTTATTTTTATTTTTTTATTTTTTTGCCTCATAGCCCTGTCTCCTGGTTTGACTGGTAATTTTTTTTTTTTTTTTTGGAGATGGAGTCTTGCTCTGTTGCCCAGGCTGGAGTGCAGTGGCGCGAACTCCGCTCACTGCAAGCTCCACCTGCCAGGTTCACGCCATTCTCCTGCCTCAGCCTCCCAAGTAGCTGGGTGCCCGCCTCCAAACCTGGCTAAATTTTTTCTGTATTTTTAGTAAAGAAGGTGTTTCACCGTGTTAGCCAGGGTGGACTCGATCTCCTGACCTCGTGATCTGCCCACCTCGACCTCCCAAAGTGCTGGGATTACAGGCATGAGCCACCACACCCGGACTTGACTGGTAAATTTGTATTAAATACTATACATTGTGTGAAAAAAAAAATATTGCCAATTCTGCAAGATGTTACCATTCTACCAAAAAAAAGTTATCTTTATGTCTAGTATGCAATTAAAGCAGGAGAAAATCACTTTATCACAGCATGGAGCTAAGCCGAGATGGATTTTGTTCATTATAGAATCCTTGTGTTCCCAGTGCTACTTACTTTTAGAGGAAAATTTTCAAGGATCTCAACTCAATCGTCTTCTTGGAAAGCCCTGAAATCTGCTTACTTTTTCCATTGTTCTATGAGACTGCTGGAAACTCTCCTCACTTCCTCAGTCCCGCCCTGCTTACCAATTAAGAAATGGCTCAAGAATGAAAGCGGTGTTCACTCTTTATTCTCTTTGTCTTTCATTCTCTCTGGGTTCTTAATTTTTATACTCTGGCTGCTTTGGAAATTGTGACTTTTTTTTTTTTTTGGCCTTATCAGCCTCATGAAACTGCCTAAACTACCAAACTTTTCAGCCACTTGTAGCACCTTCTGCTTGCCTTTCAGCCATACACAGGCTGCATACAAATTGGCAAAAACTCTGAGGGCAAAGTTGGTGAAATGTTAGGTTCACCGAAATGTACTTCCCCTCTGTCTGGTGATTTGAAGAAGACTGTGACTCAGCTGCCTTTGTTTCTCTGTAGTAACTCCAAACAGGTGGCTTTTGAACTTTATCTAGCTATCCTAAGTAGGACTTGGTAGGAGGGTTGTTCTTATAACATCTATTCTGTCTTAGGAGAAAGAACTCCCCTCTACTCTTCACTTGGTTAAAATCTGTTCATCTTCAATCACATCATTCCCACTTGTCTTCAAAGCATTTATCTCAGTTTGTAAGCTTGCATTATGCATTAAATTATGAGCTTACTCAGAACAAGGAATGGGCTTCTTTTGTACAACACAAAATCCCAAGTATCTACTTCAGGAATATTTGAAGGAATTATATCCATCAAAGACAAAAAAAAAAAAAAGGAATGAAAAAGTGAAAAACACTGCTGCTGATAGCTTATAATGCGCAAAATATGAACTTCCCTTTCTTGTGGGAAGATTATACATGCTTGTTCATTGATCATATGCTTGACTGTGGGACTTGCTTTAGTTAAAGAAATATAAATGGGGGAGATTAAATTTTACTAGAAGAACAGCCATCATTGGGTTCCTCTGTATTCTCCCCTTTACCTCTGGCAAAAGAATAGCCTGCAATGTGTCTTAAGCTATTTCTTCAGCCTATGCCTCTTCATGAAGAAGTAGAAGAGTTAACTGAACTCAATCAGTAACACATATGTAACGTGAATGATAAATAAATATTTGTTCTTGTAAGATGCTGAAATTTTAGGACCCTTTTACGGCTGCATAGCTTGGGTAAATTGACAGATACAAGAATTAATACCAGGAATGAGTACTTTTATAACAAAAATTATGGTGCTAGTTTTGGTGCTAAGTAGAAAGGGTGATGAAACTCTTAATGAATGTTAGAAAAATAACAAGCCATGTTATGTAACATGAAAGTTTTGTTTAAACTGTAGCATGGTCAGGTGAATATGGCAGATGAGGCAAAACTTTGTAGCCCAATTTATTCAACTTTCAAGGCATTGGTTGTGCGACATGTAGTTGAGCATTGTTGTGGGGAAGAATTGGGCCCTTTCTGTGGACCAATGCCGGCTGCAGGACAGTTTTTGGTGCATCTCATCCATTTGCTGAACATACTTCTCAGATGTAATGGTTTCACCTGGATTCAGGAAGCTGTAGTAGATCAGACCAGCAGCAGATCACCAAACGGTGATGACGACCTTTTTTTTTTTTTTTAAATATAATTTAAGTTCTGGGATACATGTGCAGAACGTGCAGGTTTGTTACATAGGTATACACGTGCCATGGTGGTTTGCTGCACCCATCAACCCATCATCTACATTATGTATTTCTCCTAATGCTATCTCTCCCCCAGCCCTCCAGCCCCCCAGCCCCCGACAGGCCCTAGTGGACCACGACTTTTTTTTTGATGCAAGTTCAGCTTTGGGACGTGTTTTGGAGCTTCTTCTCAGTCCAACCACTGAACTGGTCCTTGCCAGTTGTCATATAAAATCCACTTTTCGTCGCACATCACAATCTCCTTGAGAAATGGTTTGTTGGGTAGAATAAGAGAAGATGACACTTCAAAACATTTTTTTTTATTTTTGCTAAGCTCATGAGCCATCCACTTATCGAGCTTTTTCACCTTTCCAATTTAATTCAAATGCCAAACAACCATAGAATGGTTGATGTTGAGTTCTTTGTTGTAAGAGGATCATCTTCGATAATTACTTTCTTGTCTTTGTTTTTTTTTATTTTATTTATTTATTTATTTATTTATTTTTGACATGGAGTCTTGCTCTGTCATCCAGGCTGTCAGTGGGGCGATCTTGGCTCACTGCAACCTCTGACTCCAGGGTTCAGGTGATTCTTCAGCCTGAGACACCTGAGTAGCTGGGATTACAGGTGCGCACCACAATGCCCAGCTAATGTTTGTATTTTTAGTAGAGATGGGGTTTCGTCATGTTGCTCAGGCTGTTCTCGAACTTCTAAGCTCAAAGTTATCCACCTGCCTCGGCCTCCCAAAGTGCTGGGATTACAGGCATGAGCCACCACGCCTGGCAATGATTGCTTTTAATTGGTCGCTGTCAAGTTCCGATGGATGGCCACTATGTGCCTCATCTTCAAGGCTCTCATCTCCTTTGCAAAACTTCTTGGACCACCATTGCAATGTACCTTTGTTAACAGGTCCTGGGCCAGATGTGTTTTTGATGTTGCGAGTTGTCTCTGCTGCTTTACAACCCATTTTGAACTCGATTAAGAAAATAACTCAAATTTGCTTTTTGTCCAACATGATTTCTGTAGTCCAAAATAAACATAAAATAGACAGCAAATAATAAATCATTAGCAAAAAAGACATAAAACAAGAAATGCCCACTAAAATGATGTATAACATAACCACATTTATTTTAGAATGTATTCTAATATCAAACGGCAAATTCCAACAATGCAAAAACCGCAATTCCTTTTGCACCAACCTAATACCAACTTCTCTGAGTTCAGTGAGACATAACACACTCATATGCAACGGGCTACATGAAGTGGGTTTATTACTTAATAGGTAGGCAGCAAGGGACAAAAGAGGCCCAGGATTCATTGCAAGCAGTCCTCAAGGCTCAAGACAGCTTCCCAGGGTGGATGAAGTCTCAACTGCAGGTGCCCCACTTCCACCACAGCTGAGAGACCCGGAAAAAGCAGCCCACCCTAGGTTATACACTCAGGGGTCACATGACTCATTGGGCAAAGCTTTGAAGGACATCTTGCTCCCTGGGGAGAGAGGGACAATATTGGGGCTGTTCTGGAAGTCCCCTAGGAGGGACAGGAACAAGGCTCCGGCTGTTTCAGAAAGTTCCCCCTATTTCAAGATACTGCGTTGCCAGCACATTTACAGTTATTCTTGAGAACTACAAGCAAGAAAGCAGGAAAAACTCAGTCTGTCCAAGGTCTCCTGGAGAATTGTTCTAATACAGGCTCCTGCGCATTCTTTGCTAAGGTCTCAGGGGGCTGGAACCAAAGTGTTGGCATAACCAGACTCATCAATAGGACCTAGGGAAAATTCTACTTCCAAGCTCATTCAATTTTTTGGTAGAATTCAGTCTTTGTGAGACTGAGGACCCCAATTAATGAGGACTGTCAGCTGGGGGCGGCTCTCAGCCTTGAAGGGCAGCTCATATTTCTCCTTATGTAACTCCCTATATTTTCTAACCAGCAATGGAGTTTTAAATCTTTCACACTTGCAATATCCCTCACACAGACAATCTCAGGCAGACATCCTCTCTTTTTAAAACTCACAATAAATTAATTAGTAACTTTAATTAGATTTGCAAAATCTCTTTTGTCATATGATGGAACAAAATTAGAGCATGATATCACATTAAATTCACATTCATGGGGATTAGAATAAACTACCTAACAGAGCTGTTCTAGTGAGTATTTATTTGTGTGTTTATAAGGTTTGAAAAGATGTTGCAATAGTATGGATTATGTTTTTGCATTTTCCCTGAGTTTCCTAGTCTTAAGGTAGTATTTTAATATTAATTTCTACACTAGGACCGCCCTCACATCAAAATCCATGAAAATTTGGTGTGTGCATGTATGTATATGCAGGCATATTTATTGATTTTTTTTTTTGAGGCGGAGTTTCGCTCTTGTCGCCCAGGTTGAAGTGCAATGGCATGAACTCGGCTCACTGCAACCTCTGCCTCCTGGGTTCAAGTGATTCTCCTGCTCAGCCTCCCGAGTTGCTGGGATTATAAGTGCCCACCACCATGCCTGGCTAATTTTTGTATTTTTAGTAAAGACAGGGTTTCACCATGTTGGCCAGGCTGGTCTTGAACTCCTGACCTCAAGTGATCCTCCCGCCTCAGCTTCCCAAAGTTCTGGGATTACAGGCGTGAGACGCACCCAGCCTATTTATTGATTCTTTAAGGGAAAGTTAGCTTTTCTTTCCATCAAAAACTCTGGAGAGAATGTTTCTTTGTTGCTTCTCTGGTCAAATGTACAGGATTCTTAAAGTCTCTTTTCTTAAAAGGGCAGAATTTCCAGAGACTGTATAAAAGGATCTAAATTTACCTTGAACAGGTTGAAGGTTGCATTTTCCATCTCTGCTTGTACATTAAAGCTCCAGCATAACTCCTTATGTATGTTAATCCAAAGTATATATACACAAAGCATTCATAAAGGCAGGCTCTTTGATTTTTTTCCTGAGGATTCTGTGAGTAAATGAAGACAAGGAAGTCTTCTCTCTGAGAGTAATGTCCTATAAAGCACACAAGGTGAACTTCTTTATAGTTGGGCATATTCCACCAATAATCATTTGTCTGTTTGTCCTATAAAAGCTGCAACTTTCTCCAGTTTGTTTTTTTCTTTTGCTTCTTTGTACACAAATTACAGTGCTCCATGGAGCAAAACATATAGTCATATAGGTGTTATGATCTGACATTTTACTCTGTCGGTGCTATCGCTGGAGTAGCACTGCCACACATTTTACTAGAGAAGCTTGCGATTAAGTATGACTGATAATAAATTGTTCTATGATGAGAACGCTAACACAGCTTTCTCTGTCCTGGTAAAGATTATGTTCAAGAATAGGCAAAACTAATTGATGGTGCTAGAAAGTGAAAGAAAGCTTTTCAAAGAGGGGCAGATGTGGATATTGACTAAAACTGAGCATAAGGGAACATTATTGGGTGAAATACTCTATATCATTATCTAGGTTGTGATTAAATATGTAAATATTAATCAAGCTGTGGACTTGTGCTTTTTACTTCTTGAAAAAGCATAAAAGCATATGCTTTTTACTCTCAAAAAGCATAAAAGATAAAATATTAAGTGAGTAAACCAACAAAACATCCTTTATTTAGAACTGCTAGTTATACATGCACAATATATTTGTATCTCTCATTATTTGTACTCGTATTAGTTATAAACATCCTAGTATGATTTTTGACTTGTTAACATTTTATTTCAATTAACATATTTCCTAATTTTTACATGATCTCTCTTTTTATTAATTTACTATATAAAAGATACCCATGAAAGACATGATTTTATAGATTCTATTTAAAATTAGAATCCTGTGAAACAGGTTTTAGCAATAAATGTTACTTCAGAAAAGAGTGAGAATACTTACACCATTTATTCTTTAGTGTAAGAGTAAAATTCATTCTTTTAGATAGAGAAAAAGAAAATAGTTAAGTATAGAAAAACTAAAAAGTGGACAATAAGAGTATCTTGAGAAAGAGTTGCATACACAGGTTAATACCTTTTGTTCTGATCTGAACTAAATCACATTTTTTGTCTCCTATATTGATGCATTTAGCTAACTGAAAATTCAAGATTTAAGACAATGTAATGGTAACAAATTATTTTTAAAATTGCAAACATCCTTACGTAAATACTTAAAATTATTATGTAGTCGAACTATTTCACTTCAAAGTACAATCAATACCATTACTATTACTCCAGTAGCTTTGAAGCTAGAAAGAAAACATTTTAAAAAATATTACTGAATGAGACCTCATCTCTAAAAGAAAAAAAGTAAATAAAAATAACTATTTTAAGTTTGATCAATTTTAGAAGTATGTATTACCCATGATAAAACAAGTTAGGTATATTTTTAAACTATTTTACCTTTTTAT
This sequence comes from Homo sapiens, assembly GCF_000001405.40. Lineage (NCBI taxonomy): Eukaryota > Metazoa > Chordata > Mammalia > Primates > Hominidae > Homo > Homo sapiens. The sequence continues at coordinate 41,132,973 of NC_000014.9, forward strand.
TTGGAAGACAATTTTTCACATATCCTGGAAAATTGTACTAATTTTTGGCTTTGAGTTTTAATTCTTTAAAAAAAGTTAGTAGTATTATCACTACCAAAGCAGAATATATATGCATATATTTTCTCAAATATATGCATATATATTTTTTCTCAAATATATACATACATATTTCTCAAATATATACATACATATTTTCTCAAATATATACGTATATATTTTCTCAAATATATACGTATATATTTTCTCAAATATATACATGTGTATGTTGTAGATTTTTAAAATGTGCATACTTTTGAATGGCTTTTAGTGGATACACTATTCCTTAGGTAGAAATATAAGTTTAGCACAGATTTGCAAATAATAGGAAACCTCTATGCCTAACAGAAAATTAAAAGGCTTAGAAGAAGGATCTTCCTAATGAACAAAGAAACATTGATATCAGAGAGTGAATAAACAAAATTAAATTATCCACTCTGCAGTTATATTAACATCTTTGCAAGAAAAAATAGGATATAAGAAAATACTGTTTATAAGAAGCAAACAAATAGAGAAAAACCACCATCCCTTATTTAGGAATTACTGTGGTGCCATTTTATCTTTTATCACTGTTCTCCTAACTCTCCTTATATTTATTTGTATGTCTGAATTTTAATTTACAGAAAACAAAGGCATACAGATATTTAAATGATGGCATAGCTATGTTAGTCAAAACAAGTCGCCAAAACCTACATTGTAATTATAGAGAATATTGTATGCAGAAGGGAAATCAAGCTTTGTTACTTCAATTTGTCTCAAATTCATCTTGAAATACTTTATATATAAATGTATCTATGATATAAAAATAAAGTCAGTGCATTTAAAAATAGAATATTTTGGAAAACTACATAAATATCATGCTAAATAATGTGGACAGGAAAAGGTGAATTATTTTTTCTTAGAAAATTGACAAATTTACAAGAAAAAAACAAACAACCCCATCAAAAAGTGGGAGAAGGATATGAACAGTCACTTCTCCAAAGAAGACATTTATGCAGCCAAAAGACCCATGAAAAAATGCTCATCATCACTGGCCATCAGAGAAATGCAAATCAAAACCACAATGAGATACCATCTCACACCGGTTAGAAATGCGGTCATTAAAAAGTCAGGAAACAACAGGCGCTGGAGAGGATATGGAGAAATAGGAACACTTTTACACTGTTGGTGGGACTGTAAACTAGTTCAACCATTGTGGAAGTCAGTGCGGCGATTCCTCAGGGATCTAGACCTAGAAATACCATTTGACCCAGTCATCCCATTACTGGGTATATACCCAAAGGATTATAAATCATGCTGATATAAAGACACATGCACACATATGTTTATTGCAGCACTATTCACAATAGCAAAGACTTGGAACCAACCGAAATGTCCATCAATGATAGACTGGATTAAGAAAATGTGGCACATAGACACCATGGAATACTATGCAGCCATAAAAAAGGATGAGTTCATGTCCTTTGTAGGGGCATGGATGAAGCTGGAAACCATCATTCTCAGCAACCTATTGCAAGGACAAAAAACCAAGCACTGCATGTTCTCACTCATAGGTGGGAATTGAACAATGAGAACACATGGACACAGGGACACAGGAAGGGGAACAGACACCAGGGCCTGTTGTGGGGTCGGGGGAAGGGGGAGGGATAGCATTAGGAGATATACCTAATGTTAAATGACGAGTTAATGGGTGCAGCACACCAACATGGCTCATGTATACATATGTAACAAACCTGCATGTTGTGCACGTGTACCCTAAAACTTAAAGTACAAAAAAAAAAAGAAAATTGAATTGTTAAAAATTATTACTGGTTAAATAGGAGCATCTTACACTAAGAAATCTGAGTCATTTATCAATCCTTTATCTTTTATTCAATTATAGAAACACCAGGGGTCCCCAAGAGACACCCTCCTCATCCCCCACCACTCTTACAGTTCAGTGAAATTGTTCCCTGTGGTGATATTCCACATAACACAGAATAATTCTTCTTCATCTGTGCTTACAGCGAACTGCTCATTTTTAATAAATATATTGATTTTTCTTAAGTTTCTTTGAAGCTGATTGACTCATCTCTTCCTGATCAGCATTTTTATCACCATTAACATAATTACTACCCATCTACATGAAAGAAACTTCATTCTACATTATTTGGGAAGAAAATCATATCAAGAGACACATTTATTATGTGCCGAGTCACAGCAAATAAAATGATGCAAAGCTTAAAATCTAACATTTTTTCAGGAAGTTGGGTAATGTTCTTAAGACTTCTTTTTTGAAATATAGGCATACCTCGGAGATGTTATAGGTTCAGTTCCTTGACCAGGGCAACAAAGTGAATATTGTAATAAAGCGAGTCGCACAAATTTTTGGTTTCTCAGTAGATATAAAAGTTATATTTACACAATAATGTAGTCTATTAACTGTGAAACTGCATTGTGTCTAAAAATGCATATACCTTAATGAAAAATATTTTACTGTTATGAAATGCTAACGATCATCTCCTCTGAGCCTTCAGTGAGTTGTAATTTTTTGGCTAGAGGTGGGTCTAGCCTCAATATGAATGGTTGCTGACTGATCAGAGTAAAGGTTGCTGAAGTTTGTGGTGGCTGTAGAAATTTCTGAAAATAAGACAACGATAAATTTGTTGCATCAATTGACTATTCCTTTCATGTAAGAATTCTTGGTAGCAAACACTTTTGTTTTATAACATTTAACTTACAGTAGAACTTATTTCAAAATCGGAATCAGTCCTCTCAAACCCTGGTGCGGCTTTATCAACTAAGTTTATATAATATTTTAGGTCCTTTGCTGTCATTTCAACAATGTTCACAGCATCTTCACCAGAAGTAGACTTCATCTCAAGAAAGCACTTTCTTTGCCAATCCATAAGAATCAACATCTTATTTGTTCAATTTTGATCATGAGATTTCAGGAATTCACTCACGTCTTCAGGCTCCACTTTTAATTTTATTTATTTTGCTATTTCTACCACATCTGCAATTACTTCCTTCACTGTGGTTTTGAATACCTCAAAATTATCTATGAGAGTTGGAATCAACCTCTTCCAAAAATCCTGTTAACTTTAATATGTTGACTTCCTCCCATGAATCACAAATATTTTAATGCCATCTAAACAGGTGAGAATTCTTTCCATAAGATTTCCAATTGACTTTGCCTAGATCCGTCGGAGGAATTACTATGGATAGCAGCTACAGCCTCATAAAATGTATTTTTAAATAAAAAGATTTGAAAGTCAAAATTACTCCATGAACTATGTGTAGCAGAATGGATGTTGTATTATGAGGCATGGAAACAACATGAATCTCCTGGTACACCTTCATCCGAGCTCTTAGGTAATCAGGTGCATTGTTATGTAAGTAGTATTTTGAAAGAAATTTTTTTTTTTTTTCCGAGCAGTAGGTCTCCAGAGTGGGCTTAAAATATTTAGTAAACTATGCTGTAAATAGATATGCTATAATCCAGCTCTCTCTTCCATTTCCAGCAAAATGGAAATTGTTGTTCCATTTATAGAGCACAGGCAAAGAGCTCTAGGATTTTCAGAATGGTAAGGGAGAATCGGCTTCAACTTAAAAGTCATCAGCTGCATTAGTCCCTCACAAGAGATCTGCCTCTCTGCACTAATCCTTTGCAGTTTTGAAGCCAGACATTGACTTCTTTCCAGCCATGAAAGTTTTAGATGGCATATTTTTGCAACAGAAAGCTGTTTCATCTGCATTGAAAATCTGTTGTTAGCATAGCCACCTTCCTCCATTATCTCAGTTAGATCTTCTGGAAAGTTTGCTGCAGCCTCCACATCCGCACTTGCTGCTTTACCTTGCACTCATGTTATGAGGATGACTTCTTTCCTTAAACTTCATAAGCCAACAATTGCTAATTTCAACCTTTTCCTCTGAAGCTTTGCCATCCCTCTGACACTTCACAGAATTAAAGAGAGTAGCACTTTTAATTTCCTTCAAGAATTTTTTCCTTTGTTTTCACAACTTGGCTAACTATTCAGCACAAGTGGCCTAGATTGCATCCTATCTGAGCTTTCTATATATCTTCCTCACTGAACATAATCATTTCTAGCTTTTGACTTAAAGTGGGAGATATGCAACTATTCCTCTCAGTTGAACACTTAGAGGCCATTGTAGGGTTATTCATTGGCCTCATTTTCATACCGTTATATTTCAGGAAATAGGCCTGAGAAGAGGGAGACAGATGGGGGAACAACTGGTTGGTGAAGCTGTCAGTCCACATACAGCATTTGTTAATTAAGTTTACCATCATATATGATTGCAGTTTGTGGCACTCCAAAGCAATTACAATAGTGGCATCAACGATTACTGATCACAGGTTACCATAGCAGATATAATAATAATGAAAACAAATAATTGAAATATGTGAGGATTGTCAAAATATAACACAGAGACACAAAGTGAGCACATGCTGTTAAAAAAATGATGCTGATAAACTTGCTCAGTACAGGGTTGCCACAAACCTTCCATTTGCAAAAAAATGCAATATCAGTGAAGTGCAATAAAGTGAAGTCTAATAAAATGAGGTATGCCTGAATATAGTTGTGTGGGACTCATAAAGTAATTGTCTGAATATAATTACATATAGCATTGCATCTGCCCAAGTGTAACCAGATAGTATTCTGAAAGTGATTATAAACCGGACCTGTCTTGAATTAAATACCCACAGCAAACTTGTTTTATCAACATTGACATCTACTTTATTTAATACTTATAAAGCTGAATTTTTAAAAACATTATTTTCTCCTGTCATTACCATCACTACTAAGTTTATAGTTTCTGGAAATTTTGCTTCTTTTCTAGTGTGTTCCAGTAAGAAAAAAAAAATCAGTTTATTCTCAAGCTGTAATCAGTGGTCTGAAAGAGTTCTGGTTCTCACTGCGTCATCTTGTACATGTCAGTACATGTCAGTTCTCCAGGCCAAGCCTTTCTCAATTGCAAAATGAGGGCAATGAACTATTTTATTTCTATGGTCACTTTTAACACCAAACCACACTAAATCATGTGATTCTAAGTTTAGTTTCATTGCCTCAATAAAAAATTTTTGAAAGAGTTCACTTGGCTTTCCCTTTATTTTTTAACAACCACCACGACAAAACAAGTAAGTATAGGAAGTTCTGTCACGGCATGCATTTTTATCAATAGGAGTATTTTTGTTTTCTTGGGAAACATGATTTATATTAGGGAGAATGCTATTTGTTGTGATGTGGTGACCCCTGGGAAGATAGCTGTTGCATGGGCGACTCAGACACTTTGAGGTTCTAATGATTTGTCCATCATAATAACGGTGATAACAATGACATGATTTAGGCACTAAATATGTATAAGAGGGCCAGACAAATGAAAATACTGGTCATAATAAGAAAGAAACCCCATTGGTCTTGTGCACTATCTACATGTAAAAAAAATTGATTTGCTTTATTATATTTTGAATTTATATATACAGAAAAAATGTTTATAACCAAAGCGTCTGGAGAACATTAGCATTATTAATCGATGTTGAAAGGCCTCTAGTAGAGAACAAAATTAAGAACTGGTTTTAAAAGATTTATGAGAGACAAACCTCTATTGAGACTGATCTAGATTAGACAATAAGAGAGAAAAAAATATATAAAGTACAGAAAAAATTGCCAAAGTACAGAAAAAATTGCCAAATAATTACAGATATCACAGGATTTAAAACAAGAAAAATATTATAAAAATATATGCAGACAGTTCAAAGCATAGATGAAATGGGTGCTTTCTGAAAATGCCAAAATTGATATGAGGAAAAAGAAAATAAATACACTGATAATCATTTAAAAAAATGGCAATAGAGATCAAAGACTTTCCCCTGGAAAATCTCATAGATGATAGAAGAATTTTACCAAAAAATTAAGTAATAGAATATCTCTATATTATGCAGATAATTATAGAAAATATAAAAAAGAAAGCCATCCAATTCATTTATAAGCTACTATAACCTTGGTTACAAGTCCAAATGGAAATATAAGAAATAAAACTATAAGCCTATTTCACTTATAAACCTAGATGCTAACTTCCAAAAGTCCAAGGAATACCGTTCTGGAAAAAAATAGACTTCATCCAATTGAAAAATGCCTTCTGTGTTCATTACATACATTTAACCACAGAACTGAAACTAAAACAAACGTGGTGATTAGACTAACAACACAGTATATATACGTATTTACTCTAATGATGTGGAAATGACACAAGAAGCAAAGTTAGGAAGGAGAGAAGGGGTTGCAGAAAAGTTAGCATGCTAAAGACTTTATTTCTAATTGCTAATAGTCGAAGGTTATTTAAAATTTACAAATAAAGTAAGAATCATATGAATGCTTAAGATTTAAGATACAAAGACAAACATGAAAGACCTGCACACTACAAACTACAAACATTATTGAAAAAACAAAAAGAAAATGTATTTAAGTGGAAAAACTTCTCATGTCCCCATGTCTATGGGCTTTTTTTTTTTTCTGTGCTTGGCTTATTTTACTTTATTTCATTTTATTTTTTATTTTTTTAATATACGTTAAGTTCTAGGGTACATGTGCACAAAGTGCAGGTTTGTTACATATGTATACATGTGCCATGTTGGTGTGCTGCACCCATTAACTCATCATTTACATTAGGTATATCTCCTAATGCTATCCCACCCCCTTCCCCCCACCCCACAACAAGCCCCAGTGTGTGATGTTCCCTTTCCTGTGTCCAAGTGTTCTCATTGTTCAATTCCCACCTATGAGCGTGTTTGGTTTTTTGTCCTTGTGATAGTTTGCTGAGAATGATGGTTTCCAGCTTCATCCATGTCCCTACAAAGGACATGAACTCATCAATTTTTATAGCTGCATAGTATTCCATGGTGTGTATGTGCCACATTTTCTTAATCCAGTCTATCATTGATGGACATTTGGGTTGGTTCCAAGTCTTTGCTATTGTGAATAGTGCTGCAATATACATATGTGTGCATGTGTCTTTATAGCAGCATGATTTATAATCCTTTGGGTATATACCCAGTAATGGGATGGCTGGGTCAAATGGTATTTCTAGTTCTATGTCCTTGAGGAATCGCCACACTGTCTTCCACAATGGTTGAACTAGTTTACAGTCCCACCAACGGTGTAAAAGTGTTCCTATTTCTCCACATCCTCTCCAGCACCTGTTGTTTCCTGACTTTTTAATGATCGCCATTCTAACTGGTGTGAGATGGTATCTCATTGTGGTTTTGATTTGCATTTCTCTGATGGCCAGTGATGATGAGCATTTTTTCATGTGTCTTTTGGCTGCATAAATGCCTTCTTTCGAGAAGTGTCTGTTCGTATCCTTTGCCCACTTTTTGATGAGGTTGTTTGTTCTTTTCTTGTAAATTTGTTCAAGTTCTTTGTAGATTCTGGATATTAGCCCTTTGTCAAATGAGTAGATTGCAAAAATTTTTTCCCATTCTGTAGTTGCCTGTTCACTCTGATGGTAGTTTCTTTTGCCATGCAGAAGTTCTTTAGTTTAATTAGATCCCATTTGTCAATTTTGGCTTTTGTTGCCATTGCTTTTGGTGTTTTAGACATGAAGTCATTTCCCATGCCTATGTCCTGAATGGTATTGCCTAGGTTTTCTTCTAGGGTTTTTATGGTTTTAGGTCTAACATTTAAGTCTTTAATGCATCTTGAATTAATTTTTGTATAAGGTGTAAGGAAGAGTTCCAGTTTCAGCTTTCTACATATGACTAGCCAGTTTTCACAGCACCATTTATTAAATAGTGAATCCTTTCCCCATTTCTTGTTTTTGTCAGGTTTGTCAAAGATGAGATGGTTGTGGATGTGTGGCATTATTTCTGAGGGCTCTGTTCTGTTCCACTGGTCTATATCTCTGAAGAATTGAAAATGCAAGATGGGAAACAGAACTTAGAGGAAGAATCCTACAAAGCAACTTCAATAAGGGAAACATAAATTTGCAAATGCTATTTTATTTAAGTTATCGTATGATAATAAATGAAAACTATTGCTAAAAAAACATTTTCTGACACTTCGTTCTGCTGGTAACTGTAGTAGTTTTCTGGGTCTACAATTACAACATGCCACAAACTGAGTGGCTTCAGCAACATAAATCTATTGTCAAACATTTCTGGAGGTTAGCAGTTTGAGAATTAGGTGTCCAATAGGGCCATACTCCTTCTGAAGGCTCTGCAGAAGAATTTGTTCCATGCCTCTCTCCTAGTGTCAGGTAGTTTTCCAGCAATCTCTAGTGCTTGTTGGCTTATGGCAGCATAATTTCAGTCTTCATATGGCCACCTCTCTCCATGCACGTCCAACCTCTCTCTGTATAAGGACACCAGTTATACAGGACTAGGAACCACCATATACCAATATGACCTCATCTTAGTAATTACATCTGAAATGACCCTATGATCCTATTTCCAATTAAGATAAGATTCTGAGGTACTTTGACTTAGGACATTGACTTACGAATTTAAGGGAACTTATTCACTTATAATAGTAATATAAATGCTTACTTCCTTAAGCATCTTACAAAAACATTAACTTCAATTTAAAGATAATTTTTATTTGAAACAAAAATAAAACAAAACAAAAAATACTGCCATCCAATTTGAAAACATGTTGTTTGTAAATTTTGATTCCTGTGTGGCTTAAGTTATTATCATATCAAGCATACAGGATTAGATATAAAGTGGATAGTACTGTGCAGTCTTTAAATTATATAGGAGGGAGAATGCAATCAGAAGTTTTAAACCTACCATTACCTAAGATTTATAAACTCTATTATAAAATGAATACAAAGTTAATGTTACATGTACAAGTATATTTTTGCAAAACTATCATCTACTTCAAATAAAAACTTTTTCTAATAATATAAATGATGAATAGATCTTCAATTGTGCATTCCTCACAGATGCCTTCCACTCTCAAGATGTATGTTTTATTGTATTTTTTTCTGCTAAAACTCACCTCACCAGGGGATTCCTTCTTCTAAATAAAGAGCAAACTTTCACATAAAAGGAAAAATGGTTTTTACTCACAACAAAAAGTTAGATCCTGCTGAGTGTTTCCCCAGGCGTCTATAAAAATTCACAGGTGATGTTCTATCACCTTAATAAGAAAACCAAAACAGCTTTGATCAGCTAAACAAAAACAGTTTTTATTCCAAACACATTAAAATATACAAAGAAATCATAGTACAAGCATTGCTTTTGGCTTTTATTTTCTTGTGTATTATGTTTTATGAAAAAACTTTGAAATGCACTTTAAAATACTTTCTAACTTTTAAAGTATCATTTGAAACAATTCCATGCTGGGTGTGGTAATTAGTTTAATTTCCTGCTGTGTTATGGACCTGACCAGTATTTTTTATTTTATTTTATTTTTTTTTTACTTACAAGAAATTTAAAGGCTGGGTGCGGTGGCTCATGCCTGTAATCCTAGCACTTTGGCTGGCAGATTGTCCTAGCTCAGGAGTTTGAAACCAGCCTGGGCAACATAGTGAAACCCTGTCTGTACTAAAAATACAAAAAAATTAGCCGGCATGGCTGTGTGTACCTGTAATCCCAGCTACTTGTGAGGCTAGGGCAGGAGAATTGCTTGAACTCAGGAGGTGGAGGTTGCAGTGAGCCAAGATGATGCCACTGCACTCCATACTCCAGCCTGGTTTGATGGAGTGAGACTCCATCTCCAGAAAAAAAAAAAAAAAAAATTAGAAATACTAGTATGCCTAATTTTAAAAATGTCAGTAATTTAAAAATACATATGTAGTTATTTTATAATACAAATCCAGCTCTTAAATCTCACATATTGGTTTGATAATCATGCAAATATCTCTGATCTAAACATTTCTATGGTTATTAGATATTTTTCTTTTTCTAAAATTTTAGGTTTTTAGAAAATTTAACATTTTTTTCTCATTAAAAGTGTAATACTTGTTAAGTTTCTATAATTTGGAATATGGAGAAAGTTGGATGGAATTTAAAAATACCTTTTTAAGACAAAAAATATAGAGTCCCTAAATAATGTAGTTGATATAAAGTTTTTCCTGTACACGCACATATATAGTATACATATATAGTATATATATAGTGTGTATATATAGTATATGTATATATACACTGTGTGTGTATATATAGAGAGTGTACATATATATATTTATATATAGTGTGTACATATATATACACACAACAAAATTAAGATCTTATACTCCAAGTAAATTATATTGCTTTACTCTTATTTTTATTATGTTATAGATATATCTTTTTCTCATTAAAATAAGCCTGGGCACTGTGGCTCACACCTGTGATGCCAGCACTTTGGGAGCGTGAAGCAGGCAGATCACTTGGGCTAGGAGTTTGAGACCAGATTGACCAGCATGGTGAAACCCTGTCTCAAATAAAAATACAAAAATTAGTCAGGTGTTTGTGGCGCATGAGTGTAATCCCAGCTACTCAGGAAGCTGAGGTAGGAGAATGGCTTGAACCAGGGAAGTGGAGGTTACAGTGAGCAGAAATCACGCCACTGCACTCCAGCTTGGGTGACAGAGTCAGACCCTGTCTCAAAAAAATAAAAAATAAAATTACCAGATTTCAGTGGCTATATTATTCTCTTGTATAGGTGCATAATAATTGGTTTAAACATTTTTTTATATTTGACTTTCAATTTTTAAAATTTTGAGAATGTAGATTACAAATAAATCTGTTTTATCTTGATTATATCTCAATTTTCACTAAAAATTGACTTAAAAATTACAAAAAAGATCAATTTTTGAAATCTTATTGATTTTAATTTGTATTACAAAGTTTTTATGGGACTAAATTAATGTATTCTTCCAAAATAATGTACAAGAATAGTTCACAAGCAAAAATGAAAAAAAAATTTACTTTGGTTTAATTGTGGGGATTTTCTATTACTTCTGATGTTAATACTTAAAACATTTATTAATTATATCCTTCTTATGTAAGTAATCTGCATTTGTCCTTTTCTTTATTTTTCTGTTGGAATATTTATTTCTATTGCTCTGTAAGAACATCAATGGCAAGCTGTAATTTTTACAAATATTTTCCATTTTTTTTGGGGGTAGATGGGGGAGCTGGAAGACAATGTTAAACAATATATAATAAAATTGGTTAATATTACTTCTCATTAATTTTTAATAATTTTTGTTAAAATGGTGCCTCCTTGAGAAAACTAGTTAAATATTCCCATATTTTGACATATCATTTATTAACATTATAAGTGGCATTCTGCAGAAATTATTTTTGGAAATATTTTGTGTTTCATTATTCATCATAATGCTTTCTTTTTGAGGAATGGTGACATTTCATACTTTAGGAAGTGTGTGACTAAGCTTGTGTCACAGGATCTTTGGGGTGTCGCTTCACCAGCCAGAAACCTCTGTGGCCGGCGGCTCCTTTGGCCCGAGTAATACTCATGCCCGCGGGGCTCATTTCACCCACCTGGCCTGGCAGGCTACAGTCAGTTTGTGCAACCAGCCTAGATTCCACACCTGCCAAGGGTGAGCCAGGTGTGGAGCAGGGAGGGGTGTGTGGGTGAGCAAGCATGAGGTCCAGCCACTGCGCACAGCAAGGAACTCCAGCTGCCGCGGTGGGGCAGGCAACTCCAGGCCCCAGCACAGGTGCTGGCTCCATGGGAAGTTGCACCTGGACCAGTTGCACTGCACACAACTTCTGCTGCAGGCACTCGCATCTGGATAAGGGGAATATAGTGGCACCTGGAAGCTTGGAGACACCAGGAACCACAGAGCCCCAAAGATGTTGTCACAGCCCTGGCTTGGGAACCCCTAAGTCTCGACTCCCTGAAGGGCCACAGCTCTTCCCTCCTTCTCTTGACCTGCAACATGGTGGGGGCAGGGGCATATTTCAGCCTTGTTTGCATTACAGCTCTTTTAGTCCCACCATTTTGCAGGTCTCACGTTCTTGTCCATTGTCCAGGAAGAATGAGGTATGTGGACAACTGGAGGGTGAGCAAGGCAGAGAGGAGCTTCAATGAGTGGCAGAACAGTTCTCAGAATATCCAAAGAGGTAGCTCCTTTCAACAGGCAGGTCATCCTGATGAGTGTCCAGCTGTCAGTAGAGAGGAGACCAGGAGCGAACAGCTTCTTTCCATAGACAGGTAGTCCTGACATAACTGAGTCTGGCTGAGTCCAGGGTTTTTATGGGAATCATGGGCAACCATGGGCAGGCCTGGAAATAGCACTATAATTTCTCACTTTGGGCTGCAGACTTCACCCAGAACTTACAGCTTGGCTCCCACGCTTCAGGCAGTCCCTAGCTTGACAGTGAGGCCTCACCAGGGAACCACCCATTTCCGCTCAGGAGACTGCCACCATCAATCATATTATAAATGTTGCCCAGGCTGTTTGTGCTGAAGGGTGCCTGCAGGCCCACTCCAAGTTGACTTCAGTGCTCCCTCGACCTCCCTCCCATGCTTGTTGGTGCCCAAAGTGCAGAGGGGACCTAGGCAGCTGGGGGCTGGCATGTGAGTGCAGCTCCAAGGGCTTGCCCACCTGGCCAGGTCATGATGATACCTGCGTTCAGCCTCAGCTTTACTCCGAAATCAGAGTGGGTGCTGGGAGCAGGAACGGGGATAGGCCAGGCAGCGGGAGTAGACACTTCCGAGCCTGCAGAGGCAAGGGGACTTCCCAGGCCCCTGAGAACACAGGGATGCCCAGGTTGGCAGCCAGGGCTGAATGGCTGTAGCTGTGCCAAGGAGGGTGGGGCTCCTGCCCTGCCAACTGGGAAGGTGTGGGGCTCCCACTTGTTCCCTGCTCCTGCTGCATGGAGCACAGAGCCCTGGCCATGCCTCTCCTTCTGCATCCAGCATCTTTTCAGTTGCCTCTCCACCATGGCCATCACTTGTTCAGATATTTTGGTCTTCACTTTTAATACGTTTGTTTTTATTTTTAAAAAATGATTGATGCATTTTACTAAATGTGTTTCAGCGTCTATTAAGAAGATTATACTTAGGTTAATAAAATATCTTAATAAAAGTCTTTTTATCAAAGGATATGCATTGTATATCTGTTTCATTTACGAACTGTTGTATAACACATTTTCCACAAAATCTAATGATGTATAGTAGTACCCCCTTATCCACGGGGAAATCCCAGTAGCTGGCTGAATCTGCAGTTAGTACTAAACTTTATATATTCCGTTGTTTTTTCAACGTGATAATCAAAGCAAATAAGTAACTAATGGGCTGTGTATACAGCATGGATAGGCTGGAAAAAGATGATGATTCATGCCCCAGCTGGAACAGGGCAGGATAGTGTGAAATTTCCTTATGCTACTCAGAATGGTGCAAAATTTAAAACTCATCAATTGTTTATTTCTGGAATTTTTAATTTAATACTTTCAGATAATGGTTAATCAGGGGTAAATAATAACATGGAAAGCAAAACTGGGGATAAGGAGAAGACCACTGTTTAACAACCCACATGAAATACGTGGTTTGGGAATTCGGATGAAGCATGCCAGGGATAGTTTGTGCCTGTTTCCCAATGTCTGGGACCTCAACTAGAGAACTCAAAGAATGACAGTGACTCAATAAGATGAGAATGTGACCTCTCCATGTGGCCTGGGCTTTCTTTACAACATGGTGAATGGGTTGAAAGGCACCTAAAGAAAGACAAAGCTTACCTAAAGTCCCACTGGATTATCATATAGCCTAATAAACTAGTGACTTAGGCCACATTTTGTTCATTAGTACCAATACACTAGGGCCAACCTATATTGAGGAGAGGGGAGAAAGACTCCATCTTTAAATTAAAAGAATTTGAAATAATTTAGACACATCTGTAAAACTGTCACATTTATAAATGCACAATAATTTATATCCGTTTATGACCACGCATACCATCATTCTAATTGTTCAGGAAGTTCTTGACCAGGATGTCTGAAAATCCAATAAATAACTCATCTTTTGTTTCAGAAAATACTTATAAACTGATTTGTATGGGCAAATTCCTTGCTTATCTGAACAGGTAGAGGACATATTAGGAAAATTGTCTTCATATCTGGACAGATAGTTTATCAGGATTCTAGTTTTATTATCCTCATTTCACTGAGTTCACCAGTCTTAAACACCATGTCATAAACCTTACCCAACTGCAATCAATATTCTCACTTCAAAGACCCTCTGTAAACAACTTGTTTTCAGACCCTAAACTTATACATATCTACCCTAAATTTACCCTTGTTAGACACTAATAAGCCTCTGTTTTGTGAAATTATCCCTTGGTGGGTCAAGTTTAGCAAATTTAGTTTTGTTTGATCAACAGGTTATTTTTATAGTCTTCGTGGAGGGGTCAATAGTTATCATTTCTGAATGTTGAACAGAGGTTTAATTGAGAAATTCTCATTACACAGCCAAAAACCCTTAACTCAGAAACACTGTGCTAACCGGAGTACCATTAAGCTTCCAGCTTGCAAGTCTTTCCAGAATAATGTGAGAAAGCCACATAGTAGGTCTAAATTCTGACTTATTTTCAGTGAGTTTCCAAATGTTGAGTTTATTTTGTCTCTTAGAAGAGATAATTATATTTGAAAACTGTTGTCCTTAGTGAGAACCTGCCTGGATTTTAACAATACTACTTTTTGTCTCCTTAATAGTTCTTGACTGTGAGTCTATAATTAGAAACTCATAGGAAGAGAACAGTTCTAGATTTAATCTTTCTTTCTCTTGATATGGTACCCAAGGCTGAAATATTCAGGGTAATCTATAAGAACTTAGTGAGACTTCCAACAATTTTGTTGTTGTGTTCCTGAGACTTGCATTATGAAATTTCACCTGGAAGATCTGTGGGTTTTATTGGGTCTTTTGTTGATGATGACAATATTTGACTAGGTTCCAGAAGCACAAATTTAGGCAAGCATACTCAGTAGCATTTTCTTTTCTTATGGAATCTTCTGGATCTGTTTCTTTCTGAACCAATAATCTGTTCCCTTGTTATTATATGTACAAATATCTCTAATTGGAATAATTTCATCAAGGACAATTTGAAATCACATTGGCCACTTTGGTGAAATTTTGACATGAAAACAATTGTTCACCGAGAGGCCTATTTGTACAACGATGGGAGCAACATTGAAGAGGGACCTCTTTGACTTATTTGTCCAGATGAAAGATCACTTACTTCAATTTACGTAGACTTCCATTTGGTTCTGCACCTCCCTGATTATTTGTTACTAGTTTTGTTTTTGTATGGCTTAAAGGAATTCTCAAGGACCCAGGTTGTTTTTAAATGGCTTACTAATTCTTATTTTTTGTGTGTTATTTGATTTCAAAATGTGTTTTCCTGCATTTATAGCATCTTCTCTCCTTGCAGAAGGAATATAATTATTAGTTTTTTGTAATTTCTTACTTGCTTGTAGCAGGCTTCCCCTACTTCTCCTTTATGCTTATCTTTTCTCATTTCTTTCTTCTTCTGGAAAACTTTGAAGATTAACTGGTCATATTAAAATGTTTTGTTACTAAGTGTTTAATATCAAAAATTTAGTCTGAATATACAGTAAATAATTCCAAAAGAAAATAAAAAATAAATTTAATGGTTTTTTTATTCTTTAAAATGTTTGTTTGGTCTGGATGGATGTAGTGGCTCATACCTGTAATCCCAGCATTTTGGGAGGACAAAGCAGGCAGATCACTTTGAACTCAGGAGTTTGAGACCAGCCTGGGCAACATGGTGGAACCCCATCTCTACAAAAAAATTTAAAAATTAGCCAGGCGTTGGTGGCTCATGCCTGTAGTCCGAGTTACTTGGGAGGCTGAAGCTAAAGAATTCGTTGAGCCTAGGAGGCAGAGGTTGCAGTGAGCCCAGATTGTGCCACTGCACTCCAGCCTGGGTGACAGAGCTAGACTGTCTCAAATAAATAAATAAATAAATAAATAAATAAATAAATAAATAAAAAAGTTTACTTGTTTGTTATTATTCACTTGCCAAAAGTATTAACTCAGGAAAAGAAAAGAAAATAGATTCAACTATAAGTTTAAGTAATGTTCTTGATTTCTAGGTTACAGGAGAAGAAGAAAAGATCAACAGACATAAAATTTCAGAATGATTGACAGTCTTTAAAATTGTATGTATGAATACTAATGTTTCTAAATTTTGGTAAGAAATGTTCTGTGTAAATGGATCACTGGAAAAATATATTTTGTTGAATTTAACTCTAACTCTATATTTCTCCCTGATTTACAACTATAAAAATATAATGTTAGAACATTACTGCGTTAATAAAAAACTTGAATTTACATTTTCACAATTTGAAAATTATTTTTTAGCTTTTGAGTTCAGAGGTATGAGTGCAGTTTTGTTACAAAGGTAAACTTTTGTCATGCGGGTTTGCAGTGCAGATTATTTCATCACCCAATTGTTAAGCCACTTCAAATAGCAAAGACATGAAAAATTTAATTTGCTACAATTGTTCTGTGCTCTAGGATTTAATCATTGTTTCCATAAATTACTAAATACTATAAAAAATTGAATATATGATTAGATAAATGAATTTATAATCATGAGTTGTTTTCTTTGAATCGGTTAATTCCTGTGCATTCGTATAATGCTACAAAAAATTCTGGATCTGCCGTAAACTTTACAACCTTAACTAATATTAAAATAAGAAAATTCAAAAATAATCTCTGGAAAAGATAAATGACTAAAGATTTCTATGCTCTGAAGGCAAATTATTTTAACACAGAATTGTTTGGAGTCGGAAAGTCAAGAGCCAGGATAGAAGAAAGTAAAGTTATATTTAGACTTCCAAATCCTAAATTAAAGAAAGAAAAGAAAAACTACAAAGGTTATTTCTAACCTTCATTGAGGGTGTTAAAAGCTGGAATGACGGTATTATTCCCAACTATAAAGAGCAACAATAGTTTAAAAAAAGGAAAAAAATTAAACAAAACACTAGATAATCTTTAAATTTACACATTCACTTGAAACCATAAAAGAACCAAGACAGAGAGCAATCAACTTGCATGAAGTCTAAAAAATAAAATAAAATAAGAATAATAATAAAGAAGCAGAGGCTGAATGGAGTTGTTGAAATATTTCAAAAACAGTAACTGAGAATTTCCCCAAATGAATGGAAGACGGTAAATTATAGATACAGGTATCTCTAAAAATAGCAAGAAAGATAACTATTAAATATCAAAAAGATATTATATTTCTACAAAATAAAACCAACAAAGAAATGATGCAAGTACAAAGTAAAGTAACATTTTTATTTTATTTTATTTTTATTTTATTTTATTTATGGAGAGGGAGTCTTACTCTGTTACCCAGGCTGGAGTGCAGTGGCACAATCTCGGCTCACTGAAACCTCTGCCTCCAGGGTTCAAGCGATTCTCTTGCCTCAGCTTTGTGAGTAGCTGGGATTACAGGTGCCACATCTTAGGGGATCACAAGGTCAAGGAATCGAGGTCATCCTGGCCAACATGTTGAAACTCCGTCTCTACTAAAAATACAAAAATTAGCTGGGTATGGTGGCACACGCCTGTAGTCCTAGCTACTCAGGAGGCTGAGGCAGGATAATCACTTGAACCAGGGAGTCGGAGGTTGCAATGATCCGGGATCGTGCCACTGCACTCTAGCCTGGCGACAGAGTGAGACTGTCAAACTACAAACAAACAAGCAAAAAAACACAAAGAATAAATCTGGAGGACTAACACTCTGAATTCAAAATGTACTACAGAGCTATGGTCATCAAAATCCTGTGGTAGTTGCATAAATACAGACATATATAGACCAATGGAGTAAAACAGAGGGTTCAGAAACCAAACCTTGCATATATGACCAAATTATTTTACACAGGGATTTCAAGACCATGCACTGGGCGAAAGGGTAGTCTTTTTAACAAATGCTGGAAAACTGGATATCCACATGGAAAAGAATAAAGCTGGACCCTTACCTAACACCATATACAAATGTTAACTCAAAACAGATTAAAGACCTAAGCATAAGAACTAAATCTATAAATGTCTTGGGAAAAAAAAAAAAGCACGTGGCAAAACATTTCACAACATTGGAAACTGGACCTCATGGCAATTTGAAAACTGTATATGCCAAAAGAAACTATTAGCAGAGTAAAAAAAAAATCTACAAATTGGAAAAAATATTTGCAAATCATATATCTCATAAGGAATTAATGTCCATAACACATAGAGAACTCCTAATATTCAACAACAAAAAACAAACAAGCCATTTCAAAAGTGGACAAAGGGTGTGAATAGACATTTCTCCAAAGAAGATTTAGGAATGACCTATAAGAAGATAAATAGATGCTCAAAATCAGTAATTATTAGAGAAATGCAAATCAAAACTATAGTGAACTATCACCCACACCCTTTAGGATGGCTGCTATTAAAAAAAAAATAGAAAATTGCAACTGTTGGCGAGGATGTGGAGAAACTGGACTCTTTTTTGGTGAGAATGTAAAATAGTACAGCAATGGGAGAAAAGAGTATGGTGGTTCCTTAATAAATTAAGACTAGAATTACCATATGGTCCAGAAATTCCACTTATTGAATAACAGTAGGATCCAGTAGACTCAAAAGCAAGATCTCAAAGAGGTATTTGTACATCCATGTCCCTAGCACCATTATTCATGATAGCTAAAGCATGGGAGCCAACCACATGTCCAGCAACAGATGAATGAATAAGCAAAGCGTGGTATAAACATACAATGGAATATTATTCAGTCTTTAAAAGGAAGAACATTTTAACATATGCTAAAACATAGATGAACCTTGAGAACATTATACTAAGTGAAGCAAGCCAGTCACAAAGAAACATATACTGTATGTTTTCACTTACATGAGGTACTTAGAGTTGTCAAAATCAGAAACAGATTGAAGAGTAGTGATTGACAGGGGCTGGGGGAAAGAGAAAAGAGGGAGTTATTGTTCAATATGTACAGTTTCAGTTTTATAAGATGAAAGAGTTACAGAAATAAATGGTGGTGATGGTTGCACATTACGAATATATTTAATACTACTAAACTATGAACTAAAATTGAATAAGATGGCCAATTTTTTATATGTGCATTTTACTTCAATTTAAAAATGAAAAGAAATGAGAACTGATTCAGAACTTAGAACCATGACAGTTGACTCCTGTTACACTGCTCTCTTTAATTTATTGTGATGCCATCTCGTTTATAACCATTAAAAAAAATAAAACTAGAAAAAGAAGAAAAAATATTTCATGAGTAGATTAAAAGGATAGAAAATTATATACTGTAATACTACCAATAAGAAATCTTATTTGGGTCAATTCACCAAAAAATATATTAACATTTCTTCATATATAACAAAATGTAAAGTAATAAGAACATTTATATGTTTGTTATTACACACATATTTATCTGCCTCCAGTTCCCCAGACACAATTCACAACTCCTAAGGCCTTTGTAGGTAAGATTGCTAGGATAATGTTTTGTTCTAACGTTTGGTCTTTTACCCTCATTCCTGACAAAGAATAACTAAAACCTTTGTAATTTCCTGAGGTATAGGAGTGTCTGACAAAGAGCTCATAAATGCCTTGAAATTTCCTGGGTGATAGTAACATCTTTTATTCTAATGAGACAACTCTTGGTGGGCTCCAGAATGGGAGCTGGTTGCCAGAGGAACCAACCACATGATTAGAGAGCTGGAACTTTCAGGCCCACCTCCCCAACCTCTGGGGAGAGAAGAGGAGCTACATGTAGATCAAGCTGATCACCAATGCCAATGATGTAATCAATTATGTCTATATATTATGTCTATATATTATATAGTCTCCATCAAAGCACAGAAAGACAGGGTTCAGAGAGCTTGTAGATTACTGAACACATGGAAGTCCCTGGACGATGGAAAGACCAGAGAAGACATGAAAGTTCCTCTCCCCTTCCCTGCACTTTGTCCTATATATTACTTCATCCAGATGTTTATTTGTGTTATTTATCAGATCCTTTATTAATATAATAAACCAGTAAATGAAAGTGTTTCCCTGAATTCTGTGAGGTATCCTAGCAAATTAATCTAATGTGAGAGGGTCATGGGAACCTCAACTTAATAGCCATAAGTCAGAAGATTAAAACCTATTACTTGCAGCTGGCATCTGAAGTGATGACTGTCCTGTGAGATTGTCCTTTACCCTGTGGAAACTGATGCTATCTCCAGGTAGACGGTGTCAGAATTGAATTGAATTGAATTGAACTGAATTAATAGGTATATGCTGGAAACCCCCTCCACAGTATCAGAAGTGAGTGGTCAGTGATATTAAGCTTTTTCATATGTATGGATGCATAGAAAAAAACCTGCATATAAATATATATATATACACACACACCATATATCCATAATATCCATATATATATATATATACATATGGATAGGTACTATTGTGTCCTGAATTGGTTGGTTCTTGGTCTCACTGACTTCAAGAATGAAGCCGCAGACCCTCGTGGTGAGTGTTAGAGTTCTTAAAGATGGTGTGTCTAGAGTTTTTCCCTTCTGATGTTCGGATATGTTTGAAGTTTCTTCCTTCTGATGGGTTCGTGGTCTCGCTGGCCTCAGGAGTGACGCTGCAGACCTTCGCGGTGATTATTACAGCTCATAAAAGCAGTGTGGACTCAAAGAGTGAGCAGTAATAAGATTTATTGCAAAGAGCAAAATAACAAAGTTTCCACAGCATGGAAGGGGATGGAAGCAGGTTGCAGCTGCTGGCTCTGGCAGCCTGCTTTTATTCCCTTATCTGACTCCCCCACCCCCTTCCCCCCCACATCCTGCTGCTTGGTGCATTTTACAGAGAGCTGATTGGTCCATTTTACAGAGCGCTGATTGGTCTGTTTTGACAGGGTGTTGATTGGTGCGTTTACAATCCCTGAGCTAGGCACAGAGTGCTGATTGGTGTGTTTACAAACCTTGAGCTAGACACGGAGTGCTGATTGGTGCATTTACAATCCTTTAGCTAGACCATAAAAGTTCTCCAAGTCCCCACCAGATTAGCTAGATACAGAGGGCTGATTGGTGCATCCACAAACCCTGAGCTAGACACAGAGTGCTGATTGGTGCATATACAATCCTCCAGCTAGACATAAAAGTTCTCCAAGTCCCCACCAGACTCAGGAGCCCAGCTGGCTTTGCCTAGTGGATCCCGCGGTAGGGCTGCGGGTGGAGCTGCCCGCCAGTCCCGCAAGTGCCTGCACTCCTCAGCCCTTGGACCGTTGATGGGACCCGGCGCCAAGGAACAGGGGGCGGCGCCCGTCAGGGAGGCTCGGGCCCCACGGGAGCCCACTGCGTAGGGGCTCCGGCATAGAGGGCTGCAGGTCCCGAGCCTGTCCCGCGGGGAGGCGGCTGAGGCCCAGCGAGAATTTGAGGGCGGCGCGGGCGAGCCGGCAGTGCTGGGGGACCCGGCGCACCCTCCGCAGCTGCTGGCCCGGGTGCTAAGCCCCTCACTGCCCGGGCCGGCGGCTCCGGCCGGCCGCTCTGAGTGTGGGGCCCGCCCAGCCCGCGCCCATCCGGAACTCGCGCTGGCCGGGAGCGCTGCGCACAGCCCCGGTTCCCGGTGGTGCCTCTCCCTCTACGCCTCCTCACAAGCAGAGGGAGCCGGCTTCGGCCTCAGTCAGCCCAGAGATGGGCCCCCACAGCTCAGTGGCGGGCTGAAAGGCTCTTCAGGCATCACCAGAGTGGACGCCGAGGCCCAGGAGGCGCGGAAAGCGAGCAAGGGCTGCTAGCACGTTGTCACCTCTCACTATCTGAGGTAAGAAACTCTTTAGAAAATTAAAATAATACCCACAGGTTATGTCACAGTGTTTGCAGATCAAGTACCTAATTAAGGATTTCTATCCAGAATATATAAAGACTCTCCATACTAAATAATAAAATATATGCAACTCTGTTTAAAAAGGGGAGATACTTGAACAGACAGTGAAAAAGATACAAGAGTAACAAAGAAACACATGAAAAGATGTCCTCCATCTTTAGTTATCACGAAAATGCAAAGTTAATCTTCAAAGACACATCTACACTCCAATTAAAATAGCAGAGAGAGAGAGAGAGAGAGAGGAAGCCAGCCTGACAAATTCAAGTGATCATGAAGTTGTAAAGAAACTGGTGCTCTATTACATTAAGGGTGAGAATGCAAAATGATAGTTACTTTGGAAAAAAATTTGACAATTTCTGATTAAGGTAAATACACTATTACCATAATATCCAGCAATTCTACCCCAAGGTACTTTCCCAAGTGGAATAAAAACATTTAAGAACCTTTCGAAGAATGTAATAGTGGCTTTATTCACATTATCAATAACTAGAACAATACAAGTGTCCCTCAGATGTGTATGGATAAGCCAATGGTGGCACATTCATACAATAGAATACTACTAGGCAATGAAAGTGAGCGAATAACTGATAGATGCCACAATATAAATACTTCTCAAATGCGTTTTGCTAAGTGAAAGTAGCCAGACCCCCAAAGCTAAATATTGTATAATTTAATTTATATTATATTCTGGAAAAGCCAAAGCGATTGGGACACAAAACCGATTTGTGGTTGCCAGGAGTTAAAGTTGGGTAGAATGTTGTCCACAAAGGGAGATGCAGGACTTTTTGATGTTGTGGAATTGTTTTATAACTTCAGTTTGGTGGTATTGTTACATGAACATACATATTTCTCAAAACTGGCAGATTATAGATTTAAAAGACCGCACTTTATATAGTATGTAACATATACTTTAATGTTAAAAATGTTTTAATGATAATGTGATTATGAAGTAATGAATCTAATTGGTTTCCATTGGGGAAAAAAATGTGTCAAAAGGACAGCTAGCCCCAAAAGTAAGCAGTTAATATTGAAACAAAAAACAAAACTTTGAGACTAAGATCTTTAAGAAGAAAGGACAATCCGTATAGCAATTTGTATGTTTTAAAAGTCTGCTTGGTCTAATTAGAAGAAGGCATCTGTGTCTTTGATAATAGAAAAAATAATAAATTGGAAATTTCAAGAAAAAACAAATTATTTACAAACAAGGTGTTGCCTATTAAAAAGCAGACTGAACCTTGTGGGGCCGAGGCAGGCGGGTCACCTGAGGTCAGCAGTTCCAGACCAGCCTGGCCAACATGGTGAAACCCCATCTCTACTAAAAAATGCAAAAATTAGCCTAGCATGGTGGTGCATGCCTGTAATCCCAGTTACACAGAAGGCTGAGGCAGGAGAATTGTTTGAACCCGGGAGTTAGAGGTTGCAGTGAGCCAAGATGGCGCCACTGCACTCCAGCCTGAGTGACAACAGCAAAACTTCGTCTAAAAAAAAAAAAAAGACTAAATTATTTCATTATTTTAGCAGCTTATGAATAGGCACTTACCCATTCTTCATAGTACTCGAAAAACATTTTTGAGTTGCCTAGATGGGTGCCACAATATTACAGAAGTTTAATTATATGAGTTAATGAATGTTCAGAAAATCACAACTAAGTGATTTTGCAATATACAGCTAGTCATTCACCCAATAATCTTATGATTTTTTTAAAAACGAAAACCTTATTTTACTTGCATTTGTAAGATGGATAGATACAAATTTGTCTGTTCATACTACGTGGCATCGCCGTTAAGCCATATGACTGAATTTAATCTGTATCGTGAAAAACCAATGGTATTGATAATAGACCAATCATCTTATGGATGTAATCTGAATTTTTGTGATAGGAGATATTTCAAAGGGAGGTATGTTCCACATTTTTAAGACTGAGATGCTAATGTGAAATAAATTTCTTATATGAAAGGGTATGATTTTTAGCTTATCATTTATGCTGATATACAATAGAGAACTAAAGACACTAATTTTTCAAAATAAAAAATTGGCCTAGTGAGGAGGAAAGACAGAATTTTGTAATACACATAGTCTGTATTGAATGCAATTCTAAATTTATTTTACTATGTAAATGTATTTACTTTTATTAAAATGAAATATAAAACAATCTATTAGCTTGCTTTGGCTTCCGCAACAAAGTATCACAGATTGGATGGCTTAACAACAAAAATTTATTTTCTCATCGTCTAGAGCCTTGAAGTCTGAGACCAAGTTGTCCACATAGTTGATTTCATTCTGAGGCCTCTGCCTTTAGCTTATAGATGCCTTCTCCTTTTGTCTTCACATGGGTTTTCCTCTGTATTTGTTTGTGTACTGATCTGTTCTTATGAAGACATCAGCCACATTGAATTACGGCCTTCTCATATGACTTCATTTTACCGTAATCACCTCTTTAATATGTTATCTCCAAATACAGGTACATTCTGAGGTACTGGGAGAAGGGGTGGTTAGAATTTAGATATATAAATTTGAGAGAGACAAAGTTGAACCCATAACACACAGGCATACAGTCATGCACCACAGAACAATTTTCAGTTCAACAAAAGATCACGTGTAAAATGGTGGTTTTGTACGTCTATAACACTGTATTTTTACCATACCTATTCTGTGTTTAGATATGTTTAAATACATAAATACTTACCATTGTGTTATAATTGCCTACAATTGTACTGTATTCAGTACAGTAACGTGCTGTATAGGTCCAGAGCCTAGGAGCAATAGGGTATACCGTATAGCCTAGGACTGTCGTAGACTATACCATCTAGTTTTGTGTGAATACACTCTATGATGCTAGCACAATGATGAAATTGCTTAATGATGGATTACTCAGAACATATCCCCATTGTTAAATGATGCATAACTGCAATAGATATTCTAAACAATATAATTCTAGTACTTATTAATAAGATTGTGTTCTATTCTACCAGGACACAACATATTTTCTGAAATTTTGTGATTGCATTGTCATTAACTATTGATCAATTAAGATATATCTCCACATCAAATTTTATTTTATATATTCCTGTAATTTCCAAGTAATATTTAAAACATATTATAATTGTAAATACATAGTAAATGAAAAGATCATGTTATTTTAGCCAGGATTAACACCTATCTAAAAATTTTAATTACATCCTATAAGAACATTCAATCTCCACATGGAATGTGTGCTTCTCAGTAAGAATTCTAAAAAGAAGGAGAAAATTGGCCTAGGTGTACAAAATATCTTATTTTTTATTGTAGGACTTCTAAAAAAACATTAGAACACACATCTCTTCTGAATCAAACAGTCAAGGTAGAGTCTCATAAAAAATTGGAAAGAAATGCAAACAGCAAAATATAATGAAAATAACATGGCTTCATGCATCTACACACAAACATAGAAAATGAAAAAAAAATGTTTCTTGTGTTGGGGGTGTCAAAGCAAAACATTGCACCAGGCTCGGTTAAACAGACAAGGAAGACTAAGCTGAGAGCAGCCAGTGCTCAGTCTGAGTTCAACTCCCATGAAATGTGTGGAGTGTGGGGAAGGTGTTAAGGTTTTTAAGATCTGGGACAAGAAAGATATCTTAGGCCATCCCTATTTGCTAATCAACTTTATTCAAAGGAAACACTACATTTTCTCCTATCTGCAGGACAGGAGATAGTTCTATTATTTGGAATAAGGCTCCGGCTGAAGTTCGGCTTTACCCTCCCGCAGAAACTGGGATACAGGGGGGTTATCTTTCCTAATGATTACATTTCAAAGGCATGGTCCCCTGTTCTTGAAAAAGACAGTCTTGGGTAGTAAAGCTGACAAAAAGCTTTTGAAAAGATTTACATCTCAAAAAGTCATAAAAGGAATTTTTAATTAGAAAAAAATTTAAACAATACACTAAGGAGGTCAGGGGCCTAAAACAAGGAAGAAGCCTGTCTAAAATTTAGTGAAGCACAGGGCAACTTTAAGGCTCTCTTGGTCAGGTCTCTAATAAAATTGTTTAACAACTGCCTTTAATAGGGTACTTTCATAAATTGGATTCTGTCAGTCATTTGTAGAGTGCTTCTGAGAGATAGGGAATTTAAACCCTGACACTTCCTGCATGCCTTGCCTTTGGGCAAAGCAGGCTCTCTCAGCCATAGAAGGCTAAAAGGCAAAGAGATACTGATGGTGGGAGTTTGAAGTCAAAGAAACATAGTCCCAAATACGGTATGGGTGAAGCACCAGTAGAATCTGCCAGGGGTGCCATCGAATCCAGCCCTATTCAGGGCTTTAAAAGTACTAAAAAATTTATAGAGGCTTACGTAGATATTTAAGAATATTAAAGAATATATGTTCAGATATGCTTAAGAAATTAGTTTTGTCATATCTCCCAAGTCATCAGGAAAATTGTTCTATGGCAGTAACAAATCATGATTTCATGTTTCATTAAAATGCATTTTAAGGTCGCTAATACCGATGTTTATTTAAAAATATTAAAATGTAAGGCTAATATCCAGAATCTACAAAGAACTCAAACAAATTTACAAGAAAAAAACAAACAACCCCATCAAAAAGTGGGTGAAGGATATGAACAGACACTTCTCAAAAGAAGACATTTATGCAGCCAAAAGACAAATGAAAAATTGCTCATCATCACTGGCCATCAGAGAAATGCAAATCAAAACCACAGTGAGATACCATCTCACACCAGTTAGAATGGCGATCATTAAAAAGTCAGGAAACAACAGGTGCTGGAGAGGATGTAGAGAAATAGGAACACTTTTACACTGTTGGTGGGACTGTAAACTAGTTCAACCATTGTGGAAGACAGTGTGGCGATTCCTCAAGGATCTAGAACTAGAAATACCATTTGACCCAGCCATCCCATTACTGGGTATATACCCAAAAGATTATAAATCATGCTGCTATAAAGACACATGCACACATATGTTTATTGCAGCACTATTCACAATAGCAAAGACTTGGAACCAACCCAAATGTCCATCAATTACAGACTGGATTAAGAAAATGTGGCACATATACAACATAGAATACTATGCAGCCATAAAAAAGAATGAGTTCATGTCCTTTGTAGGGACATGGATGAAGCTGGAAACCATCATTCTCAGCAAACTATCGCAGAGACAAAAATCAAACACTGCTTAGTCTCACTCATAGGTGGCAAATGAACAGTGAGAACACTTGGACACAGGAAAGGGAACATCGCACTCCAGGGCCTGTCGTGGGGTGGGGGGAACGGGGAGGGATAGCATTAGGAGATATACCTAATGTAAATGACAAGTTAATGGGTGCAGCACACCAACATGGCACATGTATACATATGTAACAAACCTGCAGGTTGTGCACATGTACCCTAGAACTTTAAGTATAAAAAAAAAGATAGAAAAGAAAAATAGATGAACATCAAATATGAATACAAAA
Organism: Homo sapiens; assembly: GCF_000001405.40. Taxonomy (NCBI): domain Eukaryota; kingdom Metazoa; phylum Chordata; class Mammalia; order Primates; family Hominidae; genus Homo; species Homo sapiens. Next base: position 41,160,313 of record NC_000014.9, read on the forward strand.
AATTGTATCTTAACATCAATAAATAGCTGATTTTAGTGTGTCATGTTAAACCAATAGTATACATACGCCTTATATCAGTGATTTACATATTGAATACATTTACATAACAAGTCCTGGTTAGAAATTTCTGTATCTTGAAATGTCATAGGATCTCAAGTGCAGTTTAGTGCTCTCTTTAAAAAATTTCTTAACTTTATTTTCTCACTATAACATTGTCATACAGGAATAAACTACAGAGTAAATGAATCAGTAGAACTTGATGTTCTGGTCACATAGACACTAAAAAAAGGTAAATCTTATTCATATTCATTTGAATAAAATAGTCATTAATCTTCACCTCATGGGTGTTTTAGGAAACTTTTCAAACCTTTAGTGCCCTACTATTAACTAATAGGCTTTGATTTGATAGCTGTTTAGATGGCAAGTTATTGGATTAAATGATGCCCTAAAGCTACCCCTTGGCAAAATTAAAATTTAGCGTTTCTGCTGGTAAATTATGCTGGCTTTATTTAATTTGAGATTTCAATGTGTCTTTCAAAAAGGAAAATAAAAAAAAACTTTGACATCTATTAGGCTTTAGTAGATTATTAATTGTAGTATTGAAACTGATTTTTTTCATATTATTGATAGTGAATTCTAGTGATTAGAAGAGGAGAAAACAGATTCAGAGGTAAAGTTTAATTCAAAAAAGCACTGGAAATTTTAAGAGTACATCATTCTGACAATAGCATAGGAAGAAGGGCAGGTTTTCCATAATATAATGCCCTTATCCATGTTAAAGGGATGGCTAAAGCTTTATTCTATTGTTTTTTAAAGGATTTAAGATAGACTAATAATGAAAAGACTTCAGATACTAAAAGCACACAAGCACATTTTCTCCGGTTTGGACAAATTTTGTGAATAACATAAGTTCAGAAGTTTTATGGTACTCTAAAGAAATATAAATTCACTTTCTTAGTAATACAATTCTGAATAGAGAGTATTTTAAATACATTATATTTCTTGTCTCTTAAGCACAAAGGAAATTTTGGAAATAAACACTGCTGAACGAGTTTAGATAGAAAAATTTAAAAAGAACGAAATTATATCTATGTGTATATTTGCTTATATTATTAAAAACAAGTAGACACAAGATATGGGAAGAAATGGTAAATTTACGGTCATTAGAGATGTAACAAAAGAGTTTTGAATTATAGTAACATTTAAATATGTAATATTTACATTTCTCAATGACACATGCTAAAGGCAGTATTCTTTTCCTATTACAAGAAGTAGGGGAATTGTATTTATTATCATAAAAATAAATATTTTGCTCTTTTTGTATTAAAAATTTAGTACCATTTTAACACATGATATATCAACTTATATTTAATGGAATATTTCACAAAGAGAAACAATTTACTACAATGCTAAAGTTTTATTTAGGTTAACAAAATAATTCACCTACAGAGAAATAAATGTAAATTAATAGAAAAAAATTGTTGAACCCTCATTACACTTAATTTCCTCTTCTAGGCCTATTGTTAAATTATGAATATGATTATAATATTGTTAACTTATATTAAACTATATTAAATTCTACTTTAATTTGTATTTTATACATCTAAATAAATGTCTGTGCTATTTTGGCGACTGGGCAAATCAATGAAGCTCTCTCTTTGTTTGTTTCCTCACCTGCAGAATAGATATAATTATTATCTTCATACCCAAGAAGCCCTAAGAATAGCACCTGGCAACCTAGTAAATGCTATATAAATGCCTATGGAATAAAATAAATAAATAAAGCATAAGTACCTAGGGAAATAGCTAAATTTTCAGTAATTCCCTATTATAAAAGAGCTGAGTAGGGAGAGACAATAGTAATAATGAAAATATTCTGTGCCAGGTAGAAAAAATTATTTGGCATTCCAGAAATTTTCATGTGTGGTTTTAAAATTTTTGCCTATATTTCCAAATAATGACTTAAAATAGATAAAGAATTTCATATCATCACACTTCATTCTTCCTTAATGCAATACTTGTCAGCAAGATGAAAAACATGGCATAAGATAAAGAATACAAAATATCCTTCAAGGAAAGCATATATTCTGTAGGTAATAAAGGTTCTGTCAATAATTTACATAATGTCTTTGACTTTACCCAGATGGCCAATATGGGATGTGGGATGTTGGTCTAGATGATAAACAGGATAGAATTTACATGATATAGAAAGAAAATATTGTCATATCATTGTATACTTTCTTGACTAATAACACGCCTAGTTCTTTTTTTTGTGGAGTACCCTAAGGTATATTTCTTACCACATCATAAAAAGTATGACTGGGCAATAAAATACAACAAATCTGTAGCTGCTGGTCAGATTGCTTTGGTTTCTTATGTGTATTGTCTTTGATAATGACTTTTTCATAACTTATAATACCATTCTTAGTGTAACATTGAAGCCACAATGAATATTTAAGAGGAAAATGAAATGTAGAAAATACACCTCTCTAAAGACTCAAATAAACAATCAAACTTGGTTCCATAAATGTAGGAACTTTACTCTGCCTTTACAAAATTATAACAATGCATCTTTTGTATCATACGTTGAATTTATTTTCAAACTAGCACTGTTTGCTCATACCAATGGATATTTAAGTAAAGAATGAAGTTTTAAAAGTTATATGTGTCTGAAGTAATAACTGGATTGTACCTCTCAAAGGTGTTTTATTCAATACAGGTTGTACTAGTCCCTTCTTGAAGTGCCTACTTGAATTGTAGTGAAATGATCCTTATCTGGATATGGCCCCCAGTACGTATGATGGACATGCAGTGGCTAAGTCTGCACAAATGATTTTGTTTCCCGTGACCTATGGATCAAGGGTCAAATGCGTGACTCAGGGTTGGTTAATTATATGCTGTGTCCTAGAAATTTAAAACTTGCAAAAGAGAAACAAAATATAAGAGTACTTGAATCTAAGTCTTGTTATTGAAAGTTACCTTGAGAGGAGGTCTATAAACATTATTGTAGCTCAGATCCCAGAATCTTCTCGATGTATGCATTATGGAGATTTGGCTTTCAATTATTACTTTCTTTCTGCAACTTATTCCATTTTTACTTGAAAAGTTAGGTTTTTGTACTTAGATTGGCTGTTGACAACTTAAATAACATTAATTTACAAATTTCAGGGAAATACAGATGTCTATGAGAAAAGAATATCAATTAATGACAATGCTACATGAATATAAGTTTAGAGTTACAATGAGTGAGACACTGTAAGTTTATATAAACAATATAGAAAACTACTCACTATGAAAGATTCAAAACAGAAATATAAGTAAATCCTTAGAGAAGATGAAGTTGGAATAGCATGGTCTGTTGTATCACTCAGAGATGGCTTCCCGCTTGGACCCTGGTTCTTCCTATTTCTTCCTGTGTTGGCAAATTACTTAAGTTCTCTGTATCCTCATCATTAAAATATAGATAATAAATAAATCTCATGTCATTTTTAGAATTAAATATTCTAATGCATATAGAATACCTATTTCAATGCCTTGTCACAAAAAAAGATACTAAAAATATATGTTCTTTTTTTCCTCCACAATTATTATTTATATATTTGGAGGTTTGTAGGGATCTAATAAGTAGCACCATTTTTCTCTCCCCAAGTTCTTAAGTAAATTTAAAAATTTAAAAATGGAGGACAAATATCAACTGAGAGATAATAGAGAAGCGATTTTTTTCTATGGGACAAATTCTTTCCAATTGCTGAACTTCAATTAAACTGATATTCCCACAGATTCACAAGCCCAGGTGGCAATCCTCAGGCCTGTCCCACAGAGATAGGGACATGCTTCTGGTAGACTAATAATGAAAGGGACCACAAGCTCTCTTCAGGTAAACCAGTTTCAGAATTAGGAAAATATATAGCGGCCAAGCTATTCATGCCTGTTTTTATATCCCCCTTCCAAACTCATGAATCAGGAATGCTTGGGTCATGAGTATAAGGCAACATGAAGGCATGTGGGAAAATACCATGAATTGCCATGAATGGGGAAAATCATTTTATATGTCAAAATATGTATTTGAGTGACTTGGATAACATTTGTAATACTATATTTAAAATACAATATTTAGTTAGTGTTTCTGAATGAGATAGTACTGAGAGCAATAAAAGGAACAGGGAAAATTTATAAATGAAGGCAATTGTGTGTGCCAGGTAAATATAAATAAAGATTAGAAAGAAGCAATTAAAGGTAGGCAGAGTATTGTGATGATCAAAAGTCTGAAAAATAATATAGTTTTATGATAAGAGGGAAATGAAACAGGGGAACAGGTTTGAAATGATATGAACAGGATTTTTTTAAAAACTTATTGATATTTTCAACCAGAATTTTTTAAAAAGTTATTTAAAGCTGATTCCTAAAATTGACTTACTGTAATAGCAGATATTTTTTGTATCTTATCCACACATTCTCCTCTCTGAGGGAGTAGTTCAAAGAAAAAGAGGAAGAGAAAAGGTAAGATGATTAAAATATTTTTAATACAACTGAAATTGTCCTTATCTGTTATCACCATGAGATGGTGAAGGTGGTACTATCTCCTGCACCAATTATCATTTAATATCTTTCATGTGGGCTCAGGATAGAAACCTGCTGCCTTCCTAGAGAGGCCTGATGATGCGTTTAATGTCAACTAAGATCAAGAGCAGCTCATTTACTACTTCAAAGGGGAAACCTTGGGGTTAAATCATTTAGACCCAAGTTACTGTTCATTATTAACTGATGCCTAAACACTTCTGATCATGACTATTGATTTCATACCCCATCCCACCAATCAATATGTATATGAATTTTAGAGTAAAGGGGTGGATAGTACAAATGCTCAGTGTCAATTATGCTCTCCTAACGGACTATGTGGGTAAGCCTTATATATATCAGTATTTGATTTTACCACTGTGATATTTATCACACAAGGAACTCACAACAGATTGTCACTCATAAAACCAATTTCACAATGATTTAAAACCAATTTCATAATGATTTGAAACCAATTTACTATCTATTATCACAAAGCCAGATAATATAACTTAAATGTTAGTAAATCACCTGCTTTCAGAAGCTCTGCAACAGAAACTTTTCCCACTGTCTCCTAACTATAGAGAAATTGGTACATTGTTACTCTAGAGGGTTAGTAAACCTTGGGCAGAGTATTGGGATCTTGATAAGACCACGTAAAACTCGGCCTTTGAAATTTCTTCCCTACTTTGCCTCACTTAAGTGTTAAAATTGCTGCCTGATGAAGGTTTGGATCTGTGTGCCCACCCAAATCTCATGTTGAATTGTAATCCCCAGTGATGGAGGTGGGGCCTGGTGGGAGGTGATTGGATCATGGGCATGTTTTCTAATGGTTGAACACCATCCCTCTGGGTGCTGTTCTAATCACAATGAGTGAGTTCTCAAGAGATCTGGTTGTTTAAAAGTGTGTAGCACCTCCCCTCCTTCTTCCCCCTGCTCCAAACTTGCTAAGTGCCAGCTTCTCCTTCACCTTCTGCCATGATTTAAAGTTTCCTATGGCCTCCCCAGAAGAAAAGATCCCAGCATCATGCTTCCTGTACAGCCTGTGGAAATGTGAGCCAATTAAAACTCTTTTTTTTTTTTTTTTTTTTTAAGTAAACTACCCAGTCTCAGGTATTTCTTTATAGCAGTGTGAGAATGAACTAATACACTGCCTAAATATAGCCTTCCTTTTTATTTTGTTGTTTTGTTCATTTCAGTTGTTACAGACAACTAAAAACCAAAGCTATAATGTGAGTACACAGAAAGATTCACCAATTCCCAGCCTTATTTACCTGTGCTCTTTTACCTTTGATCACTCATTATAGAGAAAATGTCCTCCTTACACAAAGGGCAGAAACGTATCAAAAAATCTGAATCCTGTATTTCAGCTAACAACTTATTTGAACTAGGTGTTCTGTGTAGATTCTAGCACTCTAAAAGTGTGGAATCAAGGGTGAAGGTGGCCATCAACCATCAGTGGCTCTTGTCAAAATTTGTTTCTAGGTCAATTGAATGAACCAAGTTGAGTGAAAGTTTTCAATTATGGTTTCCAACATATCTTCCAGATGGTTGTTCCATTTCAAGGATCCCAATGAAATTGTAAATTAATTTAAATATTAACATTGTACAGATATTTAAATACTGAAAAACTGAATTCCCATCATTTTAAATATTTTAAATATACTTCACTCACTCTAAAGAAGCCTGCCAAATTAAATGTATCTGTGATACTCTAAAAAATCTTGTTACTTTGGACCTTCAGGTTAATAAACCCAAAGGTAACTTTATACCTGCGTAATGCCAGCATAACTGTCCTGAGAGAGGGGACCTAGTATTCTGAAGATAATAATGTTTTAAAATAATTTATGAAAAAAATACTCTTTTAAGACTACATCAATAGGATGTAAAAACTTTCAAAAATACGAAACTTTTAAAAACATTTATAAGTATGTCACATGAACGCTGGTATCATAGTCTTCACCTTTATTTTAAGCCAGTATATACATGAGGAGTCAGGCTCCAAATCACAATCCTATGTGTGATCTCTCAGGCCCAACCGTTGATAATTTCAAGACGTTGGGTGGCAAGACTATTTAAGGAAATCTGTCCTCCATACACAAATTTGGTGCACAGCCAGTCCATTGCAGTTTTCTGGAGAAAGTTGCACCTGAGGACTCAGCTTCCCCTATCCAAGGACGGTCATGCACTTACATATATCAGCATTACTAACCCAGGTGCCTCTATGAAGTCCTCTTTATTAGAAAGATTGGCAAAGGTACTTTACTCCAACCCAGTATTTTTTTCAATCCTAGCCCTTTCCCCTCCCTTTCCCCTGACCTCCAATCTCCATAAGAAGGCAAGAGCCACCTTTAGTTAGTTCGTGGCGCTGCAGCAGTGAGACAATTTTCCCGTCTGTGTTGTGTTGGATGTCCTCTAATCCTCACCTGGAAGTTCCCTAGGCAAAAAATAAAAATAAGAGAACCAGCAGCACCTGTCTTTTTGGTTCTTTTGTTTGCCCTTTCTCAGTATGTAAATAAACCTTGGCTTTTATTTTCAGTTTGTCTCATTTTCTTAATTGACCACCTGGGTAATTGGCAACTCAACAATATATCATTGAGGAAATCACATTAACTAATGAAATGATTGAAAATATGTGAGTGCTGGAAAAACACATTATGATGTGCTTTTTTTATTACCTTGCATATATGTTTAAATGTTTTTTTTTGTTTGTTTTTACTTTTACTTTCATTTTAGAATAAGGAGGTAGATATACAGATTTGTTACAAAGGTATGTTGCACAATGCTGAAGTTTGGGATATCATTTAACCTGTCACCCAGGTAGGGTGTATAGTATCCAATAGGTAGTTTTTCAGCCCTTTCTCTTTCCCTCTCTTGCCCCCGGTAGTCCTCAATGTCTAGTGTTCCCATCTTTACGTCCATGTGTACCTCATGTTTACCTCCCACTTATAAGTGAGAATATGGGATATTTGGTCTTCTGCTCCTGTTCTAATTTGCTTAAGATAATGGCCTCCAGCTGCATCCATGTTGCTGCAAAGAACATGATTTCATTGTTTATGGCTGCATAGTATTCCATGGGATACATGTACCACATTTTCTTTATTCAATCCACTTTTTATGGGCACCTAAGTTGAATCCATGTCTTTGCTGTGAATAGCATACTGATGAACATATGGGCTGTGTATCCTTATGGTAGAACTATTTATTTTCCTTTGGGTATATACTCAGTAATGGGATTGCTGGGTCAAATGATAGTTCAACTCAGTTCTTTGAGGAATCTCCAACTGCTCTCTACAGTGGCTGGACTAATTTACATTTACATAATGTAGGTTACATTTACATTTTGCAACAGTGTGATATTCTACTATGATATCGGGAAATGAGTTTTCTTAAGGTATATTAAAAATATATTATTTTTAGTTATTGGAAATAACTTTCAGTACTTAAATTTTCCTCTAGGTAAAATATTTGTTTATAAAGCTGCTTAAACTACTTTAGGTAATGCAGATGAAATAAAAGCCTTCCATCAAATTCCATAGCCAACAATTTTCCCCAGAGATAACCATGGTTAACCATTTCTTTGATTTGTTTCCAGATATACTTTAAGGGTATGCAACCATATTTTTTTCTTTCCACTGTCAGCATGTTTTGTGTACTTTTGTTTGTTTTGTTCTATGTTCTTTTATTTGTGAGTATATTTCAGAGATATTTTCATAGCATTCCAAGGACTCATCATTCTTTTTATAACTGCAAAGTATCTCATGTGACTGCTGAAATACACCTACTTACCTGGAGATACACACACATACACTTTTTAGTATTAAAAATAATGAATAGCTTTGTATATATTTCTTTGTATATGTAAGTGGGTAAAATTGTGGAATAAATTACCACAAATGGAATTATCGTATCAAAGAGTGCATACATTTTTAAATTTTGATAAACATTACCATACTGCTCCCAGTAACAATGTTTCTATACACAAAACTTTAGTAAAAGTATCATTAACTTATTTATCTTTGCCAATCCTATTCATAGAAAAACAGTTCTCTAATTCCTTTTTCGTTAGCATTTACATTATTTTGAATGGATTTATACTTCTTTTCAAATGTTTAAGGACCATCTATACTTATTTTATTGTGTCTTTGCTGTTTCTATTCTTTGGCTATTCCTCTTGGCCTGTTTTTCCTAATGATTCATAAGACCTGTTACAAGAATGTATACTTTTGTTATATACATTGCAAAATTTTTCCAATTTCCTTGGTATTTTTGTATATCATTCATATAATTTATCATATAATAATTTCTTTTTGAGACAGAGTCTCACTCTGCCGCCCAGGCTGGAGTGCAGTGGTGCAATCTTCACTCACTGCAACCTCCACCTTCCGGGTTCAAGTGATTCTCCTGCCTCAGCCTCCCGAGTAGCTGGGATTACAAGAGTGCACCACCACACCTGGCTAATTTTTGTATTTTTAGTAGAGATGGGGTTTCACCATGTTGCCCAGGCTGGTCTCAAACTCCTGACCTCAGGTCATCCACCCACCTCAGCCTCCCAAAGTTCAGGGATTATAGGCATGAGCCACTGTGCCTGGCCTGTCATATAATAACTTCTTAATAATATTAGGTAAATTTACACATTTTTCATTCATGGTTCCTAAATTTGCATTCTTTTCAGAAAGGCCAATTCTACAAACAACATTTATTAAACAATTCTTCTTTCCCCCCACTGATTAGCAGCAATACCACTAACATATACCAACTTGAGTATATTTGTAGACTCTGTTTTACATTGAACTCTATTTATTTAACAATACTGCATTTTTAAACTAAATTGTATATAAAACATTTTCAAGGATGCTGATATATGGTCTCCTTTTAGTACATTCTTTGCTAATATTACAAATGTATTTTTTTACACAGGAAAATTAAAATCTTATTTCAAAGTCCAAGAAATCCTGGGGTGTTTTCATTCTTACTAAGCTAAATCCATAGATTAGCCACTATATTATGCGAACAAACTTGTAAGATAGAGTGTTTTTGTTTGGTTGGTTATCGTTTTCATCTCTTTGGAGAGTTTTTTTTTTCTTAGAGCTGTTGCAAAATGATCTATCTGAACAAATTGTAGTTTTCAGAATCTTTGATGTGTCCTATGTCCTAAAGAGTTGATCAATTGTTGTACCATTCAGTACGTCCTTGAATCTTTATAATAGTGAGAATTCCTAAGGACACAGTGAACCTTTTCTTTAAGTTTACCTGGTATCATTTAAGAAATGTTTTAAAATATTATTTGTTTGTTTCTATCTGTGTTTAGATTCTCTGCTAATTTTTTTTCTCATTATTACTTACCGTTAAATACAATGAGTTCTTCCTGGGCCTTGCTGTAGATACACTTTTGAGAAGAATGATAACAGTGTTCCAGGCTGGTAGATATTCTCCCTCCATCCCCAAATTAAACATGATTAAGTGCTCTAAGAATTGACTTCAGATTCCCTGCTCACTGATTTATAAATGTTAGAAACTTTGCAGTCAAATGCTCTACCATTGAGCTCTACTCTCTGCCAGATAATGAGGACACAATTCAGTAACTCTCACTTTCTTAACCTTTGCAAGAGTGTGTTATCTGTTTTCTTATTCAACCGCATGTCTGTTTCTCGTGTTGGGAGCTAACAGTGTCCATAAGGAATCCCATGGTCAGTGTACATACCCTGCTTTGTTGCTCCCAATAAGACTTCTGTTTACACCTTGGGAAGTATACCTCATTGGTAGAACATTATTACGCTCTGCAGGGTTCATCTGAAATACGCAGCTAGATTTCTGTTGGATATTTTACATACACTCATTTTCTCATAACATCCCTGAATATACATGTTACTATCTGCATTTTGCAAATGAGCAATTAAGAGTCAAAAACTTTAAACCACTTACCTAAATCTACACAAACAGTAAGTGAAGAAACAATCACTTGAACACAAATATATTTCACAAGAGAAATATTCTTTCTTTTATTCCGTTTTTTTTTCTTTTTTGTATCTCAGTAACTATAACAATTAATTTCCTATGGTGGTACCTAATCAAATCTGTTTAATTAAAAAGATAGTTACCACCTTTCGTTACACAATTAAATTTTAATTATTGTAACATTTCTAAGCATCTTTCTATTTTGAAAGAAAATGTGTGCTAATGCATTTGAAAAAGGCTTTTGCTCAATCTTCTATGAATAGCAGCTCCCAGGAGTCCAGGACCCAAATCACTGAGAAGGGAATCTATTTCATGAAAAATGTCATTTGCAGAGTATGCAGGTAGTGAGGAAATCTAGTTCCAGCCTGTCAAGGCAGTGACTTCAATTCTGCTGAGTAGCCAAAGCAAGATAGTGTATGTGTAAAGAAGCAGCAGTCGCCTGGGAGACCCCTGAGTGAAGTAGGACAAAGTTCTGTAGAATCAACCGCTTGACTTCAGTCTCTGATACAGCCTCAGAAGTTTCCATTATTTCCCAGACGCTTGGTTTCAGAGTAATAGACAATCACTCACCCATTTGGCTTAGTCCTTTAGAAAAGAGAACATTTAGGTTGTGAAAAGGTCATATGGCACCACTGACCAGATACACTAACTGGTAATATAAATAAATCAAGAAGACATTCATGTGATTCATCACTGCCTACTTTTTATGCACAATGAAAGCAAGAAACAAGTCTTGATTTTATTGAGAATAATATTAATCATAAAAGAATTAATTGCTTTATATCAGCTGCAAATCCCCAGCCACCTTGCTATCAACACTCCCATTTGGAGTCACAAATATATAATTACATTCTAAAATATAATTTATATGTAACCTCCTGAATTTTATAATATTTACATTTCAAGATTGCTATGGTCTGAATAAGGTGTCTCATTAAAATTCATATTTTTGAATTTAATACCCAATGAGATAATATTAAGACATAGAGTCTTTGGGAATTTATTATGAAAATGTATCATGGGAGCGATTATTAAAGAAGTTGCTTCTTCCCTCATATAAGAACACAGCCACAAGGAGACATCTATGAAGCAGAGAGTGAGCCCTTGTTAGACATCAAACCTGCTGACACCTTGAACTTCAGTTTTCCATCTACTAGGACTGTGAGCAATTATTTTTTGTTGTTTATAAATTACCCAATCTATATTGTTATAGCAGTGTGATGACTAAAAATGTTATAAATGCATATTTTTAAAAGGAAAGAAAAATGAAATATACTGTGTCCTGTCATCTCCCATAAGCCATATAATTTAGACCTTTATAGTGTACCACTCTCTACTCTGACAAAGTAGGGGAAGTATTGCTACCTTTGATCTATTGTTTTTTAAAATATATTTAGGTTGCAGAAATTCAATAGAACGGCATTGATTGTGTGGACTTATTCCTAACGCTATAAATTTAGAATGACCTGCAATGGCAATATTGAAAATTGACATTTTATATTGAATTTGAAGTTCAATATATGCACTTATGAATTGTCATATATAATGTATTATTTAAGATGAATATGCCAAAATTATTTGTAGAAAGTAAAATAGAAATGTTATATTTATTCATCTTCATGTGCACATATAAGTGGTTTGGTACATTCTGGTAGAATTTCACACTATATAATCTTAAAAATAACTCATGTAGCCATTAATTACGTAGAATCTGATGTTCCCTGGTTCATTTTGAATAAAATCTGCATACCTGCCTTACATTTTCATGCAATATTATCCAGGCTAAGACAGTTTTAACAGAGTTATCAGTATTAATATTGGTAAGTCATAGGTATAATGAAGGGTACATAATCATTTCATTGAGATACCAATAATCAAAAATATAATCAATAAAAGAAGGTTCATTTTAATTTCACAGAAGCTAATTTATAAAATTTTTAATAATAGCACCTGGAAATATAAAATTATAATTTTTAATCCAAATTACACATAACAGTGAAGTATGATTCAGAAAATATGTATTATTCCAGGGGAAAGTAAAAAGTAGGTGAAGATATTTGAAGAGTCTATATAATTTTTATTTTGCATCTATGAGAGTCACAAATATTTTTTTAACTTGACCAGCTATCAGGATCTCCTTTCACTGTGTTGATGTTTTGATATAATTTTTGACTGTAAAATTAACATTTTCATGGTGAAAGGCTAAATATTTTTATAGATATTTCAAAATTTTCCCTCAAAAACTTCTGTGTCTAGTTGTGTTTTGGTCAACAGAGACTACAGATGTTCAATAAGACACATTTTCTAACATTAAATAGTATCCTGTAATGGAATTTTGTTAACCTCATTATTGCTTATTGAGTTCCACAGTTTATTTACACTCTCCCTAATGTATTTCTCCTTTTGATAATAAAAAAATAAGTGTGTCAATGAAAGAAGGTAGAGCTGGTAAATGGGCAAGTAATGGTCTGTAGACAAGCCCATATAGAAAGGAATTTGTTCTTCTATGAGCCAAGGTTTGGGGTAGTAAAAGAGGTATGAAACCTAAACTGATTCATACATTAGTACTAATAATTAGTACACAATTAGTAACATTAGTACTCTAATGCTAGGAAAACGTGGGTCTTCAGAAAGCATTTCACATTGTAGGAGCAGGGCAGCACCTTGCCATTTGGGGTCTTCAGCTAAGGAAATCTATAAGAATTTCCTGATCCTGGAGAACAGATTGTGTATCTACAAGGTGAACAAAGATAACAAATCTTTTATGCTTGTACCAGTAGAGATCTCAGAGCTCAGAAACATTCTTTAAGGAATAGAGCAAGAAAAGTAAATAACGAAATAATAGATATCTACTTTTCCTTGATTGAAGGGTTTAATTGCTATTTGAAAGTAAAACTAAAAGAGTCAAGTTGCAAGAAAAAGAAATCTGATAATAGCCTGTAAGTAAAATTACCAAACTATATCGGCAAAATCTAGGACCTGAGTGTTAGATTGAGGGGAAAAAAAAGCAAAAGCATTATAAAGGTTTTCTATCATCAGGGATTGATTGACTAAAGGTCTATATAATGGCACATTCTGGGAAGGGGATGCATGAAAAAAATGGAGTGTATTGGTTATAGGATAGATTTGAAAAATTTATATATGGTAGAAACACATCAATTGATGCGTGGAATGGGGAGTATAAAAAATTGACAAATAGAAAGGGTTAAACAAACTTCCAAATTAACTGGGGTAAGGTGAATAAGAATAAAAATAAAACCAGCAAAAAATAAGCAAAAGGCAAAAGAGAATGCAACTATTTAAAAATAATATTAAAAATAAAAATTACAATGGGATTTCTTACAGAATTTTTTAATCTAAAATTTATATGCAACAAAAGACCCAGAATAGCCAAAGTCATCTTGAGAAAGAAGAGCAAAGTGGAGGGATCAGACTTTCTGATTTGAAGGGGTATTTCAAGGCTATAATAATTAAGAGTATGATACTGACATAAGGACAGACACATTGGCCAAAGGAACAGAAGAGAGAGCCCCAGCAACAGACTCATAGATATATGGTCAGCCAATCTTCAACAAAGGTGCCAAAAATATACAACGGGGAAAGAATAGTCTCTTCAACAAATGGTAATGGGAAAACTAGATGTCCACGTGGAAAAATATGAAATTGGACCCTCTTCTTGCACCTTAAACAGCACCAACAAAATCAACTCAAAATTGTTTAAAAATTTAAATGGAAGACCTGAAACTGTCAAGCTCCAAAATAAAAACAACAACAACAACAAAACACACAAGAAGAAGGCTTCATAACAGAGATCTTTATAATCATTTCCTGGATATGACACACACAAAAACACACGCAGCAAAAACAAAAATACAAATGCTTACAATAGAATATTACTCAGCCTGAAAAAGATGGAAATTCTATCATTAGAAACAACACAGCGGACTTGGAGAACGTTATACTAAGTGAAAAAAGCCAGTCACAGAAGGCCAAATACTGTAAGATTTCACTTATATGAGGTATATGAAATAGTCAAATTTATAGAAGCCGAAAATAGAACAGTGGTTGTGAGAGACTGGGAAGAGAAAAATCATCAGAGTTGTTTAATGGATATGAAGTTAATATGGTAGATCTCATATTAATTATTCCTTACATACACACTCAGAAAGCAAAGGGGCACAAGAAAACTTTTGAGGGTGATATTCTTATTACCTTGATTGTAGTGATGACATCATGGGTATACGCATATATCCAAACTAATATCAAACAGTATATGTTCCCTGTGTGCAGTCTTATTTTATATCAGTCATACTTTAATAAAGCTGTCAAAACACAGAAAAATAACTAAGGTGAAAGAATTTTTTTTTTTTTTTTTTGAGACGGATTCTCCCTCTTTCGCCCAGGCTGCGGCTCACTGCAAGCTCCGCCTCCCGGGTTCACGCCATTCTCCCGCATCCACGCCATTCTCCCGCGGCAGCCTCCCGAGTAGCTGGGACTACAGGCGCACGCTGCCATGCCTGGGCTAATTTTTTTGTATTTTTAGTAGAGACGGGGTTTCACCTTGTTAGCCAGGATGGTGTTGATCTCGTGACCTCGTGATGTGCCCGCCTCGGCCTCCCAAAGTGCTGGGATTACAGGCGTGAGCCACCGCGCCCGGCAGGTGAAATAATTTAAATCATACTAAATGCAAATAAATATTTATTTTAAAAGATATATTTGAAAGTTTGGTTAAAATAAACTTTTCTATGCATTTTATAAAAATATATATTTTAAAACAAATTACTAAACATTGAAAACTCATTTAAGATAATAGATGTAAGGCAAATGCACGAAAAGAGGAAGCAAGGATGACATAATTTTATCTTTAGAATTTAAAGGATCTAGTGGAGAAAAATAATTAAGTCGAGAGGATTTGAGTAATGTAATCAACATCCAGCACTAAATAGACATATAAGCAAAGTTACATTGTATAAATGAAAAATAAATATTTTTATGAAAAAGATCAATTTAAAATTTCTGGGCCGAGCGCTGTGGCTCACACCTGTAATCCCAACACTTTGGGAGGCCGAGGCGGGCGGGTCACCTGAGGTCAGGAATTCAAGACTGGCCTTGCCAACATGGAGAAACCCCGTCTCTACTAAAAATACAAAAATTAGCCTGGCGTGGCAGTGGGCGCCTGTAATCTCAGCTACTCGGGAAGCTGAGGCAGGAGAATCGCTTGAACCCGAGGGAAGAAGTTTGTAGTGAGCCGAGATCACACCACTGCACCCCAGCCTGAGCAACAGTGTGAAACTCTGTCTCAAAAAGTAAAATAAAATAAAATAAAAAGTAAAATAAAATTTCTGGAAGATCCTAAATAAGTGATACATCATGCAGAACAAGAATAAGCACAGATATGTAATATCAGTCCAATATCATTAGCAAGTTCAAGATGTGCTATATTTTATGTATTTCAAAATGATCTTGATTACAAGATAATCATTATTTTATGTATTACTAAGAAAGAAAAGAATGCGGGCAAAAAAGACAATGCTCTATTATGAAAATATTTTATCCTCTATTTATTGAAAAATACATCAATTTATATAGTTATATTTCACAAATACTACCATGATGCATGCCTACAGGCAAAAATATAAATTATTAAGTTTTTTTCCAGACTAATCCCATTTTTAGATTCTGATATTTCTATCTTTTGAAATTTTGCACACAAGTGTTTGTAAAGTCTGTCACATATCTTCTCATATTAATTTTTAATTCATCTGAAGTGAATAAATTACAGAAAAAATTCTGTATGAAAATTTATTAAATCAATGAAAATAAATTTACTCAATTGAATATATGACAATTAAATGCTTCTCAACTATGAAGTAAGAGTCTAACGCATATATGGCAGCAACATTCTTTGGTTAATACAGTTTCTGGATTTTTAATTTTAAAAACTTTATTGTTGTAAGAACACAACATAAGATCTGCTGACAAATTTTTAAGTATACAGTACATTATTTCTAAAAATGTTGTAAAGTAAACCTTTAGAGGCTATTCATTTTACTGATAACAACTTAAGTTCAATTGCTACAAAAACTGTACACCCTCAACTTTTTCGCCTGACACTTTGTATTATTATTGTCCCAATTTACATCTATTCAGGTTGTATACAGTTTAACATTTTGTAGCTATAGTCATTTTAATGCTTCTGATTTTTTGACTTGTACAATAAAAGTGACTTAGTGACTTACTAACCATTTTGGTAATACGGTGTACTATATTTCTTCATATAATTACCTTTATTGAGTTTTATACTTTCTTATACCGTTGTGTTACTATTAGCATCCTTTCATTTCAACTTGAAGAATTCCCTTAAAACATTTTTTATAAAGCAGGTCTAGTGGTGACCAACTCCCTTAGCTTTTGTTTGTCTGAGAGAGTCTTCTTCATTTTTGAAGAACAGGTTTGCTGGATATAATTCTCTTAACTGGAAGTTCTTTTCTTGCACCACTTTGAATATAATGTCCTATTCCGTTCTTGCCTGCAAAGTTCCTGCTTAAAGAATACACTACAGTCTTATTGGGAGCTGAGGGGGGACAGTGTTCTCTTGTAGATAGTCAATTTTCTCATGCTGCTTTTAAAATTCTTTGTCTTTGAATTTTAACAATTTGATTATAATGTTTCTTAGTGCAGATTTCTTTGGGCTTATCTTATTTAGTATCCTTAGAGCTTCTTGGATTTAGATATCCATTTTCTTTTCTAGCCTTGGAAAGTGGAAGCCATCATTTCTTTGAATAATCTATCTGGTCTTTTTCCTTTTTCTTATCCTTCTATAAATTCCATAATGTATATATTGGGCCACTTGATGATGTTCCATAATTCCCTCAAGCTTACTTTGTTCTTTTAAACATTTTTTTCCTTTTACTTCTCGGACTAAATTATTTCTTGTAACCTGTCTCCAAGTATACTGATCTTTTCTTCTGTCTGATCTAATCTGCTGTTGAACCCCACTGGTAATTTTTTTAGTTCAGTTATTGTGTGCTCCATGATTTATGTCTGGGGCTTTATTTATATTTTCTGTTTTTTTGTTGAAATTATTACCTTTTTCATGCATTGTTCTCTTAACCTTGGTAACATCATTATGAGGATTATTTTAAATCCTTTTCAGGTGAGTCATATAACTCTGTTTCATTAGGGTAAAGTTTTGAATATGTATCCTGGTGTCAGCAAGAGGACAATATAGAAAGCTCTGGACCCACCTTCTCCCCACAAACATGCCAATTCAGCAACAATTTATGGACAAATTCCATTTTGATAAATGAGAAACATTGAAATACTCTTGCACCCCAGTTGAATGCTAAACCAAACTCACCAAAGCCGTTAGGAAAATTCAGGACACTGTTGTCAGAGACCTTGTCCGGGCAGAGCACTATATACTCAACAAGAGACTCCCTAGCTCCCAGCTTTATCAAGGGGAGGGAAGGGATTGGTTAATGCATCCAGTGCCCCAAATTTTTGAAGAGAGTTCCCCAAATTACTGATTTCTGTCTTTTTAATCTTGGAGGTCTGCTGTGTCTAGCACAGTCTAGTTACTTGGTGGGAGAATAGAGGAGACAGCTTTGGCTGGTAGACAACATTGATCCTCACCCTTGCTCAACACTGAATGAGTGAACAAAAATTACAGCTTCCTCATTCTCTCTGGGGAGGAAAACAGGCTCTTGCAGAGGTCCACAGAACCTGTGTCTGGGCTGATTGATGAAGTGAAAGATAATAATTATTTTTAAAGAAATGATACCTATTCAGGTATAGTAGTAGCTTTTAAATACTTGAAAATAGATTGTTTTGTAAATAAGTTTTGTACTCCCAAATTATCTGTTTAAAATATGCTTCAAATTTTGTTTCTGCTTATGTCCTTAATTTGTCTACTATTGAATACTTAATTCTAGAATGATTTCAACTATTTTATATAGCATTTTTCCTATCTCTTATTTTTTTGAATAAAACTAAGTTGTCTTATTATTTTCTGTCTGATGACTCCACTTGTACCCAAAACAAAATTAAAAAGCTCTGAATTAAATCATTCCAATAATTTCAAGGATGGGACTTTAAAATAGGTATGAAGAGTATTTCATCAAAAGTGCTTTTTGTTTCATGAAATTTTACTTTTCTTCTTGAGTCCATAACCAGCAGTATATATTTATTTCCATTTTTCTTATTTTTCATATCCATAATCTATTGCATAATCATATTGTCACATTAGCCAAATTATGGAAATAGTGGAATAAAAATGTTTGAAAATATTTTCCATTCCCTCCTCACTCCTCTACTACCCTTCCTAGTCTCTGGTAGCCATCCTTCTGCATTAATAAATTCTCTAAAAAGAAGTTTTGTAAATTGCAAGTAAATATAAAGTTTTTTTCTTCACCTTTCTTATAACTGGGTAAATATGTCGGCTATTGTTCTTTAACTTATCCAGCTTAATCAAAATTCTGCTATACATTCATTGGGAAAATTAAGTAAATAACTTATTTTACACAACATTTTAATTATTTTTATTAAATATGCATTAATTGAAATTAAATAAGGTGAATATTGAAGGGATACATTTCCTTTTGGCTTTTTGTTCTTTTCTTATCTGCATGGTCAGAATGGCTCACACTGGATCCATATTCCATTCAACAAGAAGGGGATCAAAGTAGGGAGAAGACATACTTCTTTTATTTAAAAATATGTGCTACAATTGCACATATCACCTCTGGCCAATATTTTTTTTGCCATCACTTAGTCACAGGAAATGCTGTGAAATGCACTTTTACCAGATGAACACATGAACAATGCAGAATGAACACAGTGGGGTGTAGCTAGTTGTCTCAGCTACACCAACTAGTTAGTGTCTGTGTTGTTATACATTATTTAATAATGTGTAGAAGTAATATAGTCTTTCACTTCTGAATTTCTTCAAAATATTTTCACACTGATTGTCTCCACATTTTAGCAAGAAATTATAATTTTTTAAATACCCTGTAATTTGTGTAAGATGGGACATATGAACATGATTAATTATTCTATAAATTAGAATGAAAGTGTTAATTATTTAAGTTCTCCATTAATTCCATTTTCCATTATTCTGCTTTATTTGAGCACCTTAATTAGATGGGGAAAACTCTTCACAATTCAAAATGCAAAATTATTTCCAACTGTTTTTCTGAAATATACTCAGAATGTTGTAATGTGACACTTGCTTACTTTTACTTATAGGAAGTTTATCATATTCCTCTCTTGTTTTTGTGTTGTAAAAGTTACTTAAGGACTAATAGCTTTAGTCGTTTGGTGGATAATTTAATACCTTTTCATTCCATAGGTACTTTAGCACTGTGCTAATATTCATTGAATATCAAACAAACAAAATAAGACATTTTAATCATAGGTAGACATCAATATTATTTAAAAATTGCACCAGTCTATACATACCACACACACACACACACACACACACACACACACAAACTGTGCAGTCAACTCTCTGTATTCACAGTTTTCACACCTATGTATTCAACCAGCCGTGGATTGAAACCTGTGGATATAGATGGCCAACTGTACCATGCCATTTCACATATGGGTCTTGGGCATCTACATAGTTTGGTATCCACAGGGGTTCTAGAACCAATCCTCTACCGATATGAAGGGCCAACTGAATACACACATGCACAAACATATATATACACACACACACACACACACACATATATACATACAGTATACAGGTTCATATAAAATATACACATGTATATAAAATATAAAATACACAAAATTCATTAAGAGACTTGAGCACATAACCAGTTTAGTATACACTAGCAAACAACACCAAGAGTTTCAGAGAGAAAACAATTGAGGCAGGCTATTTTAAAAACAGGGTTTATTACAGTCAATATAATGAAAAGACCTATACCTATTTTTCTCAAAGAAAGGAATGAATATATTCATACTAAAATATGGATTAAAGCTCATTATTGTTTTCCTATAAAGTAAATATATGCCTCTAAAACTGAACCACAAGAAGAAATTTGTGAAAACCCCCACAGTTATGAGGAGGAAATACTGTCCACTTCATAGGGAAGGTGACAGAGAAAAGGCTCTCAAAGAGCAGAGCCAGAGTCCAGAGAGAACAGCATGACAGTTCCTTCCAGAGTATTTATAGGTCTCAAAACTCCAAATAGTTGCTGATGTCGGGGCCTATACATCACACAGAAATATAGAACTGGATAGAGAAACTAGATGATATTTTTGGCTTGCATTATTTGAGGGCTGGCTGAGTACATTATTTTAATAATAAGAAGAAGGATATGTACAGATGTTTGGGTAATTGAAGAAGCAGACTATAGCAGAGAATATAGTTGTATATTCAAACACGTATTGTCAATGTACTCCTTAATAAAATAACATTAGTTTTATTTAAGGAAGAAATACATCCAGGAAAAACGAAATCATTCCCCACTTAAAAGCAATCTTCCATAATTTTATATTGGTAAATTAAGCTAGGGTTACACTGATAATAATAAATAAATTTGACCTTTAACATAGTGCCAGGAAATATTCATATAAATTTGTATAATTTTAAAAAAATTTTCCATAGGAAAGACTATTTTGAAGAATGGATAAAAGTAGAAACAAATGAGAATGAAAAGTCAGAAAAAAAATTCAAAAAGAGAACTTAAAAGAAAATCAAACCACTAATAATTACTACTAATAATTAAGTATTCCTGATATACTAGGAAGTTTGCTCAGCTATTTGTACACATTATATCGAAATTTTCCATTAATATCAGTACTATTACATGCTATGAATAGGCAGGAAAACCAGCGTTAGAATTTTCAAGGTCTTAAGATTTGGCATGACTACAGAATAATATTTTATCCATAGTCACTTAATATAAAATGTGCACAATGTAGAATAATGGAAAGCATTGGTGGCAGAGGAGCACATTGGAGCTGTAAGTCAGATTTTATATTAAGAAGAAAACACATGCTCAAAAAATTTTTGACTTTCTGGAAACTTTGAGTAATTTCCTTGGAATATAAGAGCCTTTGAGTCCGGGCACGATGGCTCACACCTGTCCCAGCATTTTGGGAGGTTGAGGCAGGTGGATAGCTTGAACTCAGGAGTTCAAGACCAGCTTGGGCAATATGACAAAACACCGCATCTACAAAAAGTAAATAATTAGTGGGGCTGGTAGTGTATGCCTGTCATCCTAGCTACTCAGGAGGCTGATGTGGGAGGATCTCTTGAGCTCAGATGGGGAAGTTCAGTGACCCGTGATGGGGCCACTGCACTCAGCCTCAAAAAATAAATAAATGAATAAATTAAATAAATAAATAAATAAATAAATAAATAAAATAAAGCCCTGGAAAGCTCCTTGTTGCTAGGATGTCAGACTGAAAGTTACTAACCAGCAAATATTTTCCATTGAGAACTGCAGGAACATAGGAAGCCAATTCCCCAGATGTCCTTCATCTTGATATATTCTGTCAGCATCTGCTAAGAATAAATTATTTATGTTCATTACAGTAACCCCTAAATATAATAAGAATTGTATGCCATAATGTTTATTTTTCATTCTTCCAGCATATTTTATCGCAAGATTACTAGAAGTTAATAACCTCATTTTTTAGATAAGAAAAGTGTTAGAAAGGTTAAGTGAATTGGTCGTTGCCATTCGCAGAATAAGACCGGTAGCTGCTTTGAAGATTTTATAGTGTGACTCAAAATAACCTAACTTATCAATATTAGAATTCCACAGCATTTATTTGAAAAAATGTTTTAGATGATGATAGATCATTCTGTGGAAACTGCAGGTGAAAACTTAGAACTCTGTTTATGCCTAATTTTACTGTAATAGGCTGTTCCATTGAATCATATTGTTTTGTTAAAATACAGTATATCTTAAGTGTGGACAATTTCTAACCCTTTGCATTATTTGTGAAATCATTTATTATTAAGCCTGCAGTTTTTTTCATGTGGTTGGTGATCTTAGAAAGACTCATCTTTGACATTAAGAAATAAAACATAATTCTTGTGCCATGTTGAAACACTAAAAAGCTAACAACTATTTACTTCCTCTCTGTTTCCATCTCCTCTTTGAAATACTCATAAAATCATGCAAAGTAATACTAAATGACTACATAAGATAAAGCAGGTATCAATCAACAATTTCCAAAACCATGGAGACATTACTACTAATCAAAGATTGAATGGATTCATAAAACCAAACAGCAGGGCTAAAGTAGAAAATAGGTTGATAGTCATGCTGTCATCTACCCTTGCATATCATGCCCTGCATTTATATATTCCAGAAAAATTGTTAAGCAAAAAGCCATACCTAATGCACAAACCAAATGTGTAGCTCTAATTGTGTATATTTGGGAAAGAGAAAAGGGAGTGAAACAAACACACAGGAATATTTTAGGATACTGTTTATACTATCACAGGGAAGATAAAAGAAGACCTAATGAGGCAATGTTTTACATTTTTGTTTTTGTCATTACTGTTGTTTGATTTTGGCTTTGTTTTCATGTACCCATTTTATTATAAATAAAACTGAGCACTTTTTCTAAGAAAATGTAACTGAGCACTTCTTCTAAGAGAACATCCCCATCCACATATTGAGTTCCAAGAAATGCAAGAAAAATAAAAAATAAAACCTCACCTCCATTAAAAATGATTTACAAGATACATTTCTAAAAGACTTTCCTAGGGGTGATGCCTGATTAAGATGCAAGATTCTAACTGCACCCAAATGTATATTGTAAATCAGGAGAGGGAATCCTCTTTACTCTACACTGACAAATCCCACGATAAAAGTCTTCTCATCTACATATGCTCTTAAAAAATATGTTGCAGCATGAGAAAAATAGGGGAGTTGTCCGAGAAAATTCCACTTCCAAAGTAATTTACCACAGGAGACCAAAGTAAACTTCAGAAAGCAGCTATTCTTGTCTTCTCAAATTACTTCATTTTCAAAATTCTAGGGTATTCTTTAATAATTATATGTATCTAAAAATATTCCCTGTAACATTTTCTGATCTCTATTGTGTTGTATACATGAAATATTTATTAGAAGAATTATTTTTGACTAAGTTTCAAAAGGCAAAAGAATAAGTAGCTAAGTAGGTCACTAAAAACGTAAAAGAGTCATTTCTTTTACAATTTAATTTACTTTTTTTACTATTGCCTTTTATATTATATAAAGCAATGAAAATGGGTTCAAACAGGAAGACTGAACACAAATGTTTATAGCACCTACTCCTAAGATCTCAAGAAATAACAGACAAGATATTTATGAGAGAAAATAATAAATCAAAAATAATGAAGGAAAACAAGAAAGCACCAATGGACCCAAAACTTTGAACAATTATTCAAAAATAGAAAGTATTATGATGAAATTTACAAAGAAAAATAATTAAATCAAAGAATATGAAATACAAGAAAATTCATACAAATGGAAATCATGCAGAAGTTTCTTGATTTAGAGAAATCCAAAGATGAGGGACAAGAACAGACAGTGGCTCCAAAGGAGTAATAGGGTCATTGTTTGGAAAGCAGCAATAAGATTACCTTAACTTATGCATCACTCGTCTCGGGCAACTGTCAACATCATGGCTGTCCTGGGAAATTTTAAAATCATGTTAGTACCTTGACCACACTCCTAAAAAGTTAATGATGTACTTGGTTGGAGCAAGCAGCTATATGTTTTAAAACTTCTCATCTGATTATAATATGACATAAGGGTTGAGTACTATGACTTAGAGCTGAGGTCAGCAAACCATTCCCCTGGAATCAAATCTGGCCCACAACCTATTTTATGTAGCACCAGGCTATATTCATTTTATATTTCTAAATGGTTGAAAAAATTTTAAACAGAAATAACTTTTTATGATGTGAAATTTATTTAAAGTTCCAACATGAATGCCAAAAAATAAATTTGTATTGAAATAAAGCCTTTCTCATATTTCACGTATTGGCTAAGGCTATTTTTCACTAAATTGGTAGAGTTGTGTGATTGTGAGATAGGCAGCATGGACACCAAGCCAATACATTTGCTGTCCGGCTATTTAGGGACTGAAGATGCCAACCTTGGCTTAAAAGATGAAAATATGTGTAATAGTCCATTTTCATGCTACTGATAAAGACATACCTGAGACTGCACAGTTTACAAAAGAAAGAGGTTTAATTGGACTTACAGTTCCACATGGCTGGGGAAGCCTCACAATCATGGTGGAAGGCAAGAAGGAGCAAGTTACTTCTTATGTGAATGGCAGGAGGCAAAAAGGAACAGTCCAGGAAAGACCTACCCCCTTAATTCAATCACCTCCCAACATGTTCCTCCCACAACATGTGGGAATTGTGAGAGTTACAATTCAAGATGAGATTTGGGTGGGGACACAGCCAAACCACATCATTCCACCCCTGGCCCCTACCAAATCTCATGTCCTCACATTTCAAAACCAATCGTGCCTTCCCAACTGTTCCCCAAAGTCTTAACTCATTTCAGCATTAACTTAAAAGTCCACAGGCCAATGTCTCATCCAAGACAAGGCAAGTCCCTTCCACCTGTGAGCTGTAAAATCAAAAGCAAGTTACTTACTTCCTAGATACAATGGGGGTACAGGCATTTGATAAATATAGCTGTTCCAAATGGGAGAAATCGGCCAAAACAAAGGGGTTACAGGATCCATGCAAGTCCAAAATCCAGCAGGGCAGTCAAATATTAAAGCTCCAAAATTATCTCCTTTGAATCCGGGTCTCACATCCAGGTTAGGCTGATGGAAGTGGTGGGTTCCCATGGCCTTGGGCAGCTCTTCCCCTGTGACTTTGCAGGGTACAGCTTCCCTCCTGGATGTTTTCATGGGCTGGTGTTGAGTGTGTGGTTTTTCCAGGTGATCGGTGCAAGCTGTCGGTGGATCTACCATTCTGGGGACTAGAGAACAGTGGTCCTCTTCTCACAGTTCCACTAGGCAGTGCCCCAGTAGGGAGTCTGTTAGGGGTCTTGACCTCACATTTCCCTTCTGCACTGCCACAACAGAGGTTCCCCATGAAGGCCCCACCATCACAGCAAATTTTTGCCTGGACATCCAGGCATTTCCATCAATCCTCTGAAATCTAGGCGGAGGTTCCCAAACCTCAATTCTTGACTTCTGTGCACCCACAGGCTCAACATCACATGGAGGCTGCCAAGGCTTGGGACTTTCACTTTCTGAAGCAAATGTCTGAGTTGTACCTTGGTCCGTTTTAGTCACAGCCAGACTGCGTGGGATGCAGGGCATCAAGTCCCTTGACTGCACACAGCATGGGGACCCTGACTCTGGCCCAGAAAATAATTTTCTCCTAGGCCTCTGGGCCTGTGATTTGAGGGGCTGCCGTGAAGACCTCTGACATGCCCCGGAGACATTTTCCCCATTGTCTTAGGGATTTATGTTTGGCTTCTTGTTAATTTTGCAAATTTTTGCAGTGGACTTCAATTTCTCCTCAGAAAATGGGTTTTTGTTTTCTATCACATTGTCAGGCTGCATATTTTCTGAACTTTTATGGTCTGCTTCCTTTATAAAACTGAATGCCTTTAACAGCACATAGGTCACTTCTTGAATGCTTTACTGCTTACAAATTTCTTCACCCAGATACCCTAAATGATCTCTCTCAAGTTCAAAGTTCCACAAATCTCTAGGAAAGGGGCAAAATGCCACCAGTCTCTTTGCTAAAACATAACAAGAGTCACCTTTGCTCCAGTTCCCAACAGTTCTTCATCTCCATCTGAGACCACCTCAGCCTGGACCTTATTGTCCATATTGCTATCATACTTTTGGTCAAAGCCATTCAACAAGTCTCTAAGAAGTTCCAAACTTTCCTACATTTTTTTTTTCTTCTTCTGAGCCCTCCAAACTATTCCAACCTCTGCCTGTTAGCCAGTTCCAAAGTCGCTTCCACATTTTCAGGTAACTTTTCAGCAGCATCCCACTCTACTGGTACCAATTTACTGTATTAGTCCATTTTTACACTGCTGATAAAGACATACCTGAGACTGCGTAATTTACAATAGAAAGATGGTTAATTGGACTTACAGTTCCACGTGGCTGTGTAGCCTCACAATCATGGCAGAAGTCGAGGAGGAACAAGTCACATCCTATGTGAATGGCAGCAGGCAAAAAGAGAGCTTCTGCAGAAAAACTCCCATTTTTAAAATCAGATCTTGTAAGACTCATTGACTATCATAAGAACAGCCCAGGAAGGACCCACT
Source organism: Homo sapiens (assembly GCF_000001405.40). Taxonomy (NCBI): domain Eukaryota; kingdom Metazoa; phylum Chordata; class Mammalia; order Primates; family Hominidae; genus Homo; species Homo sapiens. The sequence continues at coordinate 41,187,105 of NC_000014.9, forward strand.
TCCATAATTCAATTACCTCCCACAGGGTTCCTCCCATAAAATGTGGGAATTGTGAGAGTTACAATTCAAGATGAGATTGGGGTGGGGCACATTCCAACCATATTACTATATTTTCTAAACTTTCCTGATTATAAATCACCTGTAACCATTATTAAAAAGAAAAATAAAGAAAACAATTTAGAGCTTGACCCAGAAATTGAAATTCACTGTCTCATCATGTACTAAACATCAAGATGATATTTATCATCATGGGAATTTGAGAAAATATAGAGATAACTATGCAATGCAAGTATAAAATATAAATTAGACTTTAGTAAAGCAATATGAGATCATGGTACCCACAAAGCAAAATTAATTTAAAATTTTGGAAGTTAAAATTTAATGTTTGAAAAAAAAAAGAAGAAGAAGTGCTAAATAACAGAATAGACAACTAAGAACAAATGTGTGAGCTGAGAAATTCATCCAGGCTACACGCTGAGCAAGAGAGACAGAGAGAGAAAAAAAGTTTGGAAAAGTTGAAAGAAAAGCTGAACCACTCCCCAGTATTGTGTACAGGCACTTGACAAATGGGAACTGGATTGCACCCTCCTCACTAACTGTCATTTTCTTATCACTCTTCCTGCATCCTAGTGTTTTATTTTATGCCTTGTTCGTTTTACATCCTGATGACTGATGACATCACATGCTGAGAGCTTCCAGGTTGGGAGGAAAGACATCTCCCTGGTTGACATGACCACTCTCCCAGGGGAGAGTCCTGTGCAACCAGAACAGGGCCGGCTGTCATTTTCAAAGTGTAGGTGACTCCTGAAGAATGAGTCAGGTGACATTTAAAGCTATGCGTTCTGAAGAGGCTGAGTTGTTGAAAAGTCCCAAGGGTCTGAATGAAAGTGAGTGTCTTTAATCAACACTCAACAATAGTCTAGAAAACCCTACACTGTGCTGGTTGAGGCCAAAGGTCAATGTTGCTACACTGTTCACTGAGGGAGGGGAGCAGTGACCATCAGCCCCAGCCTCACGTGTTGTAACACAAGCATGAGTGTGTACCAGTTCTTTCTTTATTGATTTTTTAATCAAAAACAAAAAGTTATTTTTTTAAAAAGTTATTTCATTTTTGATTTTTTTAAATTATTTAAAAATATAAACCTAATTTTGCCTGTGGGCCATATAAAACACATGTATGAATGTGTCATCACATGTAGTTCTCATATGCACGAAAAGAGGAGGCTTTGGTATTGAAATTGAAAACTTTGTGAACTCAAGAACTTTCACAGCTTCTGTTGACATATTTTCTTTTTAGGAATGAAGAAAAATTATTGCATTTTTGAGCCCTTCTTTTGTCAATTCTACAAATTTGCAAGTAACTTTATAAATATTTTAAGACAGTTTTTTATTTAATATTTAATATTCTGCTAAATTAATTTTGAATTGTAAATGTCAAATATTATGTTTTGGGGGTTTGTATGTTTTATTACACTTGTTAAAAGAAAAAATTATACACTTCTAGAATATTTTAATGAGGAAATTTAATGTACTAAAATAAAAAATTAAAAAGGGCTATAAAAGGAAAAGCTGACACAGGCAGTGTTTATATCACTAATTTTGTAAAAAGAAAACAAGGAAAATAATGCTTAGAAGGTAATAAAATAAGAAGAAATGTAATGGCTAGGGAAAAGATAATTCATGATGAACCGGGCTCATTTTATGATGAGTAGAATGAGTACAAATAAATGAATAAATAGATGTTTAAGTAAAAGAATCGGTCAACATCTACTAATAATTTGAATTTTCTGCAGTAGAAGCTTTCAGAGAAACATATAATCTCAGTTTCTCTGCAATGAATTAAATTTGTTAGATAACAAACTCATCAATAACCATGGATCTAAGATAATAATTTAGTAACATGAAAATTCTAAAATGATTATTTTGAACCTAGACTTCTATACTCAACCAAAGTATTATTCAATAAGCTGTGCAAAAAAAAAAAATTGGTCCTCTGAGTCTCAGAGAAGTCCAGTGCTTTGAAGGGAGAGACCTAGGCCTGGCAGCATTCACTACACACTAACTGAAGAGCCCTTGATCCTTGATTGAACATTGGCGGTAGCCAAGCAGTACTCGTTGCAAGCCTGGACTGGTGGTCGCTACGGGGAGAGACTCCTTCTGCATGAGGACAAGATAGAAAAGAGTGGAAAGGGCTTTTGTCTTGCAACTTGAGTGCCAGCTCAGCCACAGTAGAGTAGAGCACCAAGTAAAATTCTAAGGTTTTTGACTCCAGGCCTGGGCTCTTGGTCAGCGTTTCTGGCCCTGTCTTCGGCTGGTGGGGGTCTTCCCTCACTGTGTACTGAAGGGAAGTACACAGCCTGGTGGATTTGACACCTTCTGAGTGAAGAGTACTAGGGTTTTGGGAGATCATAAGTAGTAGACAGGCAGTGGTCATTATATGACTTGGGTGAGACCCAGTGATGTGCTGCCTTCAGGTCTGACCCAGTGCAGTCCCAGTGGTGGTGGCCACAGGGGTATTTGGATCATTCTTTCATCAGCTGCAGGTAACTCAGCATGGAAAGAGACAGACTCCATTGGTTTGGGGGAAAGTAAGGTGAGAGAACAAGAGTCTTTGCCTGGTAATAAAGGGAATTCTCCCATGCCTTACCGAAGATCATCAAGGTGTTACCTCTACCGTTCAATAAGAGTCACAGTGTTAGTGAGCTTGGGGTGCCCCTTCATGCACATATGACTGCAATGACCAAAGATTTACATCACAACACTCAATTCCCTTTCATTACTTGGAAAATCTTCCCAAGAAGGACTGGCACAAGAAAGCCAATACTTTTAAGACTACAATGAATACATAAATCATCAATTCCCTGACATTAATGATCATCCATAAGGATGAAGATCATGCAGGAAAACAACCTCACAAAATAAACTAAAGAAGGCACCAGGGACCAATCCTGGAGAAACAGAGATATGTGATCTTTCTGATAGATAATTCAAAATGGCTGTTTTGAGGAAGCTCAGTGAAATTCTGAATAACACAGAGAAGGAATTCAGAATATTATCAGATACATTTTAAGAAGAGATTCAAATTTTTTAAAATCAAGCATTTCTGGAGCTGAAAAATTAAATTGACATACTAAAGAAAGCATCAGAGTCTCTCAATAGCAGAATTGATCATGCAGAAGAAAGAATTGGTGACCGTAAAGGCAGACTATTTGAAAATATACAGTCAGAGGAGACAAAACAAAAAGGAACAGCAACAAAAAGCAATGAAGCGTGTTTCAAGATCTACAAAATAGCCTCTAAACGATAAATCTTAGAGTTATTGGCCTTAAAGAGGAGGTAGAAAGAGAGATTAGGGGAGAAAAATGTATTCAAAGGGATAATAACAGAACTTTCCAAACCTAGAGGAAGGTATCCATATTCAAGTACAAGAAGGTTATAGAACACCAAGAAGATTTAATCCAAATAAGATTACCTCAAGACATTTAATAATCACACTCCCCAAAGTCAAAGATAAAGAAAGAAAGAATACTAAAAGCAGCAAGAGAAAAGAAACATACAGAGGACCTACAATATGTCTGGCAGCAAACTTCTCAGTGGAAAGCTGACAGGCCAGGAGAGAGTGGCATGATAGATTTAAAGTGCTGAAGGAAAACACACACACACACACACACACACACACACACACACACACACACTTTTATCCTAGAATAATATATTTAGCAAAAATATTATTAAAATATGAATTAAAAATAAGGTTTACCCAAATAAAATCTAAGTGATTTCATCAACACCAGACCTGTCATAGGAGAAATAGTAAAGGGAGTTCTTCAAGATGAAGAAAGAGGATATTAATGATCAATAGCAAATTATCTGAAGGTACATAACTCACTAGTAATAGTAAGTACAAAGACAAACACAGAATATTATAACATTGTGATGATGGTGTGCAAACTACTCATATCTTAATTAGAAAGACTAAAAGATGAGTCTAACAAAAAGAATGACTACAATTTACACTGCTCAGGTGATGGGTGCACCAAAATATCACAAGTCACCACTAAAGAACTTGCTACTAATGTAACCAACTACCACCTGGTCCCCCAAAACATTTGGAAATTTAAAAATTAAATAAATGACTACAATTACTTTTGAAGATATAGTATAATAAGCTATAAATAGAAACAACAAAAATATTAAAAAACGGGGGGGATGAAGTTAAAGTGTAGTGTTCTTTTTTTCTTGCTTGTTAGCTTGATTTTTGCTTTTGCAATCAGCATTAATTTGTCATTAGTTTAAAATAATGGGTCATAAAATGCTATTTGCAAGCCTCCTGGTAACATCAAATAAAAAATACAATACATAAAAAATAAACAACAAATAAAAACATACCATTAAAAATTTACATTTACAAAAAAATGAGAGGAATTAAAAAAGAAAGGAGGAGAAGACCACAAAACCACCAGAATACAAATAACAAAATGGCAGGAGTAAGGCCTTACTTGTCAATAATAATATTGAATATAACTGGACTAAACTTTCCAATCAAAAGACATAAAGTAGTTGAATAGATGAAAAGCAAGACCTAACAATCTGTTTTCTACAAGAAACACACTTCACCTATAAAGACACACATAGACTGAAATATAAAGCAAATATTATTATATTGGAGCTAAAGAGAGAGATAAGCTGGAGACTAATAGCTGGAGACATCAATACCCACTTTCAGACAGAAAATCAAAAAAGAAACATCAGATTTACTCTGCACTATAGGCCAAATGGACCTTATATATATTTACAAAACATTATATCTAGTGGCTGCAGGTTACACGTTCTTCTTCTCAGAGCATGAATTAGTCTTGAGGATAGGCCATATGTTAGGCTTCAAAACAAGTATTTAAATATTCAAAAAATTGGAATAATATCAAATATCTTTTCTGACACAATAGAATAAAACTAGAAATCAGTAATTAAAGAAATTTGGAAAACTCTACAAATACATGAAAATTAAACAACATACTCATGAATAACCAATGGGTAAATGAGGACATTAAAAGAGGAATTTAAAAACTTCTTGAAAAAATGAAAATGTAAACACAACATATCTAAATCTATGATATATAGCAAAGGAAATACTAAGAGGAAAGTTTATAGCAATAAGCACCAACGTCGAAAAGTAAAATCTTTAAATAGACCCTAATGATGCATATTAAAAAAATTAGAAAAGTCAGAGCAAACCAAAATCAAAATTATTGGAATAAAAGAAATAATGTAGATTAAAGCAGAAACAAATGAGATTGAAATTTTAAAACAATACAAAAATCAATGAAATAAAAAGTTCATTTATTGAAAAGATAAGCAAAACCTTTAGCCACACTAAGAAAAAAAAGACAGAGGACCCAAATAAATACAATCAGAGATGCAAAAGGAGACATTACAAAAAATACCACAGAAATTCAAAGGACTACAAGAGGCTACTAAGAACAACTATATGCCAATAAATTAGAAAGCCTGGAAGAAATGAATAAATTCCTAGACACATACAAACTACCAAGATAGAGCCAGGAAGAAATCTGAAACCTAAATAGATGAGATCAAAATTGAGACCAAAGCTGTAATAAAATGTCTCCCAGAAAAGAAAAGCCTGGGCCAATTGCTTTGCTGATAAATTTTACCAATCATTTAAAAAACTATACCAATTCTACTGAAACTATTCCAAAAATAGAGAAGAGAATACTTCCTAACTCATTCTATAAGGTTAGTATTAACGTGACAACAAAACCAAATACACATAAAAAAAGAAAACTACAGGCCAATATCCCTGAAGAATATTGATGCAAAAATTCCCAACAAAAATACTAAAAAACTGAATTAAATGACACATTAAAATGATCATTCATCATGACCAAATGGGATTTATCTCAAGGGTGTAAGGAAGGCTCAACATATGTAAATCAATGTGATACATCATATCAACAGAATAAAGAACAAACTTCATATGATCAGTTCAAATGATGCTGAAAAACTATTTGATAAAATTCAACATACTTTCTTGTTAATAACGCTTGAAAGACTGGGTATAGACAATACATGCTTTAACACACACAAAAAACCACATATTATAGACTCACTATGAGTATAATACTGAATGGGGAAAAATACTGAACGCCCTCCCTCTAAGATCCAGAAAATGATAAGGATGGCCCCTGTCACCACTGTTATTCAACATAGTACTGAAAAATCATAGCTCGAGCAGTAAAACAAGAGAAAGAAATAAAGGGCATCCAAATTGGAAATGAAGAAGTCAAATTGTCAATTTTTGCAGATGAAATGATGTTATATTTGGAAAAACCTAAAGATTCTACCAAAAAAACTATTAGAACTGATAAACAAATTCAGTAAAATTGTAGGATACAAAATCAACATACAAAAATCAGTGGTGTTTCTATATGGTAACAGCAAACAATCTGAAAAAGAAATAAAGACAATAATCCTATTTACAATACCTACAGTAGACTAAGATATCTATGAATAAACTTAACCAAAGACATGAAAGATCTCTACAATGAAAACTATAAAACACTGATGAAATTACACAGGATGAAAAAAATGTGAAGATATGTTATGTTCATGGATTTGAAGAACCAATATTGTTAAAATGTCCATAGGACCCAAAGCAATCTACAGATTGAATGCAATCTCTATCAAAATACCAATAACATTCTTCACAGAAATATAAAAATAATTATAAAATTTACATGGTACCACAAAAGACCCAGAATAGCCAAAGCCATTCTGAGCAAAAAGAACAAAACTAGAAGAATCATAGTACCTGACTTCAAATTATACTATAGAGTTAAGGTAACCAAAACAGCATGGTACTGGCATAAAAACAGACATATAAACCAATGGAACAGGAGAGAGAACCCAGAAATAAATCCATACATCCACAGTGAACTAATTTCAACAAAGGGACCAAAACACACATTGGGGAAAGGACAGTCTCTTCAATAAAAGCGGCTGAGAAAACTGAATAGCCATAGCAGAATAATGACATTAGTTACTTATCTCTCACTATATAAAAAAAATCAAATGAACATAGATTAAAGACTTATATTTGTGACCTGAAACTATAAAGCTATTAAAAGAAAATATTGGGAAAAAATCTACAGGATATTGGCCTGGGCCAATATATCCTTAATACCCCAGAAGCATAGGCAATCAAAATGAAAATTGACTAATGGGATCACATCAAGTTAAAAAGCTTCTGCACAGAAGGCAAGAAATAACTAAAATCAGAGCAGAACTGAAGGAAATAGAGACACAAAAAACCCTTCAAAAAATTAATGAATCCAGGAGCTGGTTTTTTGAAAGGATCAACAAAATAGATAGACCGCTAGCAAGGCTAATAAAGAAAAAAAAAGAGAAGAATCAAATAGACGCAATAAAAAATGGTAAAGGGGATATCACCACCGATCCCACAGAAATACGAACTACCATCAGAGAATACTACAAACACCTTTACGCAAATAAACTAGAAAATCTAGAAGAAATGGATAAATTCCTCGACACATACACTCTCCCAAGACTAAACCAGGAAGAAGTTGAATCTCTGAATAGACCAATAACAGGATCTGAAATTGTGGCAATAATCAATAGCTTACCAACCAAAAAGAGTCCAGGACCAGATGGATTCACAGCCAAATTCTACCAGAGGTACAAGGAGGAACTGGTACCATTCCTTCTGAAACTATTCCAATCAATAGAAAAAGAGGGAATCCTTCCTAACTCATTTTATGAGGCCAGCATCATTCTGATACCAAAGCCGGGCAGAGACACAACCAAAAAAGAGAATTTTAGACCAATATCCCTGATTAACATTGATGCAAAAATCCTCAATAAAATACTGGCAAAACGAATCCAGCAGCACATCAAAAAGCTTATCCACCATGATCAAGTGGGCTTCATCCCTGGGATGCAAGGCTGGTTCAATATACGCAAATCAATAAATGTAATCCAGCATATAAACAGAGCCAAAGACAAAAACCACATGATTATCTCAATAGATGCAGAAAAGGCCTGTGACAAAATTCAACAACCCTTCATGCTAAAAACTCTCAATAAATTAGATATTGATGGGATGTATTTAAAAATAATAAGAGCTATCTATGACAAACCCAAAGCCAATATCATACTGAATGGGCAAAAACTGGAAGCATTCCCTTTGAAAACTGGCACAAGACAGGGATGCCCTCTCTCACCACTCCTATTCAACATAGTGTTGGAAGTTCTGGCCAGGGCAATTAGGAAGGAGAAGGAAATAAAGGGTATTCAATTAGGAAAAGAGGAAGTCAAATTGTCCCAGTTTGCAGACGACATGATTGTATATCTAGAAAACCCCATTGTCTCAGCCCAAAATCTCCTTAAGCTGATAAGCAACTTCAGCAAAGTATCAGGATACAAAATCAATGTACAAAAATCCCAAGCATTCTTATACACCAAAAACAGACAAACAGAGAGCCAAATCATGAGTGAACTCCCAATCACAATTGCTTCAAAGAGAATAAAATACCTAGGAATCCAACTTACAAGGGATGTGAAGGACCTCTTCAAGGAGAACTACAAACCACTGCTCAAGGAAATAAAAGAGGATACAAACAAATGGAAGAACATTCCATGCTCATGGGTAGGAAGAGTCAATATCGTGAAAATGGCCATACTGCCCAAGGTAATTTACAGATTCAATGCCATCCCCATCAAGCTACCAATGCCTTTCTTCACAGAATTGGAAAAAAACTACTTTAAAGTTCATATGGAACCAAAAAAGAGCCCGCATCACCAAGTCAATCCTAAGCCAAAAGAACAAAGCTGGAGGCATCACACTACCTGACTTCAAACTATACTACAAGGCTACAGTAACCAAAACAGCATGGTACTGGTACCAAAACAGAGATATAGATCAATGGAACAGAACAGAGCCCTCAGAAATAATGCCGCATATCTACAAGTATCTGATCTTTGACAAACCTGAGAAAAACAAGCAATGGGGAAAGGATTCCCTATTTAATAAATGGTGCTGGGAAAACTGGCTAGCCATATGTAGAAAGCTGAAACTGGATCCCTTCCTTACACCTTATACAAAAATCAATTCAAGATGGATTAAAGACTTAAATGTTAGACCTAAAACCGTAAAAACCCTAGAAGAAAACCTAGGCATTACCATTCAGGACATAGGCATGGGCAAGGACTTCATGTCTAAAACACCAAAAGCAATGGCAACAAAAGCCAAAATTGACAAATGGGATCTAATTAAACTAAAGAGCTTCTGCACAGCAAAAGAAACTACCATCAGTGTGAATAGGCAGCCTACAAAATGGGAGAGAATTTTCCCAACCTACTCATCTGACAAAGGGCTAATATCCAGAATCTACAATGAGCTCAAACAAATTTACAAGAAAAAAACAACCAACCCCATCAAAAAGTGGGCAAAGGATATGAACAGACACTTCTCAAAAGAAGACATTTATGCAGCCAAAAAACACATGAAAAAATGCTCATCATCACTGGCCATCAGAGAAATGCAAATCAAAACCACAATGAGATACCATCTCATGCCACTTAGAATGGCAATCATTAAAAAGTCAGGAAACAACAGGTGCTGGAGAGGATGTGGAGAAATAGGAACACTTTTACACTGTTGGTGGGACTGTAAACTAGTTCAACCATTGTGGAAGTCAGTGTGGCAATTCCTCAGGGATCTAGAACTAGAAATACCATTTGACCCAGCCATCCCATTACTGGGTATATACCCAAAGGACTATAAATCATGCTGCTATAAAGACACATGCACACGTATGTTTATTGCGGCATTATTCGCAATAGCAAAGACTTGGAACCAACCCAAATGTCCAACAATGATAGACTGGATTAAGAAAATGTGGCACATATACACCATGGAATACTATGCAGCCATAAAAATGATGAGTTCATGTCCTTTGTAGGGACATGGATGAAATTGGAAATCATCATTCTCAGTAAACAATCGCAAGGACAAAAAACCAAACACCGCATATTCTCACTCATAGGTGGGAATTGAACAATGAGATCACATGGACACAGGAAGGGGAACATCACACTCTGGGGACTGTTGTGGGGTGGGGGGAGGGGGGAGGGATAGCATTGGGAGATATATCTAATGCTAGATGACGAGTTAGTGGGTGCAGCGCACCAGCATGGCACATGTATACATATGTAACTAACCTGCACAATGTGCACATGTACCCTGAAACTTAAAAGTATAATAATAAAAGAAAAAAAACTTAAAAAATGCTTCTGCACAGCAAAGGGAACAAGTAATAAAGTGAGGAGACAACCCACAGAATGGGAGAAAATATTTACAAACTATTCATTTGACAGTGGATTAAAAACTAGAATATGTAAAGAGCCCAACAACTCAATAGGAAAAAAAATCGAATTATCTGATTTTAAAATGGGCAAAATATCTGAATAGACATTTCTCAAAAGACGTAAAAATGACAGATATAAGAAAAGGTACTCAACATCATAGCCCATCAAAGAAATGTAAATCAAAATTACAGTGAGAGATTTCTTACTGTATGAGAAAAAAATGATTAAAATGCTTTTTATCCAAAGACAGGCAATAATGAATGCTGATGAGGATGTGGAGAAAAGGGAACCCTCATAGTACATTGTCCCTGGGAATGTAAATTACTACAGCCACTATGGAGAACAGTATAAATGTCCCTCAAAAAGCTAAAAATAGAACTACCATATGATCCAGCAATCTCACTCAAGAGAAAGGAAATTAGTATATCAAAGACATATCTACCCTCCCATGTTTACTGCAGCGCTATTTACAATTACCAAGATTTGGAAGTGTCTGTTGACAGATGAATGGATAAAGAAAAAGTGGTACATATACACAATGCTGTACTATTCAGTGATTGAAAGAATTATGTCCTGTCATTTGTGATATGGATGAAACTGGATGACATTTTGTTAAGTGAAATAAGCCAGGCATAGAAGGTCAAGCTTCATACATTCTCACTCATTTGTGGGAATTAAATATTAAAATAATGGAACTCATGAAGATAGATAGTTTAATGATGGTTATCAGAGGCTGGGAAGGGTAGTAGAGTTGGGAGAAATGTGGGAATGGGTAATGGATACAAAAATATAGTACGATAGATGAATACAGTTTAGTATTTGAGGCCAGTTCTGGTAGCTCACACACGTAACCCTAACATTTTAGGAGTGTGAGGCAATCAGATTGCTTGAGCTCAAGGGTTCCATACTAGCCTGGACAACATGCAGAAACTACATCTCTATAAAAATACAAAAATTAAACAAGCATCGTGGTGCCCCCACTGTAGTCTCAGCTATTTGGGAGGCTAAGGTTAGAGGATCACTTGAGTATGGGAGGTTGAGGCTGCAGTGAGCAGAGATCGTGCCATTGCACTCCAGCCTGGATGATAGAGTGAAATCCTGTCAAAAAAAAAAAAAAAAAAAAAAAAAGAAAAGAAAAAGGACAAAAAAAGATCAGATCTAGTATTTGATAGCACAACAAGGTGATTACAGTCAACAGTAATTCCTTGTACATTTTAAAATAACTAAAATTAAAAGTATTATTGGAATGTTCATAACACAAAAAAATAATAATTGCTTGATGTGATGGATACCCCATTTACCCTGATGTGATTATTATGCATTGTATAATGTGTAAAAATATCTCATGTACGCCATAAATCTATACACCTATGGCGTACCCACAGAAGTAAATTTAAAAATTTTTTAAAAAGACTTAACTAAGATAAAATGATCAGAGGTGAAATTAGTAGAATGGCTCTGTAGCAGCTATCATAGTAATTAAAGGTAGTGACCTGGTAGAAATTTGACTTGAAAGAAATTTCAAAGTACTTGGCTGTGTGTTGAGACAGTTTCCCATATGACATTACAGAAAGCTCTACTTATGTACAAGAATTGTGGCAAAAATCTAGTGATACACGTCAATCCTCTTTTGCTCTATATTTGAAGCCAAATAAGCTACAACTGTTATAGAGGAGAAAATCAGCTAATTTAATATCCTGAAACAATGACTTCTTAGATATAGTGAAATAAATATCTTAAAATTACAAAAAAGCAGCCAACAAATGACTCAAAAGAATAAAAAACTGAAATAGAATAACGTATTTTATAAATAAAGAAGAAAATGATGAAGCAGAATAAAATAATACACTTACTAGTCAATGACCTGATACAAGTTTTTTGAAAATAAAAAAAAGGCAAGAAAAATGACAAAAAGAAAGTGATAACATAAAATGTATGGAGTAGATTTTTAAAAATAAGAGAATGTAATTTTATACTAATTACTTTGAAGTTGTTTCATAATGATGATCCTCCCATACATTTAAATTGTTTACAATGTCACATAAATGGTGGAAAGTTTGATCAGACCAGTAAATTTATTCAAAATTAAATTGATAATCAGATATTTACTCATAAAAAGTACTCATCTGGGATATCATATGCCCAAGTTCTATTACATTTCAAGAAAAGTTGTTTTTAATATTTCAATATGCATATATTTAAATACACATTTAAAAATTTAAAAGATTACTAGTTTTTCAAATAATTCTGCATGCTGAAATAGGTTATCAAATCTAAAAAAAGAAAAGCAACATAGGAAAGTCCTTGAAAAATATATTAATACAAATTTTAAATACATGTTTGGAAATTCACCCATCTAATCCTTGAAAAATATATTAATACAAATTTTAAAAACATGTTTGGAAATTCACCAATCTAGATTAATCACGTCCATGTGAGATTTATCCCAGGAAAACAAGGATGGTATAATAATTGGAATATCAGCATGTGAATTAGTGCTACTGAACTAAGTAAGAGATTAAAGAAAATAAAACGCATGCTGACAAGGTATTTGATCACCTTCAATACAAATTCAATTAGGGGAAAACAGAATAGTTTCATGTTTATTACATAAATAAAGTTTATACATATATATTTTATAAGGTTAGGATTTATAATATATATATACTACTTATACATAATATGCTTATAAGCATTTCTCTTGCTACAGGATGAAAATAATGATGTCTTCTACCATCAAACAGCCAAAGTTTAATGGCAACAAAATTCTTTCCTTACTTGCCCAATAACAAATTATTGAATTGTGGCTTAACCGATTTTAGATGGAACATATTTTACCTGCCAATATTGCATAATTTGTTATTAAGGCCAGGTAGGATGGCTCACACTTGTAATCCCAGCATTTTTGGAAGCAGAGGGCGGAGGATCGCTTGAGGCCAGGAATTTGAGACCAGCCTAGGTAACATAGTGAGGCTCCATCTCTACACAATTTTGTTTAAAAATTAGCAAGGCATGATGTTGTGCACCTGTAGTCCCAGTTTCTCGGGAGGGTGAGGCGGAAAGAATAGTTTAAACCCAGGAGTACGAGGTTCCTTTGAGCTATAATTACACCACTGCACTCCAGCCTGGGCAACAGAGTGACACCATGTCTCTAAAATAAAGTAAAATTTAAAATTTGTCCCTGCATTTATGTCAAATTCCAAAGTCTTTACTTCTGGTATCTTTTTAAGCCAATATGCCAATGTATTGGACATGGCAACTTTGAGATAGCTAAGCCAATCTTTATATTTTGAAATTGAATCCAAAATAAAATCTAAAATCTCTTCTTTGTTCTAGTAACTTTCCATCCAAAAGTCTTAGTTTTCTAGAAAGACACTTATTGCAAATTCTAAACATCTTAATTGTTTTTTCTCCACTATATATTTTAAGTAAATCTTATCTAGGAAAATGTCTAGTGTCTTAGAATGTTCATTGAGAAAAATCTTAGTATCCTAAAATTACAGGTTATTCTAGTAATTTCTACTAACTGAAAATAATTTAACATTTCAAATCACTATCAAATGATTTGGTATTAAAATATCTCATTCTTATAATATGTATGAACACATGTTTGATCAACATTGTCTGGTGGTGAAACTTAACTGTTGCATAATATAATGGATTATTTAAGACTCCAAGGATATTCCTTCAGTGTTTAGCATAATACATTCCAATGGTGATCCAACAATTAATAAGTTTAGGTGTGTCTGGAACAATATTACTGGATTAAAAACTTGCTCAGTTTATATATATATACATATATGTAAAAGATATATATATAAAAGATCAGTTTATATATGTAATATAAAATACATAATGCAAATGTCAAAATGTTTAGTTAACTAGTATTTCAAGTATCATTTAACAATAAAATATGAATCTCTGCTTCTGCTCAATTTAGCTGTGAATCTTAAATGGCTCAAAAATGAAGTATATATAGAGTATATATAGAGAGAGACAGTGTAAATATATATATTTGATGATAAAATAACGCTTTTTAATATAAGATCACTTTATCTCAAATATCATAATTTTCAAAAGTAATTTAGATGTTTTACTAATTTTCCTTTTTTTCTTTTTTCCTTTTTAAATCTGGCCTCAATTAACATGACATTAATTTGAAATTAATTGCTTAGGTATAGGTATTTCTTTATAACAATACAAAATGGATTAATAGGGAAAAATTGGTACCAAACCATGTTAACTTACTATGAATTCACACTTCTTCTTATGTTAAGGGAAGGGGCAAGAGGAATGAAATGAGATAAAGACGTGACTGATGACCACAGACATCTGAGCAACAGCAAATGTCTGGGGAGGTTGTGAAATTTCTTCAGTCTCTTCAGATAATGTAGGTCAGGTCACTGTTCTTATAAATCTTTAACGTAACACTGTTACTTGTGGGTACACTCCCTTACCTCCTCAGGCGTTAGTTTTGGTAAAAGGAGTCTTATCATTTCTTTTAGTTGAACTGTAAGCTAAATTCCTTCTGTAATTAGCTGGTCTAGGTGCAGAGCTAACCAGAAGCTTTTAACCTAAAGGAAATTACTGCAGGGGATCAGATGCAAGAATGGAATCAGTCACGCTAAGCCTCCCTCCACTGGTATATATGTATGTACTAATACATATTACTAAATAACATATACCTGTGTTGCATATTACATAGGTAATATGCAAATCATATGTTATCAGACCGAAGAATTTAATCTGCTATCAAAACATGAGCAATACCTCCTGATGCAAAGAGTGTAGATTGAGAAAGAGTTGAAAGTTTGACACCAATAGGCTTTCTAGGGATTTGAACCATCTCTTCATAAACTTACACCATCAACTTCTGCCTTGGTCTCCTTTCAACTGTGATACTTCCACTTGATGATGGAATAATAAAGGACTTTTAGGCATGCCTGGCTTTATGGTTAGGTAGATGCATTAATGCCTCTTAAGATGTGCAGCTCTGGTATCATGATCTCCTGATATCCTTTCTTCATTCCTTTAATGTGAAACTCAGCCCAGTAAAAAGCAGGAACTATTTTTCCAGAACGGAATAGTTACTTGTGAAAAGGTGGTTGGATCATTTACAAACTCCTAAGAGATTGCATTGTGACTCTACTGTAGAGCCTGCTACAGGTTCAGTAACAGTTTCCTGATCAAGTTTAAATACTCTGGGCACCATTAGACATGGCATATGAGTGCCAAATGGTATATATGTTTGCAATATTGGCAAGAGATATTGAACAGCTTAATTTATTCTGCCTCTACTTAAATATAGAAGCAGAAATATAGTATGTGCTCCCAAATTCAAGTTACCAACTTAAGTATCCTGCCTCATTTTTAGAGATAAAAAAAAGAAGCTTATTCCATGTCCTTTAGTAAGTAAAGACCCTTTGAAGCGTCACACATCAAGACCTTTCCTGAGCAAGCAGCGTCTTGTAAAATGGTGGCATTAAACTTCTCTTCTCTGTGACATGATTATTTTCAGAATATCAAGCCCAGGGTACCTGCTCTCTGGTTCCTGTCAGCATGATGTAAAAATATGGTGATCAGTTAGCTGGTTAGAATCTGAGATGCTTGAAACTAAGATTGTGGAGAGGCTGTAGTTATCAATGATGATAAAGCATAGTTTCTGACCATAGTGGTTGTTAATTTAACTTAGAGAAATGGCACCACTGAATGGAGGATCACAAAGAACTGCAAGCACAGAATGTTGGATATTTTAAACAGATCTTATATTTGGATATTGAAATAATTATGAAAAATAACTTAAATAATAGTGTGGAATGGGATACCATAAATAAGTTAATACATCAACAATTAAGGAGAGTGGCCAAGAAATTGACAATTAAAAAGAGCAATGGTGTTCAATCGAATAACATTTGCTTTTCAAATGAGAAGAAAGTGTCAGAGAGATAAGAAGTATTTTCAAAGTGGCCTTGGGATGTAAGAAGAATACACACAGTAATTCATATAATTTTGGGGAAATCAAATTCTTGTCCTTTGAGGACAAGAATGTTTGAGTTTGTGCAAAAAGGTGAGATAAAAGCAACTGGAAAAGGAATCAAGGATTTAGAAAAGTATAATGATGGTATATCATGAATACCAGCAGAAGCAATACAATGATTTCAGCAAACACTGAGGATTGTGAGGGAGAGATAATAGAGAAAATTTTCTATACAATGACTCTTGGCCTAGGGGAAGTTAATGTATCAGGTTGACTGTAGTAAACGCTATTTAAAGCATGATGATATTTGCTCTCAAAGTTCAGGAAAACCAGTAATCAAAGTATGTCTCATAGATTTAGCAAGAAGTTTTGAACTTACTGCCAACCAAATTGGTGTGTGAGCCTCTGGGATGCAGAAGGACCACCCAGATGTCATGATCTGTGATGCCAAACTAGTTTTTAGGAGGGGCTATTTACCTGAGATTAGGAGACATAGAGACCTTAATATGGTGAGGAGAATAAACTGCCAAGAAAATTCTATTCATAAATTCCAGAGGCTGGATGTGTTTCTCCAGAGGCTGGAGAAAGCATCAAAAAATATAGATGTTGAATAAAAACATCAGAGGGTTTCACCTTGAATTACTGGAATTAATAATTGCAACTCTTGGCATTCGTTGAACTGTGTAAATATCACTAACTATAGTGAACATCTGAAGCAGTCAATCCAATTAAATGTTTGATTCCAAGACATGTTTTAAATTTGGTCATATAGGTTTGTATAAATCATCTGTTAATAAAAAAGTTTCTCTGTAATACTTTAAAAACAGTATGAATCTCTTTATATACAGAAATTGGCTTTACTCAAAATAATTTACTAATACATATTGCTATGAATTTTAATTAAAATAGATTAAATATTTATGATTAACATACAAATATCCATTTAAGATTTTAAAATTATATCATTTACTTTTTTTTTGAAATTGATTTCCTCACATTATATCAGATAGTACAGGATTCAGTCAGATCCTCTTAGCCTGGCATTTGCAACTCTCTCAGGCGAATGCTCTTCACCATCTCTAATCCAGCACTCACCTAATCCAGCACTCACACTATGGTTAATATTGATTTCATAGGTACCTCAAGTCTTATTCTTATATCCGATATGTAATGAAAACCACTCTTGAAAAATCTACCAAATATCTCCTTATTCTCTTTATTTCTTTTATGTAGTCCATAAAATACACTACGGTCAGCCTTGATTGAAAGATTGCTATTAACTTAGATTCTTCTTGAATGTATTTCCCTTTTTTTCACTTTCTTAATTTCTTCTCACAGTTTAGGATGCAGGTAATTTTTGTGTTTTCACAAATCTTTTTTCAGCTTCTAATACGTGTGTTTAAATTTATAAAATGTTGTGATTTGTATTTTTCATTTTGTCCACTGCTTTAGAATTTTATTTAACACTCGTATTGTGTATGTCCATATAGCAAATGAAAATGTGACTTCATGTAAGTAAGGACTTTAAATTCATTTCCTCATGTATACAGTTATATGTTAAATAGACAAATGCTTAATTAGAAAAACATGAGTGATCACAGTCATTTGTCTTTATCTAAAAATATATTAGTTTTATCTCTTTCTGTATATATTTTCTCTATTATTTCTTGTAAAAGAGAACAGAAGCCAAAAATTCTGACAAAATTATGTCAAGATTCTTATTCATGCTTCTAATATCTTCCTTCGTATGACATAACTCATATTCAGAAGTTTCAGCTACAGAAAATTTTTATAGGTAAAAAATCATGTATAAAGAGAATGTTTAGCACTTCATTAGCTAAAGCTATTGTTAAAGAAAATATCCACACGGAAAAGATGAGTAAACAGAAGTTGATTTTATTCTAATACTATTGCCAGCAATAGGGAAAAACGACAGACCAAGCCTGGAGACAGCCTTGCTGAAATAACAGGAGGGAGAATTTTTAAGAGTTGAGATGGGGAGATCATAAGCCATCTGTGTTTGCTAATCTTCTTCACCCAGAAGAAAAATAAACTTTCTCCTATCTTCACAGTAGGAGATAGTTTTACAACTGTGATCAAGGTGCCCACCTAAGTTAGGCTCCTACCCTACCACAGAAATTGCAGGATGGTGTGATATTTTCCTTGATGATTACATTTCAAAAGGATACCTCCCACAGCCCGGAGAAATACAATACTGGGTTGTAAAACTGGCAATAAGCCTTTTAAATAGATTTACATCTCAAAAGGACAAGGAAAGAACTTACAACTTTTCTGTAGCAAATGATCTAAGGAAAAGGAGGTCAGGAAAAAGCCTGTCTAAAATTTAGTCAAATTGAGGCAAACGTTAAGGCAGTGTTTTAGTCAGTATTCATTCAAGGACAATGTATTTTCTTCAGGCTTAATTATTTTCTTAGAAAATACATTTTATTTTAAGTTCTTAAAAATACCTATAACTTCGGAAAATGATAGCAATTACTTAGTGTCTTAGTCTGTTCCTGCTGATATAACAAAATACCGCAGACCAGGTAATTTAGAAATTTATTCATGGTTCTGGAAGCTGGGACGTCCAAAATCAAGGCACTGTCAGATTCAGTGTCTGGTAAGGGCTTGCTGTCTATTCCATAGTTGGAGCCTTGTTGCTGGATCCTCACATGGCAGAATAGGTGGAAAGATAAAACTGGTTTCCTGAAGCCCTTTGATAAGGGAGTTAATACCATCCATGAAGGCAGAGCCCTCATGACCTAATCACCTTTCAAAGGCCCCACCCCTTAATACCATCACCTTGGAAGTTAAGTTCCAACATAAGAATTCTGGGGGAACACCAAGATTCAGATCATTGTGCTTGTTTTCCAACTAGGCTTAATTATTTACCTAACCCAAACGTTCCTGTAATGTTTCATCTATTCCACCGGTATCCAGCTATGATATTCTACAAATGTCTGTCTTTCCCACGACATACTGAATTATTGAAGGTTAATGACTATACACATATATGGGTATATTAATACATAAACACACAACTCTCTATAAATTAGAGGGGCCTAATATTGGCTGTTTCCTGATAGCTGAGTCAGAGTAAAAATCTAGTGGATGCTAACAAGATTTATGATAGTCTTTCTTGAAAGACTAGACATTGCAAATATGAATGGTTGTATATTTTTAAATAAAGTATTTTTTTAGAAAAACTTTTCTGGAAGATTTTCTTGATATTTCTAAATTTACTTTTAGTATAGCTCTTTCAATGATAAAGTGTACTAAAAGTCATATTTACTTCATTTCAAAAAATACTTCAAATCAAAAAATAAAACGGAAAGATGAACTTCATCAGTAGCTGCTGTAGTTGCAAAAAGCTATATGAAGACATGAAAAACCAATTAATAGTAAGGAATGGATCAGAATAAAAATAATGATTGTTATATATTCCTGCAGTCCCTACAGATAATTAATCATCATTATTTTAGTTCCTAAAGAATTTGATGGGTTATTTTTTAAATGCTCAGTAATATTAGAGGTATAAAAGTTTATTTGTGGCACATTGTTGATCTCAATGCCACAATTAAGAGATACTGAATTATGATAATGCCTGAAATTTCTGGCCAACTTTATTACATGCATTTAGCTTCCTAAACACAAGTTCACAGTATCTTTATGATTTCTGCTCAGAATTTCATCAAAAGTATATGAATTATTCTTCTATGTTTATGTGAAGAATTCATTGAATTTTGGTTATCTTATATTTGAATGTCACTTATTATTTAGGGAAAAGTTAATAATCTATTGCCAGTTTTTCTCTGTGTGAAAAACATAAATTCCATGTATATTTTCATATTCTTCAATAGGCACAAGTAGAATGTAAATTCAGAGAGAGAGGGAAAAAATAAGTTGTTCAGTAGAATAAAGCTCTAAAACATGAAATGACTTTATTTTAAAACTCAAATTCACACAGTATTTATTAAAAACAGTGGATTACACATTCTGATATCAACATTAGAACTAATTAAATTATATCAACCCCGTTATCTTTTTTTCCTCAGAGACTAAGTTCAGTGTTTCATCCATAGCCCATTAAGGATAAATGTTACACACATCTTCTTCAGAAACTGTGTTAGTAGCTGAAGCATGTAAAAATTTTACCACTGGGAGTTTTAAAAGAAATGAGAAAAAGACATCCACAAAGAAATATTTGCAGGGAAACTTCCCTCAAACTGGACTTTTCTACTACCATAAGGTTTGTTTGATACAAAATATGTGTATATGTTTAACAAAGATATAATTTAGAAGATATCCAAAATATAACTTAAGAAGAGACCAAAAATTGATATATTTAATATAATTAGTAACTTTATTAAACCTACATGAAATTCAACCTTGAAAATGCCAATATTTTACATAAAATTTTTACTTCAGAGCATTTTACACAGTATTCTATCTTTCACACTGGTCATTTATATCAGAGCCTCTGTGCCCTCGTGTGATTGCCTTGAGTTTTAAGATGTGCTGGTCATCAGAATATTTTTTTCTCATCTGTTGAATTAAATCATATCAAATATCAGCAGGTGAATTTTATGGATAATAATATTGTGTCCAGAGTTTATTCCTTCTGAAGGGTTCTTGGTCTCGCTGACCTCAAGAATGAAGCCACGGACCTTCATGGTGAGTGTTACAGCTCTTAAAGATGGTGTGTCCAGAGTTTGCTCCTTCAGAGGTGTCGAGTTTCTTCCTTCCAGTGGGTTCGTGGTCTCACTGACTAAAGGAATGAAGCCGCAGACCCTCACAGTGAGTGTTACAGCTCATAAAGGTAGTGCAGACCCAAAGAGTGAGCAGCAGCAAGATTTATTGTGAAGAATGAAAGGACAAAGCTTCCACAGCGTGAAAGGGGACCCAAGCGGATTGCCACTGCTGGCCTGGGTTGCCAACTTTTATTCCCTTATTTGGCCCCGCCCATATACTACTGATTGGTACACTTCACAGAGTGCTGATTGGTCCATTTTACAGAGTGCTGATTGGTCCATTTTACAGAGTGCTGATTGGTGCATTTACAATCTTTTAGCTAGACACAGAGCACTGAATGGTGCGTTTTACAGAGTGCTGTTTGGTGCATTTACAATCCTTTAGCTAGACACAGAGCGCTGATTGGTGTGTTTTTACAGAGTGGTGATTGGTGCATTTACAGTTCTTTAGCTAGACAGAAAAGTTCTCCAAGTCCCCACTTGACCCAGGAAGTCCAGCTGGCTTCACCTATCAATATATCTTCTATAAAGACATTAAAATCATAGTATATGTTAGCTGACAGTCTACAAATACAGAGTTTTATTTCAAATATTATTGTTTATAAAGTATATTTTTCCTAAAATGCATTAAGCTTCTTCTGGATTATTTCATTCACAAATTAGGAAAGCAAAAGCAAAATCAAAATCAAAAGATGTCATAATGTTTTAGAATACAGAATATAAACACATATTTCTACCAAGTCATCATGATAAAATTGAAATACTAAGTATACCACACAAATTTATTATACAATGATATTTTGTATTCTATTCCACAATAATATTTTGAACTGCATAGGTGGGAGGAGAGTTTTTTTAGAACTAGATATATAGAATTGACAGAACAGTCTCTGGAAAAACTTGCATAAGATGTTAAAGATTGGGTAGTTGAGGTCAGTGCATACAGAAGAAGATGTAGAAAGACAGCAGAATGGAAATGATAGACACAGTAAGCCTGAGAGACTTCTGAAAGCACTGTAATAGAGATAGTTACTTATAAGGGCTATGTTCAGAAAAAACAAGATAAAAATGTGCAAAAAAAAAGTAGTATGGCTTCAGCATCTTTTTTTTTATTATTATACTTTAAGTTTTAGGGTACATGTGCACATTGTGCAGGTTAGTTACATATGTATACATGTGCCATGCTGGTGCGCTGCACCCACTAACTCGTCATCTAGCATTAGATATATCTCCCAATGCTATCCCTCCCCCATCCCCCCACCCCACCACAGTCCCCAGAGTGTGATATTCCCCTTCCTGTGTCCATGTGATCTCATTGTTCAATTCCCACTTATGAGTGAGAATATGCGGTGTTTGGTTTTTTGTTCTTGCAATAGTTTACTGAGAATGATGATTTCCAATTTCATCCATGTCCCTACAAAGGACATGAACTCATCATTTTTATGGCTGCATAGTATTCCATGGTGTATATGTGCCACATTTTCTTAATCCAGTCTATCATTGTTGGACATTTGGGTTGGTTCCAAGTCTTTGCTATTGTGAATAATGCCGCAATAAACATACGTGTGCATGTGTCTTTATAGCAGCATGATTTATAGTCCTTTGGGTATATACCCAGTAATGGGATGGCTGGGTCAAATGATATTTCTAGTTCTAGATCCCTGAGGAATTGCCACACTGACTTCCACAATGGTTGAACTAGTTTACAGTCCCACCAACAGTGTAAAAGTGTTCCTATTTCTCCACATCCTCTCCAGCACCTGTTGTTTCCTGACTTTTTAATGATTGCCATTCTAACTGATGTGAGATGGTATCTCATTGTGGTTTTGATTTGCATTTCTCTGATGGCCAGTGATGGTGAGCATTTTTTCATGTGTTTTATGGCTGCATAAATGTCTTCTTTTGAGAAGTGTCTCTTCATGTCCTGTGCCCACTTTTTGATGGGGTTGGTTGTTTTTTTCTTGTAAATTTGTTGGAGTTCATTGTAGATTCTGGATATTAGCCCTTTGTCAGATGAGTAGGTTGCGAAAATTTTCTCCCATTTTGTAGGTTGCCTGTTCACTTTGATGGTAGTTTCTTTTGCTATGCAGAACCTCTGTACTTTAATTAGATCCCATTTGTCAATTTTGGCTTTTGTTGCCATTGCTTTTGGTGTTTTAGACATGAAGTCCTTGCCCATGCCTATGTCCTGAATGGTAATGCCTAGGTTTTCTTCTAGGATTTTTATGGTTTTAGGTCTAACGTTTAAGTCTTTAATCCATCTTGAATTAATTTTTGTATAAGGTGTAAGGAAGGGATCTAGTTTCAGCTTTCTACATATGGCTAGCCAGTTTTCCCAGCACCATTTATTAAATAGGGAATCCTTTCCCCATTGCTTGTTTTTCTCAGGTTTGTCAAAGATAAGATACTTGTAGATATGCTGCGTTATTTCTGAGGGCTCTATGCTGTTCCATTGATCTATATCTCTGTTTTGGTACCAGTACCATGCTGTTTTGGTTACTGTAGCCTTTAGTATAGTTTGAAGTCAGGTAGCATGATGCCTCCAGCTTTGTTCTTTTGGCTTAGGATTGACTTGGCAATGTGGGCTCTTTTTTGGTTCCATATGAACTTTAAAGTAGATTTTCCAATTCTGTGAAGAAAGTCATTGGTAGCTTGATGGGGATGGCATTGAATCTATAAATTTCCTTGGGCAGTATGCCCATTTTCACGATATTGATTCTTCCTACCCATGAGCATGGAATGTTCTTCCATTTGTTTGTATCCTTTTTGATTTCATTGAGCAGTGGTTTGTAATTCTCCTTGAAGAGGTCCTTCTCGTCTCTTGTAAGTTGGATTCCTAAGTATTTTATTCTCTTTGAAGCAATTGTGAATGGGAGTTCACTCATGATTTGGCTCTCTGTTTGTCTGTTTTTGGTGTATAAGAATGCTTGTGATTTTTGCACATCGATTTTGTATCCTGAGACTTTACTGAAGTTGCTTATCAGCTTAAGGAGATTTTGGGCTGAGACAATGGGGTTTTCAGGATATACAATCATGTCATCTGCAAACAGGGACAATTTGACTTCCTCTTTTCCTAATTGAATACACTTTATTTCCTTCTCCTGCCTAATTGCCCTGGCCAGAACTTCCAACACTATGTTGAATAGGAGTGGTGAGAGAGGGCATCCCTGTCTTGTGCCAGTTTTCAAAGGGAATGCTTCCAGTTTTTGCCCATTCAGTATGATATTGGCTTTGGGTTTGTCATAGATAGCTCTTATTATTTTGAAATATGTCCCATCAATACCTAATTTATTGAGAGTTTTTAGCATGAATGGTTGTTGAATTTTGTCACAGGCCTTTTCTGCATCTATTGAGATAATCATGTGGTTTTTGTCTTTGGCTCTGTTTATATGCTGGATTACATTTATTGATTTGCGTATGTTGAACCAGCCTTGCATCCCAGGGATGAAGCCCACTTGATCATGGTGGATAAGCTTTTTGATGTGCTGCTGGATTCGTTTTGCCAGTATTTTATTGAGGATTTTTGCATCAATGTTCATCAAGGATATTGGTCTAAAATTCTCTTTTTTGGTTGTGTCTCTGCCCGGCTTTGGTATCAGAATGATGCTGGCCTCATAAAATGAGTGAGGGAGGATTCCCTCTTTTTCTATTGATTGGAATAGTTTCAGAAGGAATGGTACCAGTTCCTCCTTGTACTTCTGGTAGAATTCGGCTGTGAATCCATCTGGTTCTGGACTCTTTTTGGTTGGTAAAATATTGATTATTGCCACAATTTCAGATCCTGTTATTGGTCTATTCAGAGATTCAACTTCTTCCTGGTTTAGTCTTGGGAGGGTGTATGTGTCCAGGAATTTATCCATTTCTTCTAGATTTTCTAGTTTATTTGTGTAGAGGTGTTTGTAGTATTCTCTGATGGCAGTTTGTATTTCTGTGGGATCAGTGGTGATATCCCCTTTATCATTTTTTATTGAGTCTATTTGATTCTTCTCTCTTTTTTTCTTTCTTAGTCTTGCTAGCGGTCTATCAATTTTGTTGATCCTTTCAAAAAACCAGCTCCTGGATTCATTAATTTTTTGAAGGGTTTTTTTCTGTCTCTATTTCCTTCAATTCTGCTCTAATTTTAGTTATTTCTTGCCTTTTGCTAGCTTTTGAATGTGTTTGCTCTTGCTTTTCTAGTTCTTTCAATTGTGATGTTAGGGTGTCAATTTTGGATCTTTCCTGCTTTCTCTTGTGGGCATTTAGTGCTATAAATTTCCCTCTACACACTGCTTTGAATGCGTCCCAGAGATTCTGGTATGTTGTGTCTTTGTTCTCGTTGGTTTCAAAGAACATCTTTATTCCTGCCTTCATTTCGTTATGTACCCAGTAGTCATTCAGGAGCAGGTTGTTCAGTTTCCATGTAGTTGAGCGGCTTTGAGTGAGATTCTTAATCCTGAGTTCTAGTTTGATTGCACTGTGGTCTGAGAGATAGTTTGTTATAATCTCTGTTCTTTTACATTTGCTGAGGAGAGCTTTACTTCCAAATATGTGGTCAATTTTGGAATAGGTGTGGTGTGGTGCTGAAAAAAATGTATATTCTGTTGATTTGGGGTGGAGAGTTCTGTAGATGTCTATTAGGTCCGCTTGGTGCAGAGCTGAGTTCAATTCCTGGGTATTCTTGTTGACTTTCTGTCTCATTGATCTGTCTAATGTTGACAGTAGGGTGTTAAAGTCTCCCATTATTAATGTGTGGGAGTCTAAGTCTCTTTGTAGGTCACTCAGGACTTGCTTTATGAATCTGGGTGCTCCTGTATTGGGTGCATATATATTTAGGATAGTTAGCTCTTCTTGTTGAATTGATCCCTTTACCATTATGTAATGGCCTTGTCTCTTTTGATCTTTGTTGGTTTAAAGTCTGTTTTATCAGAGACTAGGATTGCAACCCCTGCCTTTTTTTGTTTTCCATTTGCTTGGTAGATCTTCCTCCATCCTTTTATTTTGAGCCTATGTGTGTCTCTGCACATGAGATGGGTTTCCTGAATACAGCACACTGATGGGTCTTGACTCTTTATCCAATTTGCCAGTCTGTGTCTTTTAATTGGAGCATTTAGTCCACTTACATTTAAAGTTAATATTGTTATGTGTGAATTTGATCCTGTCATTATGATGTTAGCTGGTGATTTTGCTCGTTAGTTGATGCAGTTTCTTCCTAGTCTTGATGGTCTTTACATTTTGGCATGATTTTGCAGCCGCTGGTACCGGTTGTTCCTTTCCATGTTTAGTGCTTCCTTCAGGAGCTCTTTTAGGCAGGCCTGGTGGTGACAAAATCTCTCAGCATTTGCTTGTCTGTAAAGGATTTTATTTCTCCTTCACTTATGAAGCTTTGTTTGGCTGGATATGAAATTCTGGGTTGAAAATTCTTGTCTTTAAGAGTGTTGAATATTGGCCCCCACTCTCTTCTGGCTTGTAGGGTTTCTGCCGAGAGATCTGCTGTTAGTCTGATGGGTTTCCCTTTGAGGGTAACCCGACCTTTCTCTCTGGCTGCCCTTAACATTTTTTCCTTCATTTCAACTTTGGTGAATCTGACAATTATGTGTCTTGGAGTTGCTCTTCTCGAGGAGTATCTTTGTGGCGTTTTCTGTATTTCCTGAATCTGAACGTTGGCCTGCCTTGCTAGATTGGGGAAGTTCTCCTGGATAATATCCTGCAGAGTGTTTTCCAACTTGGTTCCATTCTCCCCATCACTTTCAGGTACACCAATCAGACGTAGATTTGGTCTTTTCACATAGTCCCATATTTCTTGGAGGCTTTGCTCGTTTCTTCTTATTCTTTTTTCTCTAAACTTCCCTTCTCGCTTCATTTCATTCATTTCATCTTCCATTGCTGATACCCTTTCTTCCAGTTGATCGCATCGGCTCCTGAGGCTTCTGCATTCTTCACGTAGTTCTCGAGCCTTGGTTTTCAGCTCCATCAGCTCCTTTAAGCACTTCTCTGTATTGGTTATTCTAGTTATACATTCTTCTAAATTTTTCTCAACGTTTTCAACTTCTTTGCCTTTGGTTTGAATGTCCTCCCGTAGCTCAGAGTAATTTGATCGTCTGAAGCCTTCTTCTCTCAGCTTGTCAAAGTCATTCTCCATCCAGCTTTGTTCTGTTGCTGGTGAGGAACTGCGTTCCTTTGGAGGAGGAGAGGCACTCTGGGTTTTAGAGTTTCCAGTTTTTCTGTTCTATTTTTTTCCCCATCTTTGTGGTTTTATCTACTTTTGGTCTTTGATGATGGTGATGTACAGATGGGTTTTTGGTGCGGATGTCCTTTCTGTTTGTTAGTTTTCCTTCTAACAGACAGGACCCTCAGCTGCAGGTCTGTTGGAATATCCTGCTGTGTGAGGTGTCGGTGTGCCCCTGCTGGGGGGTGCCTCCCAGTTAGGCTGCTCAGGGGTCAGGGGTCCAGGATCCACTTGAGGAGGCAGTCTGCCCATTCTCAGATCTCCAGCTGCGTGCTGGGAGAACCACTGCTCTCTTCAAAGCTGTCAGACAGGGACATTTAAGTCTGCAGAGGTTACGGCTGTCTTTTTGTTTGTCTGTGCCCTGCCCCCAGAGGTGGAGCCTACAGAGGCAGGCAGGCCTCCTTGAGCTGTGGTGGGCTCCATCCAGTTCGAGCTTCCCGGCTGCTTTGTTTATCTAAGCAAGCCTGAGCAATGGCAGGCGTCCCTCCCCCAGCCTCACTGCCGCCTTGCAGTTTGATCTCAGACTGCTGTGCTAGCAATCAGCGAGACTCCTTGGGCGTAGGACCCTCCGAGCGAGGTGCGGGATATAATCTCGTGGTGTGCCATTTTTTACGCCGGTCCGAAAAGGGCAATATTCGGGTGGGAGTGACCCAATTTTCCAGGTGCGTCCATCACCCCTTTCTTTGACTCGGAAAGGGAACTCCCTGACCCCTTGCGCTTCCCAAGTGAGGCGATGCCTCACCCTGCTTCGGCTCGCGCACGGTGCATGAACCCACTGACCTGCGCCCACTGTCTGGCACTCCCTAGTGAGATGAACCCGGTACCTCAGATGGAAATGCAGAAATCACCTGTCTTCTGCATCGCTCACGCTGGGAGCTGTAGACAGGAGCTGTTCCTATGGCTTCAGCATCTTGGTTTAAGTTAATATTTGAAAACATCAGTAACTTTCTACCTCCCTTATTTTTCTAATAAAATTGAAATAAAAGTTATTGAAACATTTCTGGTGTTTCTATAAGTAAAATTCTTGTATAGTATGTTTAAACACAATATTTTAAAAACTGAACAGCATCTTTAATACAGGAAGAAATATCTGGGCTTTAATATGTGAATATGGCGTATTGTGAATTTCTAAAGAGAGTTGTTATAGGCATTACCTCAACATTATTTGACCCTAAACCATCTGTGGGGCAGGAGCTCTACAGTAGATAATTTGGGAAAAATGCTCTATCCTAAACTTAACCCAGTTTTGTGTGTTTTCTACTGGAGATGATAAAATAAGTTATTGAAAATAAAATGCGTGATGTATGGTATTTTTTAAAGTATTTGTCACATTTCACTATTATATAAAATCAAAAATATTTTTTATTCTGTACTTCAATAAGACCTAGTTACAGCATATTAAATTCACAATATAATAATGAAACAATGCAAGCAGAGTAAATTCTTAATCTATTACTGACATCATTTAAATGTTTTATTGTTCTTTATATTGTTTTTATCTATTTCTATTTGTCTTTCTATTCATTATAGATCGTAATAACTATTTTTATTCAGAATACTATTAAGATTGTTTCTAATTGTATACCTAATTAATTAGAGAACCTTGCAAAGAACGGTTATTTGCCTCTTTAAAAATTAAGGAAATTGACAGATATAGGGGAATTACATACTAATGAAAACAAAAAATTAATGCAACCAAAGAGCATACTATTTATTTTGTCAAGGTATGTTTTTGGGACAACTACTTTATTAGGTAGTTATGTAAAAATCTTTAAAAATATTATTTTTAGCGGGACTTGGTGGCTCACACTTTTAATCCCAGCACTTTGGGAGGCCAAGGCGGGTGGATTATCTGAGGTCAGGAGTTCGAGACCAGCCTGTCCAACATGGTGAAACCCTGTCTCTATGAAAAATACAAAAATTAGCTGGGTGTGGTGGCGGGCACCTATACTCCCAGCTACTCAAAAGGCTGAGGCAGGAGAATTGCTTAAACCTGGGAGGTAGAGGTTGTAGTGAGCTGAGATGGTGCCATTGCACTCCAGTCTGGGCAACAAGAGTGAAACTCTGATTCAACTTAAATTATGATAATAAAAAGAAGAAAAAAATTCGATTAATTGATTAATCCACTGTAACAGATTATTCTCCCACATTTGCCAAACATACTTCTAGTCAATATGTAGACTATTTCCCATTTTGTTGTTGAAAGAACATCCTGTTTAAACACTTCCATATTAGATGCTGGAGCAACATGCAGATACACTGTTTTGGATTCTCAGATGTACTGTTGTTTCAAATAAAAGTCAATTTATTTGCAGATTTCCAACTGGAGGACAAATAATGAATATATATATGTATATAATGTTTAGTATTTGGTGTGTGCAGTATTTACCCATGCTTTTTGTTACTGACACATAGTTTACTTCTAATCCAGAGACATTTGACTATTGTAAATTAAAACCTATTCAACAATGTGCATTGGAGCAGATATACAAGAAAAATTTATTCCTCCATGTGGAGATTCTGCCTCAGTACAATGAATATAAATATGCCAATGGCCTGAAGACATCCTGCCAAAGAGACTGTTTTGTTCAGTCTTCTTACTGGAAATCAGCACGAACTCTTGTGGCTATTCAGGATTATTTTTCCCACTTTATTTTTCTACATTCTAATTTAAGTATTGCCAACATTTGATTTTTTTCTTTGAGAATCGATACTGTATACTTTTCATTTAATAATTTCATGTGTCACTGAAAAAAATTGAATTAGCAAATGAACACAAGTAAAACATATTAAATAATTATGAAACATATAGTTATTTAAAATTTTTAATGCCACTCTTCTTCTTGTAAATGAATGGAAGTTTTATGATCTGCATTTTCCTTGCTTCATGGTTGCACTACAAATTTTTAAAGATATCATTTATTGAAGAAACCACATCATTAAGCAAGTGCACAAAAACCACCGGGGAAAAGATTGGTTCTTAAGTTTCCAGAGTACATTGATATCAATTATTAAATGGTACTAGGCTAAACCACAAGTCTAATTAAAGATAATACATTGAAAAATTAAGTCATTTTTAACCTGATATTCTATAAGGGCAAAATAATCACAGAAATTTATGTAATGTCTTATATATTGAATCAGTAATAAAAAGCCTACCAACCAAAGAAAGCCCAGGAACAGACATACTCACAGCAAAATTCTATCAGATATATAAAGAAAAACTGGCACCATTTCTACTGAAACTATTTCAAATAAATAGAGGAGGAAGATCCCTTCCCTAACTCATTCTATGAGGCTAGCATCATTGATACCAAAACCTGGCAGAGATACAACAACCAAAAAAGAGAAAACTTCAGGCCAATATCCTTGATGAATACAGACACTAAACTCTTCAGCAAAATACTAGTTAGCAAAATCCAACAGTATATCAAAAAGCTACTCCTCCACGATCAAGTAGGCTTTATATCTGGCATGCAAGGTTGATTCAACATATGCAAGTCAATAAATGTGACATCACATAAAGCAAAATCCACATGATTATCCCAATAGATGCACAAAAGGCTTTTGATAAATCCAACATCCCTTCATATTAAAAACCCTCAACAAACTATGCATTGAAAGAACATATGATACTTCAATGTCATAGAGCCATCTGTGACAGACCCACAGCCAACATCATACTGACCAGGCAAAAACTGAAAGTATTCCCCTTAAAAACTGGAACAAAAAAGGAGACTTTCTCTCTTAACACTCATACTCAACACAGTACTGAAAGTCCTAGCCCGAGTAATCAACAAGAGAAAGAAATAAAGGGCATCCGAATAGAAAGAGAGGGAGTCAAACAATCCCTGTTTGTAGGCAATGTGATTCTATACATAGAAAACCCCACAGTCTGTACCCAAGAGCTCTTTGATCTGAAAAACAACTTCAGCAAAGTTTCAGGGCACCAAATTAAGGTACAAAATAAGTAGCATTCTTTTTTTTTTTTTTTTTTTTTTTTTTTTTTTTGAGATGGAGTCTTGCTCTGTCGCCCAGGCTGGAGTGCAGTGGCACGATCTTGGCTCACTGCAAGCTCCGCTTCCCGGGTTCATGCCATTCTCCTGCCTCAGTCTCCCGAGTAGCTGGGACTAGAGGTGCCCGCCACCACGCCTGGCTAATTTTTTCTATTTTTTAGTAGAGACGGGGTTTCACCGTGTTAGCCAGGATGGTCGCGATCTCCTGAGCTCGTGATCCGCCTGCCTCGGCCTCCCAAAGTGCTGGGATTACAGGCATGAGCCACCGCGCCCGGCCAGTAGCATTCTTATATACCAACAACATCCACACTGAGAGCCAAATCAGGAAATGAGGAACTCAATCCCATTTACCACAGCCACAAAAATATTAATAATAAGATACCTAGGAACATGGCAAACCAGAGAGGTGAAAGATCTCTACAATCATAATTATAAAATACCATTTAAAGAAATCAGAGGTGAAACCAACAAATGGGAAAACATTTCATGCTCATGGATAGGAAGAATCAATATTAAAATGCCCATACTGCCCAACACAATTTACAGATCCAATGCTATTGAAAGCTGGTGGCATATGCTACCCTACTTCAGACTATACAAGGCCACAGTAACCAAAACAACATGGTATTGATCCAAAAATGGGCACATTGACCAATGGACCAGAATAAAGAGCCCAGAAATAATGCCACACACATAAAACCATCTCATCTTTGGCAAAGTAGACAAAAACAAGCAATGGGGAAAGACTCTCTATTTAGTAAATGGGATAACTGGATAGCTATATGCAGAAGATTGAAACCAGACCCCTTCCTTATACCATATACAAAAATCAAATCAGGATGGATTAAAGACTTAAAGGTAAAACCTAAAACGATAAAAACCCAGGAAGATAACCTAAGAACTACCCTTCTGGACATAGGACCTGACAAAGATTTCATGATGAAAATGCCCAACACAATTGCAACACACAAAAAAGTTGACAAATGGGACCTAATTAAACTAAAAAGTTTCTGGGCAGCAAAAGTAACTACCAACAGATTAAGCAGACAAACTACAGAATAAGGGAAATTTTTTGTATGCTGTGTGTCCAACAAAGGTATAATATCTGGAATCTATAAGGGACTTAAATAAATGTAGAAGCAAAAACCAAACAATCCCATTGAAATGTGGGCAAAGAACATGAATAGACACATAAAAAAAAGACATACATGCAGTCAACAAGCATACAAAAAAATGGTCAACAGCACAAATCATTAGAGAAATGCAAATCAAAACCACAATGAGATACCATCTCACACCAGTCGGAATGGCTATTACTAAAATTCAAAAAATAACAGATGCTGGTCAAGTTGCAGAGAAAAGAAAATATTTATACACTGCTGGTGGGAATGTAAATTATTTCAGCTATTGTGGAAGGCAGTGTGATGATTCCTCAGAGAACTTATAACAAAATTACCATTTGACTCAGCAATCCCATTATTGAGTATATACTCAAACGAATATAAATCATTCTACCATAAAGACACATGAACGTGAATGTTTATCACAGCACTATTCACAATAGCAAAGTCGTAAAATCAACCTGGATGCCCATAAGTGGTTGACTGGATAAAAAAAAAATGTGGTGCATATACACCATGGAGTACTCCAATACTATGATATCAATCATTACAAAAAAGGAGATTGTGTCCTTTGCAGCAATATTGATGAAGCTGGAAGCCATTGTCCTAAGCAAACTACTACAGGAACAGAAAACCAAAGGCCAAATGTTCACACTTATAAGTGAGAATTAAACAATGAGAATACATAGATGCAAAGAAGACAATGACAGACACGGGACCTACTTGAGGGTGGAGGATAGAAGGATGGAGGGGATAAAAAAATTACCCATTGGGTACTATATCTGTTACTGGATGATAAAATAATCTGTACAGCAAACTCCTGTGTCTCATAGTTTATAACAAAACTGCACATGTAACCCTGAATCTAAATGTTTAAAATAGATAAAATTTAAAAAAGATATAAATCATTGCAGTGCATTATTGCTTTATTGATATCATGGAATTATCATAGATATATAAGCATACAAATAAAATGATTTCAAAAGTATGAACTTAAATAATTATGTATTTCTCATACAATTGTAATTAAATATAAATGCTTTATACTTAGCTGTGAGAAAACATACCTCTGGAATTAAAATTAGGGAGAAAACTGGTAGTATATTTAATTGTAAATTCCTATCTAAGTATCTAAAAACACATTTCAGTTTAGCATTTTATGGCTAGGTAACAAATTTCTAATTGATTTAGCTGAAACTTTACACTCTCTATGTAGCACAGGTAAAAAAACCTTCAGGGCAATATTCCCTAGAGTTCAAGTGGCTTTATACCATTATTATGACATATATCAAGGTTTTCTGTATGTGGTTAGATACATTTTGTCCACCACAGAATACTCTGAAGAAACAAAAATGAAATGAGAATATTCACTACATAAGTATGTTCTATAACATCATGAATTTTAAGTACCTTAAGCATTGTCAAAAGGAATGTGTCTCACTCAACTACAATTAATTCTCTATATTCACACAAATAACTACAGTATATTTTCTAAATTTTTCTGCCAAATTAATAGAAATACTCCTGATATCAAGTAGACACTTGATTTCCACAGGCTACAGATTACTTAAAAATTAACTTATTGTCCATCACATTTAAATGAAACTGAATCAAAATATCACATCTAAATCAAATTATACTTTGGTCCAAAACTTGCTTCTTTACCTCTCCTTATTTAGAATCTACAATGGGCCTTTTTTGTTGGTTTTGTTTTTTGTTTTCCTCTCTCATGTTGGTGTCTCTAATTATTCTATACTCTAAACTACTTTCATTGGCATTCTCTCCAATCTCTTGTATTGATCTCTCCTTCATATGTAAATAAACAAATTGTATGTCTCCATCTCTGACCTTTCTTCTGGTCCTATTTTTCATTTTCAGAAACTGCTAGACAATATGGCAGATGTATCACAAATCAGATTCAAAATTAAATATTAGAACACTTGTAAAGATGGCCAAATAGGCATGGCCAAGAAGAGCTTCTCCCACAAAGAGAGAACAACATATGAAGTACACCAGCATTTCCAAACAGATCCTCTGAGAGAATCAACTGAGGGTGGATAGAAAGATGGTGCAGACACCAGGGCTGAAGGACTGAAGGGGAGGAGGCTGGACACCAACCACGGGGTCACCAAGTGCTAAATAGATTCCTGGTCGTGAATGGCTCCTAGGGCAGGGGTGAGTGAAATAACTGTAGAGTGGCCCACTCTCTCTCTATGTATCTCCAGAATCCCAGCTATTGTAAAACCCACAACCCCATGGATATTTGAGACGGCAGTATTGCACATCAGGCTAGTTTCATGTGATTTGGACTGATTATTTGCATAAGTGCCACAAGAACATTGATTAATCTTATACAGCTCTTTAGGCTGTTTTTCAGATCTAGTCTTAGAGTATTAAACAATTAATAGGACCACAAAACTAACTTCTGTCTGGAGGTTTTCATAAATAATCTCAATTTGGGTTTATTAAAATTATGTATAAGCCAACCAGAACAATAATTTCTTTATGATTATATTTATGAATACCCTTTGACCAGAGGACAACATTCTATAATTACATAATTAGGAGAAGCCATTCTGAATTACAGACACACACACAGACAATTTCAATGCTACAATTTTAGTCACAGATCAAAAGATGCAAGGTATAAAAACTTATTTGTCCTGATATCGTAGAGCAGTTTCACTTCTTAATATGTGCTCAAAATAGACAAATATACAAGTAATCAATTACTAACGACAAAACAAACAACCCAAATTCTCTGTCATCTCTCACCCAACAGAGAATAAAACTCTATAATTCATTAATCCATTTATAGATTGCCAAATGGTCAGACCATAAAATCAAATTCATAATCAATGCTGTCAACACTGGAGAATGGCTTATCATATATGAGCAGAACAGAAACAAAAACAAAATCTGCAGAAGGAAAAAGAACTAGAGAAACCAAGAAGCAGCAAAGGTAAAGTTCTATTGGTACTTGAACTCATTTGTGGAAGCCCAGAAAAATTATGACTGATGAACTGCACATGTGGTATACTTCTCCAGCAAGCCAGTTTCCTTGGCCTTTCAGGCAAATCCACTGGGCATCTCAGTTAATATCACTCAAAATTGTTACATAATCTTTTAAAAGTTATTATTAAATAATAGTAATATTTTACTTATATATTATTTATAAAATTGAGTATTTAATAGTTTATTATTTATTAAAATATAATTATTTTATTTATTTTTAATTTTTGTGAGTACATAGTAGGTGTATATATTTATGGGGTGCATGATATGTTTTGATACAGGCACGCAGTGTGATATAATCACTATGGAAAATGGAGTATCCTTCCCCTCATGCATCTATCCTTTGAGCTACAAACAATCTAATTACATTATTTAAATTATTTTAAAATATACAATTATCTGATTCTGCTGAAAGAGCACTTATAAGATAAAAAAAGTACAGTTTTTACTGAATATAGTCATCCTATTTTGCTGTCAAATAGTAGGTCTTAATCACTGTTTTTAACTACTATTTTTGTAGCCATTAACCATTTTCACCTTCCCCCTAGGCCCCTAATACCCTTCCCACATTCTGGTGACCATCCTTCTACCCTCTATGTCCATGAGTTCAATTGTTTTGCTTTTTAGATCCCGCAAATAAGTGAGAACATGCAATGCTTGTCTTTCTGTGCCTGACTTATTTCACTTAACATAATGTCCTCCAGTTCCATCCATGTTGTTGTAAATGGCTGGATCTCATTCTTTTTTATGCCTGAATAGTACCTTTAATAAAAAATTTTGAAAGAAGGTAATGCTATGACTTTCATAAAAATACAAGTGAATTTTAAAATAGAAGTAAAAACTAATAAAACTGTTCAATAACCACAAGACAATAATTAATTACATTCTAACACAAAATTTACACGTTGATGGAGAAAATAACTTACACTATTTCAAGTTGTCTACAATATGTAGAGTTGTAAAATATCTCAAATATAATAAAAGGTGCAAAGCCCTTGTAGAATCAGATACCCAAGAAATTAAGATACCTAGTAATTAAGATATCTAGTAAGGCTTTCGAATTTTTCTTTCTTATAATGGCAACTAAAATACCTTCAAATTGGAAGGTCTTCTCACCCTCGTCGTTTCAACACAGAATTATTTCAATATGGGATTATCCACACCCTTAATATCTCAAGGTTTGGTTTTTACTTGGTCAGTAGAGATTTTAAATCATTTTTGAAAGTGCTTTATTAATCTTATCCCATATGCTTATATGGATAAGAAACCTGTTAATGTTCTCACAATTTAATCCTTTCCTTCCCTAGTTTCCAGTTAATAGTGTAATATTCTCACTAATATTGCATATTCCTAGTTATAAATTGATAAAGTGAAAATCCCCTCCCTCTCTCTCTCTTTCTTTTACCTACAAACACTCAAACACAATAATCTAGAAGTGTACATTCTAGCATATTAACTGGAGTCATCTATTAGAGTTATGTTGCATGATGTACGTTTTTCTCCTTTACACTCATGTTTTCAAAAATGTTTACAATAAAAGTAGCACGTTTTGTTTTTTAAAAATGATTAAAACATTAAATTTTATTAAACAAAAAAGAAATGCTAAAAAATAAGACCTGTGTAAAATTTTAAAAATAATCATTGCTAATTTGTAGAAAATTATGTCTATTATCTATTACTATTATATATGAATATTTCACTTTCTGTAGAAGGTTAAGATGCAAAGCATGTGAGGCATTTGCTTTCTCATTGCTTTTATATTTCTTTGTGAGAAGTTGGTTTCACTAGTATCCCAAATGTCATGGTTATATATTTTAATAATTCTTCTTTATTAAATTTAATTTTCCAAATATATAGACTTCTAAAAAATCTCCCTCTCCTGGCTTAGGGTCAGCCCCATATCTAGAATTAAAAACACTTGCTCAATAAATGAATGCTAATTTATTTAATGACAAATGGAATTCATATAATAGTAAGAATAATAACAATAGCAATAATACATCTCTTAAAAGATATTCTTCATATCATAGGGTTTTTGACTCAGTGATATGTTCTCCAAATGTGCCCAGAGTGAAAGTAAATCTTTCTGTTGTATCACTTAAATCCTGTGAAGAAAATGAAGTGGGTTTTTTTTTTTGCATTTTGTTATAATAAAGTGTGCTGGAATTTGTATTATGAAACATAGTTTTGAGTTGTATTTCTGACTCTACCTGATGTCCTAATATTAATCTACAGGGAAAATTTATATTCTCTAATATTAGTCAGCTGAATGAAGAGTATTTTAAGTGGTATTTGATATGTTTTATAAGACAAATGTTTACCTTTTTTCACTTATTTTAAAAATGCCTTCAAAGTTAGCTTCTTCTCTAAGATTAACAGATATGTTTAAAATAAATAATAATGCTGAAAAGAGGTGATTTTGGTGGTAAGATAATACAGAAAGCAAGTAGGAAACTATTAGTTATCCTGTTTCCTTCTAGTCTTCAGTAGAAAGAGGAAAGAAAATTATTTGTTTAAAATGTTATAGAGTAATTTTATATCAAAATAAAGCATTCAAATGAATATATTTCACTTTGCAGCCAATAAACATATAAAAATACTTGACAACAGTAATTATCAGAAAAATTAAAATGAAAACCCCAGTGAGACACCATATTATACCAGTCAAAATGGCTACTGTTAAAAAGTCAAAAAACAACAGATGTTGTTGAGGATGAGGAGAAAAGGGAAAGCTTATACACTTTTGGGGGAAATGCAAATGCAAACCTTTATGTTAAACAATATGAAGATTTCTCAAAGAACTAAATATAAAACTAGCTTTGTATCTAGCAATCTCACAACTGGCTATCTGTTCAGAAGAAAATAAATAATTATATAAAATAGAAATCTGCACTCATATGTTTATGGGAGCACTATTCATAATAGCAGTCATGAAATCAACCTATGTTTCCTGCAATGGATGATTAAATAAACTATGGTATACATATATGTATACACATATGGTATACATCATATGTGTATACACATATGATGCAATACTACTCAGCCACAAAGAAGAAAATTATATCTTTTGCAGAGACATAAATGGAACTGGGTGCCATTATACTAAGTGAAATAGCTCAGAAACACAACGTCAAATACTGCATGTTTTCACTTATAAGTGTTAGCTAAACAATGGGTACCCATGGACAGTGTAGAGTAGTAGACATTGG
Source organism: Homo sapiens (assembly GCF_000001405.40). Lineage (NCBI taxonomy): Eukaryota > Metazoa > Chordata > Mammalia > Primates > Hominidae > Homo > Homo sapiens. The sequence goes on from NC_000014.9 coordinate 41,225,806, forward strand.
AGATGCCAAAAGCTTGGAGGGCTGGAGGAGGGATAGGGTTGAAAAAATACCTTATTGGGTACAATGTTCACTATTTGAGTGATGGGTACACTAAATGTCCAGACTTCACCACTATGCAATATATCCAAGTAACAAGACTACATTTGTACTCCCTAAATCTGTTTAAATATTGAGAAAAAATAATTTTAATGTTATGTTGCAATTTTTTGAAATGTATTCCACAAATTCATAAAACCTTAATGATTCAGTTAAATACATTGGTAATATTAACAGTAAAATTCCATGAAAATTAGACAATTCTGCTTTAAGGTAACATAAAATCACTTTAAACACTGTTTAATTATAATATTTTTGCTTTCAACCATACAAATTTTTAAAAGAACATGTTGAAAATATACAAAGAATATTTAATAAATATCAAAATTTAGATTAATCAATATTAAAATAAAAAGTGTAAAGTGTTATTGCAAGGCAATCTAAAAATACAAAATAAATCAATAAATAATTGGGAAATTACCTAATTTAGGATATCTCATTCTATTCAATATACTCTGATATTAATTGTGACCTTTTTCATATAGTCCCATTCATTGTCAAATGTGGTAGAGCAGGGTAACTAAGTGCATGAAGTTTTGAATGACATTCTGTCTATGACTTGTATTTTTATTGGTGGTGGGGGGAGAGAAAAAATAGATAAATTAATAATCAATTAATAAAACTTAGAAATAAGAAAGTAAGAGCATAGGCTATAGAGCCACCAGCTTGTGTGGATTCAGACCTTAGTTTAGCTAGTGATTAATCATGTCTAACAAAGTTATATAACTTTTAAGTGCCTCATTTTTTAAATTTTATAATGAGAACAATTAAAGTATCCAATTCATAGGTTCTTTAGTTTCCAAAGAACTAAAAGGACTTTCCTTTTCCAAAAAGGATATTTCATGGAAATGTCTTTCTAATCATATAAATGATTAAAAAAAGAAACTGTTGCTCATAGTGTTAGGATTAGTGGATGAACTATCTAATCTAATTGTGATGGGGAGAGAGTGAACATAGATTTTAGCCAAAAAACTTTACGCATTGTTAAATATATACTGATAATATATTAAGAGGATTAAATGTGAATACAGCTTACCAATGAAATTTATGATTTGATTAGACATTCTTGATCAAACTGCCTATGAACAGTCCTGTGACCTGAAACTATAGGACAAATTTCCTATGGAGAAAAAAAATTCTATGTCACCATGCATAAGAGATCATGCTGCTTATCAGAGTTCTCATTCCTTTGAAGAAAAGGATTGTCATTTCAAGTGCAGTTTTTCTTGTGTACAAACCTAGATTACATTCAATTTGAAGCTCTGCTGTAAATAAATGTATCATTACCAATGGAAGTAAATGCTTTATTAAAATCCAGAAGGCAAAAACAAAAACAGGAAAAGGAGTGTAATACTAAAGTCTTTGTCTTTACTTTGGCCATCATTTATGCAACACTATTCAATAAAAAACTACCTGGAGTGTCAAACAGACCATGTATAAACAGTGCAGAACCTGTGCACCAGAGCTCTTTGATATGCAAACTAAAGCAATGTTTCTTTTTTCTAGAAAGCCAACCCTAACCAAATATGGAGATTGGCACATTAAAATGTTCCTTTACTTACAGCATTTTAATTAAAGCAAGTTCAAGGGAGAAATCTCATTTTCACAGGCATCAGTCATCTGTAAAATCCCTAGCTTTTGCTGAATGCAAATTCATTTTAAAATATACATGCCAAAAGATAGGTAAAGTATAAAATCTTGCCAGTAGTTATAGAGGAATACTCTGTTGGTTCATGGATGAGCAATTTTAATTTTTTGAATGTATTTTTTAAATTACTAATTTCTCATTTATTTTAATCTAATTTCAGAATTATCAGTGCACAAGTTTATTCCGTGAATCTCTCCTTCCATTGCTCAGAAAAAGAATATGACACTGTAGTAAAGGCCACACAGTATTGCCAAAAAAAAAAAAAAAAAAAAAAAACTGTAATGAGGAAAATGAGGAACAGTTTGATAGAAGCAAAAAAAAAAAATAAGAAAAGAAAATATGACTCGGGCAATTCAACTTTTTATGAAATGCAAAGCAAGTATCTTTAGTTTAGCTCAAATGATCTCAATTCATTAAGAAAAATTAAAAAGGCCTTTGCAGAGTCTTAAAAGCACTGCAATACAGAGTGAAATATAAATATATATACAACCACTATTCTCTACATTAGAAATTGTAATAAGGCTTCCTAAGGCTGAAGATGTTAAATGATGAGGTTCAAGCCTTGCAGCCTTCAGCATCAGCAAGATTGATCAGTTAGATAATGCAAATATAAGCATTTTGGTGCCTTTGCACCCTTATTTCAACTGTAACCTTTGCCTAACATATTTTTATCCCTTTTCTTTGTGTCAAATTTCATAAAATTCTTCTCACCCTTCAAGGTGCTTGGTAGCCTGTATCAAGCTCCCTACGGGTTGAGTAATATCTTATGAAACCATGTAAACCTATCGACACAGTGCCTATAATATTTTAGGTGCTTGCTGTGTGATGGTGGATGAAGGTCCAACTCCAATTTCTTCTTTATTTCTGCACTCCAGAGGTCACTCACACCTGAAGATTAGTCCAACCTTTCTTTTTGTTTTGTCTTGAGACCAGAGTCTCACTCTTGTCACCCAGGCTGGAGTGCAGTGGCGCGATCTCAGCTCAATGCAACCTCCGCCTCCCAGGTTCAAGTAATTCTCCTGCCTCAGCCTCACAAGTAGCTGGGATTACAGGCGCCTGCCACCATGCCTGGCTAATTTTTTTTTTTTTTTTTTTGTATTTTCGTAGAGACACAGTTTCACCATGTTAGCCAGACTGGTCTTGAACTCCTTACCTGAGGTGATCCCCCCCCCGCCCCGCCTTGGCCTCCCAAAGTGCTGGGATTATAGGCATGAGCCACTGTGCCCAGCCTAGTCCAACTTTTCTTAAAAAGACATGGCCGATTGTGTCTGTTCTTAAATTCATTGTAGTACTCATCGGATTATACTGTTCTTAGTGGATAAATGATTAAATGATGTGCTAACTATCCTCCTGCTGCAGACGTGTCTGCACTAGATCCTGTGCTACTTGAGAGGAAGGATGTGCATTAATTAACTTTTAATTCCTGGCATCTGTCACACTACCAGTGCCATGATAAATACCTAGTAAATTTCAAATTAAAAAACGTAGTAGGAAGAGCTTTTCTACAATAAATAAGTTAAAGAAATAAAATTTAAAGAATAGCATATACATATGTACTTGCATAGGAAGTACATTATTTCCAAGCATCTTAGAGAAATTTAATGAATAAGTTAAAACAAAATCAATACTTAAATATCTGTGTTTTGTACATTTGTGTCAACCTCAATTCATTAAAAACAGATTACACTGTCTACATAATCATTAAATAATTATTTATGGGCCAATGAAATATGCTTAAAATATTGTGATCAAAAATCTATATTCAAATATGTATATTTTAAAAGTTTATCTTGTGTGATTATAATTTCCTATATGATACAGTATACTTAAGATAACTATTGTGTCAATTTAATGGCATTACTTGATTTTAAATGCATATTCAATCTGAAATATCAAATGATAGTTAAAATGAGAAATTATATGACTTTTGCAAGAAATATCACATTTATTTATATGATTATAATAAATATAATTAACTTCAAGTAATATGTTATTGACCTTTTAAATATTTCCAAATTTATATTAATACTTTAAGTGAAAATGAACATGCTGCCTTTTCTTAATGAATTCCATTGTCCACTTAAATTTTTATTTTTCAAATGAAGCCCTATTCAAATATACTGTTGTGAACTTTGGATACATAAAATCTCAATTTTAATAGCCTATGTCTTGTTTCAATGATGTAAACTAATTAAAACACAACAAACATACAATGCTTTCTTTACGAAAATGAAATGTAAATTTACAAAGAATTTAAGAGATAATGTGACAAATTAAATAAACCACACTTCTAAGACATTTTTTGAGAAGTTTTTGAATCACAGCGTTAATAGAAAACACACAGTGTAGTGCTGTTAGTGGAAATAGTATTGAATCACAAATATGTAAAAGCTGACATTTTATTAGTGTCATTTATATGACATGACAAGATGCCTTACAGAAGATTTGGCATGTCATCAGCCTATAATCACTTTCTGCCATTATCCACTGAAACTCCAGTTAAGCAAAACATTATTTACAAATTTTCCTTGACAACCCTTGGGTCCCAAAACCTCCTCCGACTCAAATATGTCATAAAATCTTTTCCCCTCTATGATCCTACAGCACCTTCTACACTTGACACATTATGTTGCAACCCACTGTTGATTCCATTAGAAAGTAATTCCCTAAAGATAGGGACTATATCATTATAATAATAAGCCTTATTCCCACGTAGTCCTGGGCTCAGAGTGGACATTCAGTAATTGTTGTATGAACTGAAGTCATCTGCCCCATAAATACAAAAGTGAAAAACCATGTGTTGGCATGAAATATACACACATATTTTTTTCTTCTTAACTAAGATGTCTCAAACAGGAGAATCAAATAAACTATTTGAAGACATTGTGGATGAGATTTCGTGTAGAATTTCCAAGATGTGCTATTGTAATTCAGATAAATATTTTCTTTGTGAGAACTGCTAGTCTTCAGATTCTGTTTGCACCAAGACATTCCATAGTGGATCTAATCTGTCACATAGTTATTAGTAGGAGAGAATATAAATTGTAGTTTCAAAGATACTGAAAATGAAATGCCGAGAAATACTAGTTATTATTTGGTGGATCATCTTTGTTAACATTTTCCTGCTGGGTTTGCAACACTCTGTTTGTCCCTTAGTCCCAGGATACCAATATAGAGTGTAGGGTTGGTTATAGCCAGGTTTTCAAGAACCACATTCTCCCTTGTATGGCTGCTATCTATTCCTTAAGCTGGAAGTGTAACATGCATACATGTCGCAATGGCAAATTTTTACCCAAGTTTCTGTTTGATTTGCATTCTGGACTACACTCCTGTCAGCTGCTGTTCACTGTTGCAAGAAGAATTTTATCAGAGCTGTTTACTGTTAGAGCACCTTGCATTGGGACTCTTATTTTTTATAGAGAGCAGGAAACACTGTAGAGCATTCGTAGGTTATATTAAACTTAGGCTAATGGTTTTTAAGGCTAAATGTTAACAATTCCTCACATCTGTGCAAGAGCATATGTTCAAAGTCTCTTTCACCTACTTCAGAAGCATATGAATGTGTACCCACACTGTCATAAATATCGTGACAGAAGAGATCAACTCCTATACACTTGGTGTATTAGTCTGCTTTTACGCTGCTGATAAAGACATATCGGAGACTGGGAAGAAAAGTCGGTTTAATTTGACTTACATTTCCCCATGGCTGGGGAGGTCTCATAATCATGATGGAGGGCAAAAGGCACTTTATTTATTTATTTATTTATTTATTTATTTATTTATTTATTCATTTATTTATTTATTTTGAGACAGTCTCTCACTGTCGCCTGGGCTGGAGTGCAATGGGGCTATCTTGGCTCACTGCAACCTCCGCCTACGGGGTTCAAGCAATTCTCCTGCCTCAGCCTCCCGAGTAGCTGGGACTACAGGCTGGTGCCACCATTCCCAGCTAATTTTTGTATTTTTAATAGAGACGGGTTTTCACCATGTTGGCCAGGATGGTCTCATCTCTTGACCTCCTAATCCTCCTGCCTTGGCCTCTCAAAGTGCTGGGATTACAGGTGCGAGCCACGACGCCCAGCCAAAAGGCCCTTCTTACAGCAAAAGAGAAGGAGGAAGAAGCAAAAGCAGAAACCCCGGATAAACCCATCATATATCAAGAGACTTATTCACTATCATGAGAATAGCATGGGTAAGACCAGCCCCCATGATTCAATTACCTCCCCTTGGGTAGGAATCACTTGGTGGGATTCACAACACGTGGGAATTCTGGGAGATATAATAGAAGTTGAGATTTGAATGGGGACACAGCCAAACCATGTCACTTGGAGATACCCAGAACTTTCTCTCTGAAGTTTAACACTTACATGACTCTTCTACCAATCTTACATAAAGCTTGCATACACTGACTAGACTTTTTCCTACACTTTGAAACATGAGTGTAGAATTTATGGCATACCCGTAAAATATCTTTAAAAACTTTATAATATGAATTATAACGTATAACAGGCAGAGTATATTTTAGGTGATGTTCGTATTTTCTGTTTTCCTTACAATGAAGGCTACTAATAACTATGCAACAAAACAACATATACTTCTATATTTTAATAGTTTAAGAATATTTGCCAAAATTAGGATAAATTTATGCATTAAATTATTTGCAGATCATTTTGAGCCCTGTCATCTGTAGCTATTATCAGATAGAGAACCACATTTCTAAAAGTAGTATTAGAAAAATTTCATACCTTTGTAAGTGCAAGCAAAAACCTAAATTTGTATTGATATTGTTTTGATTGAACTACAGGTAAAGTTGATTATTTTTTAATAGAAAAATTAGACAAACCTAAGATGTTACAATGGAAAAATCTTCAATAAAGAGAACATAATCTCCATGTGACAGATTTTTATTATGCTACTTATTCTCATATTATATGAAGACACACCACACAAGTAAAAATTAACCTCTGCAATTAATGTGTGATATTAGTGGTTCAGTATCAGAACAATCATTCTTTTAACATTTTTAAACATTAAAATGCCAATTAATATAAATTGATAATATGCTTTATGAATAAAAGAATTTATTTCTCAACCAGGCACGATGGCTCACCTGTAATCCCAGCACTTCGGTAGGCTGATGCAGATAGATCACTTGAGGCCAGAAGTTCAAGGTCATCCTGAACAACATAGCAAGACTCTGTCTCTAAAAAACATTTTTTTTTTTAAATAGCTGGGCATGGTAGCTTAAACCTGAACTCTCAGATATGTGTAAGGGTGAAGTGGGAGGATCCCTTGAGCATGGGAGATGGAGGCTGCAGTGAGCTGTGATTGCATTACTGCACTCCAACCTAGGTGACAGAAAGAGGCCGTTTCTCAAAAATATTTTTAAGGTGTTTTTCTTATTATTTTCTAGTGGTTATCTACTAAATGATTATTATGAGACTGTTTTCATGTACAGTCAGCCCTTTGTCTGTGGGTTTCCCATCCATGGATTCAACCAACTGTGGATCAAAAATATTTGGGAAAACATATTGTGTCTATACTGAATATGTACAAACTTTTTCCTGTCATTATTCCCTGAACAATGTAACAGGTATTTGCATAACATTTATATTGTATTACATATTATAATCTAATGATAACTTAAAGCATGTGAAGGATGTGTGTAGATTATATGAAAAAACTAGATCATTTTATATCAGGAACTTGAGCATCCACAGATTTTTGTATCCACAGGAGATTCTGGGACCTAACCTCCATGGATACCAAGGGAGTAGTATACTAAGAATTTCATGTGAAAAGATCATTATCCATCTGCCACTGTTGAAAGAATATCATCCCCACTGAGGTTTAAATATCAAATGAGGATCGATCTTTGTGTGTAGCTCTAAAATGCTTTGGTTTTACCAACTGTACACATAGCCTTAGATCATCTTGAGTGGAGATTACGGCAAGTAGATGTTTTTGTTGCTTTACAATGTCCACTGAAGGCAGCCAAATTCACATGAGCTTTGAGGTAACATACAATCATACACATACATGCACATGCAAACAGAAGCATGTATGCTGCTATACACATATAGACATGAATACACTTATACGCACTTATACATCCGCATAATTTACAGGCACAAATACACACTTAAATTTATTTTCTTACTCCACTAGTTGCAAAGATCTTAGGTCGATTTCAGAGAACTAGAGTCATAGGTATCCATGTATAGCTAAACAAACAAACAAAAAATACATATTTCTGAGAGAAATAGGTAGGAGGGAAAATTTAGGGTTGTTGTATTAGGGTTCTCTAGAGGGAGAGAAATAATTATATTTCATATATATTTATATATTATATGTGTATTTTACATATATTTTATATATATAATACATATATGTATATAAAGTATTAACTCACATGATCACAAGATCCCACAATAGGCCGTCTGCAGGCTGAGGAGCAAGGCAAGCCAGTCCAGGTTCCAAAACTGAAGAACTGGGAGTCCAATGTTTGAGGGCAGGAAGTATCCAGCATGGGAGAAAGCTGTAGGCTGGGAGGCTAGGCCAGTCTCTCTTTTCACATTTTTCTACTTGTTTTTTATTCTAGCCATGCTGTCAGCTGATTAGATTATGCTCACCCCGATTAAGGGTGGGTCTGCATTTCTCAGCGCACTCACTCAAATGTAAACCTCCTTTGGCAACACCCTCACAGACACACCCAGCATCAATAAGTTATATCCTCTAATCCAATCAAGTTGACACTCAGTATTAAGTATCTCAAATCCACCCCTTGTCAACTTGATCCCACACACATCTCCTGAGATCATGCATAATCTTCAGGTAAAGACAATCATAAGGTCATAATTACACCTAACATAATACAGCTATCCTTACAACCAGAAATGCACCAATCCCCAACCCAAATACTATTACATAAAGTTAACAATACTTAAATGCTGATGTGAAGTCAATAAATCTTATGTCACATGATAAAGGAGAAAGAAAATAAAATGAACATATTTTCTTGGAGTGAGTGCATACATGCACAAACATGTTTTTAACAAAAGAAAGTGGAAATACTCATTACAATCCTCGTTTCTGTAGCTGATCATGTGGTCATAGCTGGTATTAATGACTACCTTCTTTTACTACCCATTCTGTATTCCCTTTGCCTTTAGCAAGCAACTCAGCAGGTCGTGGTTTTTTTCCTGGTGGAGTGACCCAAACCTTCATTCCTGAAAGGTCTGGGTCATTTGTAGTCCTGCCTGGATTGGGCAGTTGTAATTTCCCTTTGACCTTAATCACTGGGCATGGTAATACTAAGAGACACCCTAATGGATCTCCTGTATTCCATGCATACTCTTCCTTACCTCTGCTGTGGAGTAGTAGACTGATTTCATCTTGATAATATAGGTCAGTCACCCCAGCAAACACTGTAACTCCCTTCTTAGCCTGTTGACTTAAAGGTAGGAGGAGCCCAAAGTGTCCAAGTGACAATCTTAACTTCCAGTTTAATGAAATTGTTGTTGTGTCTCCTGGTGGCAGCATTCCTCCCTCTGGAACTAAGACCTCTAAGTGATCGGAACATAATGTCGCAGGAACAGGAAGCAAAAATTTTGTTAGTGGATCACTATGGGTGATGGTGAGTGGTGCCACTTCCACCTCCACCCCTTAATTGCTGGACCTATGAATGCTGGCTATGGGAGAAACAGTACCATATATTTGGACACAGATTCAGAGCATACACGGCCTTCTGGAGAATTTTGCCCCAGCCCTACAAAGAATGTCACTTAGTTGGTATTGTAATTGTGACTTCAAAAGGCCATTCCACCATTCTATCAATTCAGCTGCTTCAGGATGATGGAGAACATGGTAAGAACAGTAAATTCCATGAGCATGAGACTACTGCTGCACTGCTTTAGCTGTAAAGTGAGTGCCTTAGTCAGATGCAATGCTATGTGTAATATCACGATGGTGGATTAAGCCATCCGTGAGTCCACAGATGGTAGTCTTGGCAGAAGCCTTGCGTGTAAGATAGGCAAGCAAATAGGCAGAGTAAGTGTCTATTCTAGTGAGAACAAACCTCTGCCCTTTCCATGATGGAAGAGGTCCAATATAATCAACCTGCCACCGGGTAGCTGGCTGATCACCCCAAGGAATGGTGCCATATGGAGAGCTCAGTGTTGCTCTCAGCTGCCAGCAAATTGGGCAATCAGCAGAGGTCGTAGTCAGGTCACCCTTGGTGAGTGAAAGTCCATGTTGCTGAAACCATGTGTAACCTCCATCCCTGCCACTACAGCCACTTTGTTCATGGGCCCATTGGGTGATGACAGGGGTGGCTGGGGAAAGATTCTGAGTGGTGTCCACAGAATGGGTCATCCTATCCACTTGACTATTAAAATCCTTCTCTACTGAGGTCACCCTTTGGTGAACACTTACATGGGATACAAATGTCTTCACAGTTTTTGACCACTCAGAGAGACCCATCAATATACCTACCTCTTCCCCAAGTTTCTTTGTTACCAATTTTCCAATCATGTTTCTTTCAAATTCCTGACCATCCAGCCAAACCATTGGCTACAGCCCATGAATCAGTATATAATCGCACGTTTGGCCATTTCTTCCTCCATGCAAAGTGCACAACCAGGTGCACTGCTAGAAGTTATGCCCACTGGGAAGATTTCCATTCACCACTGTCCTTCAGGGATGTCTTTGAAAGGGGCTGTAGTGCTACAGCTGTCCACTTTCAAGTGGTGCCTGTATATTGTGCAGAACCATTTGTGAACCAGGCCTTAGTCTTGTCTTCCTCTGTCATCTGATTATAGGGAACTCCCCATAAGGCCATCAGTGCAGTCTCGGGGAGAGAAAGTACGGTGGCACAGGAGTGGAGACCATGAGCATTTGAGCCACTTCCTCATGTAACTTACTTGTGCCTTTAGGACCTGCTCAAGCCCAGTCACATATATACCACTTCCATTTGATGATGGAATGCTGCTGTGCATGGCCCACTTTATGGCTAGATGGGTCAGAAAGCACCAGCTCATGATAAGCAGTTCAGGTCACATAGTGACTTGATGATCCATACTCAAATATTCAGTTTCCACCAAAGCCCAGTAACAGGCCAAGAGCTGTCTCTCAAAGGGAGAAAAGCTATCTGCAGAAGGTGACAGGACCTTGTTCCAAAATCTTAGAGGCCTCCTCTGTGATTCACCTATGGGGGCCTGCTAAAGACTCCAAACAGCATCCCTATCTGCCACTGACACCTCAAGCACCATTGGATCTGCTGGGTCTTATGGCCCAAGTGGCAGAGCAGCTTGCATAGCAGCCTGTACCTCCTGCAGAGCCTTCTCCGGTTATGGACCCCACTCAAAACTGGCAGCCTTTTGTGTCACTCAATAAATAGGCTGGAGAAACACACCCAAGTGAGGAATGTGTTGCCTACAAAATCCAAATAGGCCCGCTAGACATTGTGCTTCTTTCTTGGTTGTAGGAGGAGCCAAATGCAACAACTTACCCTTAAACCTTAGGAGGAATATCTCAAAAGGCCCCACACCACTGGACGCCTAGAAATTTTACTGAGGTAGAGGGTCCCTGAATTTTAGTCAAATTTATTTCCCATCATCCAGCATGCAAATGTTTCACCAATAAGTCCAGTGTGTTTGCTACTTCTTGCTCACTGGATCCAGTCAGCCTGATGTCATCAATGTAATGGACCAGTGTGATATCTTGCAGAAGAGAAGAGTGATCCAGGTCTCTCTGAATAAGATTATGACACAAAGCCGGAGAGTTGTCCCCTGAGGTAGGACAGTGAAAGTATATTACTGGCCTTGCCAGTTGAAGGCAAATTGCTTCTGGTGGGCCTTATGGACAGGAATGGAGAAAAAGGCATTTGCCAAGTCATTGACTGCATACCAGGTACCAGGAGATGTGTTAATTTGCTCAAGCAATGAAACCATATCTGGTGTAGCGGCTGCAGTTGGAATCACCACTTGGTTAAGCTTATGATAATCCACAGTCACTCTCCAAGATCCATCTGTCTTCTGCACAGGCCAAATGGGAGAGTTGAATGGGGATGCAGTGGGAATCATCACCCCTGCATCTTTCAAGTCCTTGATGGTGGCGCTAATCTCTGCAATCCCACAAGGGATGTTATATTGTTTTTTGATTTACTATTCTTCTAGGTAGAGGCAGCTCTAATGGCTTCCATTTGGCCTTTCCCACCATAATAGTCCTCACCCTACCAGTCAGGGAGCTAATGGGAGGGTTCTGCCAAGTGCTAAGTATGTCTATGCCAATTATGCATTCTGGAGCTGGGGAAATGACCACAGGATGAGTCTGGGGACCCACTGGACCCACTGTAAATCAGACATAAGCTAAAACTCCTTTAATTACTATACCTCCATAAGCCCCTACTTTAACTAGGGGACCAAAATGATGTTTTGGGTCCCTTGGAATCAACATAGTCTCAAATCCAATGTCCAGTAGTCCCTGACATGTCTGATTATTTCCCTGTCCCCAATCACAGTTATTCTGGTAAAAGGCTGGAGGTCTTTTTGGGGAGTGATGGGAGAAAGATTCACTGCATAAATTGTCAGTAATGTAGGTGGGTCCTTTCTCAAGTGGACCTGGGATCCCTTTTGTTCAAGGGGTTCTGGGTCTGTAAACTGGCTCAGTTCTGGAAATTTACTAAGGGGCCATGATTCTCCATTTTTATAATTCAGATTAGCCTTTTGTCCATTTGACCTGGAAGTTTTCTGTTTATATAAATTAAGTAGGAATGCAATAGGCTTCCTATCAATATCAATTCTAAGAACACCATGATTAATTAGCCAACGCCAGATCTCTACACAAGTCAGACTATTCTAATTGCTGCTTTGTCTCTGCTGTCCATTACAGTCACTAAACCCACCTTGTCTTTGACAGCTGAATGCCGTCACTTGGCCTCTGCCACCTAGGGACCCAATTATTCCCATTATATTTAAATTTTATAGTTGAGTGACTGCAGTTCCCACTGTTAGATCTGACATAGAGAGAAGAGCAATTACAGAGCTCTTCAAAGATTCGGGTGCTGCCCTCACAAATCTATTTTGCAAAGCATTGTTCAAGGGCATATCTTCTGGACCCTCCCAGATGGGATGAGTAGGTCGAAAGTGACTAATCCACTCTATCATCCCAATATCCCTAAGCCTTTGGATTCCTTCCTCTACATTAAACCAAGGGAGATCAGGAATTTCCAGCTTGCTCACAGTGGGCCATCTTTTAATCCACATTTCAGCTAACCAAGGAAATAAACTATTGGAACCTTTTTTAACTCCCCAAGCAATATTAAATGCAGAGTCCCTACTTACTGGGCCCAAACCAATAAATTCAGGCTGATCCAACTCTATGTTCCTTCCATCCTTATCCCACACCCTTCATATCCATTCCCATGCCTGTTCTCCAGATTTCTATTGATATAAATTAGAAAACTTGAGCAGTTTTTTCTTAGTGTAGTGCACCTCCTTATGGGTCAGACTCTCAATATCACCTCTAGGGGCCTACTGGGACTTTAGTTATAGGTCTAGAAGCAAACAGGAGAATTGGGGGTGGCTCCTGAGGAGAATCAACATTATCTTGCCTGGTAACTGCCTCAGGGGAGGCCATCACTGTTGTCTCAGGTAGCACAGGGTTTATCTCCTCAGACAAAGCTGGAAAGACTGATGGCAGCATGGGTCAGGGAGGGGATGTCGCCACTACTGGGGATGGGGAAGCTGTTTCTTCTGACAGAAAATGATCATCAGAGTTTACAAACTCAGTGAACTCAGCTTCATAAGGGTCCTCCCACACATTCCCATTCCAAGTTGCAGGGTCCCATTCTTTTCCAATCAATGCCCTCACTTTAACAGTAGACACCTGGCGAGGCTGTGCTTGCACCTTTCATTGCAGGTCAGCCACTCTCATGATAAGAGCTTGTGTCTCTTTTTCCAAATTTTCAGCTCTTTCTCTATAGGAGATAAGACTCTCACTCAGGGCAATCTCAGCAGATTTGAGGCTCAGTATCTGTTGTTGAAACCGGGAGATAGAATCCCCAAGTTCATCATTTTCTTTCATCACTTTGTCTATTGAACTTAGGAGCAACCAACCAGCTTTATTACATTCCTTGGTTCTCCACATATGGTCAAAGGTATCATGTGTAGAGTGACTAAACTCCTTGCCTCTCACAAGCAATGAATCAGGAGTGTCAAATGCCTTTATTTTGCATAACTCTCTAAATAGTTCATGCCAAGGACTATCAGTGTTCCCCATATTATTAGAAGTAGAATCCTTAGCATTTTTGGGTCTATTCATATTAAGCAGCCAAACCAACAAAGGAACTCCATCCTTAATATTATGTTCCTCTAGAACCACTCCTGTTACCACAATCTGCATTAGTCAGGGTTCTCTAGAGGCACAAATCTAATGGAATATACATATATGTGTGTGTATACACACACACACACACATATAAGGGGAGTTTAGTAAGTAATGACTCGCACAATCAAAAGGTCCCACGATAGGCCATCTGCAGGCTGAGGAGAAAGGAGAGCCAGTCCGAGTTCCAAACTGAAGAATTTAGAGTCTGATGTTTGAGGACAGGTAGCATTCAGCATGGGAGAAAAATGTAGGCTGGGAGGCTAGGCCAGTCTCTCTTTTCAGATTTTTCTGCCTACTTTTTATTCTAGCCATGCTGGCAGCTGATTAGATTGTGCTCACCCAGATTAAGGGTGGGTAGGCATTTCCCAGACCACTCACTTAAATGTTAATCTCTTTTTGGCAACAACCTCACAGACACACCCAGGGTCAATACTCTGTATCCTTCAATCCAATCAAGTTGACACTCAGTATTAACCATCATAATAGTTTTACTTGGAGGTCTAGATTTTAAATAAAAAGTGTTTCATAATTTTAATTATTTGTAATAGACTGATACATTGCTCATATTCATGTTGATCTTCATTATGTTTGTGACACATACCATAAAGGTAAAAAGAAGTTATTGCAAATTTCTTTCATAAGTTTATGGGAATATTATTGATAATATTACCTAGTTATATTGCTTCATATCCTTCATAGGTTATTGAACAAAGTTCTGAAATAAATAGTTACTAAACAAAGACTGGCCCTTTTGGCTCTCATTCTGTATTTGTTGCTATGACAGAAGGTTTCTGAGTTAGTTTGGGTAATTTTAGACAGCATATTTCATTTTCCCTTAGTCCATCTGCACATTTCATTTAACTTAGAGATTTGTTCATCAAATATTAAAAAATAAAACAATTCTGATTAATATCTGTTGCACACCCAAAAGGAATTTGAATCAGCCAACCAATACCCAATTTGCCTATCTCTACCTTTGAGTAAGACTCCTGCATCTCATCTCCCTATTCAGCCTCCATATCAGACAGAGGGTTTTAGAATTCAAGGGATGCCCCACAGACTTTCTCCTGTTTCTAGAACACCCCATTCCTCTTCATCCAGCTTCTCTCATAGAAATATCCTACGAATAGCCCAAG
Organism: Homo sapiens; assembly: GCF_000001405.40. Lineage (NCBI taxonomy): Eukaryota > Metazoa > Chordata > Mammalia > Primates > Hominidae > Homo > Homo sapiens. Next base: position 41,241,073 of record NC_000014.9, read on the forward strand.
GGACCAGGACAAAGAAAGAAATGATAAGAATTTTTTATATACTTCTCCTATCAAGGGCATCAAAAGTAATCCCATTGTGCCTTATGTAACCATAAACCCCCTCTGAACACTAGCAATCTAAACCACGAAGATATTCACTGTTTATTCAAAAAGAACATTTAAATAATTGAATTGTACTAAGTGAGTTTTTCAACATTAAAACTTATTGTATTTTTAATCCCCTGTATTAGTTCCATAGGAAGAATAGATAAAATATAAACAAATAAAATAAATTTTTCTTTGAATAAATAAGTGAAGAGTTTCTACCTTTGGTAAGTCCTCCAACAAGACAAATGAGAACTTGGCACAAAAGATTAGCTATGCTTGTAGTAAATGTTAATAGCATTAATCTATAAGGAGCTATTGTAAATTACCCTTAACAAAGAAGGCATATAGGCAATTAAAAGATTGAATAAGAGTTGATGATGAATATATATGAAGATATCCTCTCTCTGTTGGCAAAGGAAATATACAGTAAGATGAAATGTTTATTTTCACCTATCTTATTTTCAGAGATTTAAAAACTAAAAATATCCTTTGCTGGAACAAAAAAGGTAGACAAGTGATATTTTTAATATTCTCCTTCTTCATAAGTTCATATTTTTAAGCAAATAAGTTTGTCTAATACTGGGAATTTTTGTATTAATTTCTTATATAGCATTTTTAAAACATTTTTACTTCTGGAGATAGAGGCATATCCCTTTTACATACACAATAGTATTTATGTGGGTCATCTTTCATTAATATTTGATGAATCTCAGAAGAATTTAGAGAATTTAGTCTTTTTTTTAGTCTTTCAGATTCATTGGTATTTTATTTCCTTTTTCTCTCTATTTAAAAACTTTTGTTATTAAAACTTTACTAATTTCTGCTTCTCTCTTTGTTTTTTATTGAAGAAAATGTATGATTTTCTTCTGGCACAATTTTTCATATGTGTATTTTGCTAATTGCTTTCTATTGGTATGATTCCTATTCCTGCTGATTGCATAACTATTAGTATGATTTAACATGTTTTTCTATATCCTATATTTCTTGTAAATTGGTAATTAAATATAAAGTCTTGTCCAGATTTAGGTTCTGTTTTTTTTTTTTTTCTCTTGGCACTTCTATTTGCACAAGATGGGCACTTCTATTTGCAGACCCATAATGTCAGATCATTTATCTATTTTCATGTTATTAACATCAATTAATAATATGGTGCAGATACATTAAAAGATTAGGTGTTTCAAAATGGCAATATTCTAGTTCTGCTACTTCTTCTTTATTTATGTGCTAGATTACTTTCATGAAAGAATTTTTTTTATGAACTAGTTTTTTAATCTTAGTTACCACAGATTGTGTATAAAAGGCAGTAATATGCTTGTTTTAGACTTATTAATTTTTCCCACTAGTTTCAAAATCCTATAAAGTTTCCCTGGAATCTGCCAAAATATTTTTCCTCCCTTTCACTTTTTATTCTTTTGCAGTGTCATTATTAAATCATGGATTCAAACTTTTTATGCATTTCAATCATTTAGTTATATGTATATGGATGCATGTGCAACAGCCACAGAAAAAAATACCTAGGAATACATTTTACGAAGGAGGTGAAAGATCTCTTTATTAGTCTGTTCTCACACTGCTAATAAAGACATATCTGAGACTGGGTAATTTATAAAGGAAAGAGATTTAATTGACTCACAGTTCAGTGTGGCTGAGGAGGCCTCAGGAAACTTACAAACATATTTGAGAGAGTCTTGCTCTGCCTTCCAGGCTAGAGTGCAGTGGCACGATCTCGGCTCATTGCAACCCCTGCTTCTGGGTTCAAGTGATTCTCCTGCCTCAGCCTCTGGAGTTGCTGAGAATACAGGTGCTCGCCACCATGCCCGGCTAATTTGTGTATTTTTAGTAGAGATGAGGTTTCACCATGTAAATGATCCACCTGCCTTGGCCTCCCAAAGTAGTGGGATTACAGGCTTGAACCATCACATCTGGCCAATAAATATAATTTTACTTCTTCAGTTTATTTATTGAATACAATTCAATAAATACAATTATTTATTTATTTATGAATACAATTTATTTATTTATTTATTTATTTACTTACTTTTTGCATAATTACCCTACCTAGAACCTCCAGTGCAATGTTGAATATAAGTGGCAAGAACATCTATACTTTTTTCCTGGTCTTAGCACGAATATATTCATTATTTTATCACTATATATGATGTTAGCTGTGGGTGTTCAGGATATGCACTCAGGTTGAGAAAGTTCCTTTTCATTTCTAATTTGTTGACTGTTATTATTATGAAAAGGTACTGGACTTTGTCTAATTCTTTTTCTGTGTCTGTTTAGATGATCATGTGAGTTTGTCCTTCATGCTATTAACATAGTATATTGATTGATTTTTTGAATGGTAAGACAACCTTGCACTATTAGGATAAATCTCATTTGTTCATGGTCAATAGTCCTCTCTGATTTGCTGGATTTTGTTTGCTAGTGTTTTATTGAGGAATTTTGCATTTAATTTGTAAAGGATTGTGATCTGTGGTTTTCTTTTCTTGTGATGGCTTTACACACTTGTCATTGTAAGGGTGATTTCATAGAATAAATTAGCAAGTGTTCCCTTCTCTTTGAATTTTATCTAATTTGACAAAAATTTTTCAATATTGTTCTCTAGAATCCTTTTTATTTTTATAAGATTGAGAGTGATGCATTTTTTTATTTTTTCAATAATCTTTCATGTTTTAAATTCATCAGGCTAACTATAGATTTGCCAAATTTGTTGATCATTTAAAAAACCTAATTTTGATATTGTTGCTTTTCTCTACTGGTTTTCTATTCCGTCTTTCTTTTACTTCCTTTCTAATCTTTATTACTTATTTCCTTCTACATGCTTTGGGTTTAGTTTGCTGTGGTTTTTTCTGTATTTAAGATGATAAGTAGATTATAATAACTCATAGATTTACATTCTTTTTAATTTAGGAATGTACCACTATACATTTCCTCTAAGTAGTGCTTTAGATGCACCCAGTAAGTTTCAGTGTGTTGTGTTTTTGTTTTTATTTCTAAGCACATTCTAATCTCCCTTGATTTTCTTCTTCGACCATTGGATACTTAGAAATGTGTTGTTCATTTTCACAAGTCTGTGAATTATCCAAATTTCCTTCTTTAATTGGCTTCAAATTTAATTCCTTTCTGGTTATAGAATATATTTCATATGAATTTAATTCACTTACATTTATTAAAACTTATATTATTACCTACAATATGGTCAGTCCTTGAGAATGTTTTGCATGCACTTGATAAGAATAATTATGTATTTATATTGAATAGGGTGTTCTATAAGTGTTTCTTAGGTCTAATTTTTTATTGTGTTCTTCAAGTCTATTTTCTTGTTGATCTACTGCCTAGAGGTTCTATCCATTGGAAGGATGTTAAAGTCTTCTAATCATCATTGTTGTATTGTCTATTTCTCCTGTCAGTTATGTGAATGTTTTCTTCATGTATTTTGAAGCTTTGTTGTTGGGTACACACGCACACACAATAAAATGCCTGAATAACTTTTTCTATTAAATAGTACAGATATTTCTCAAAGAACTACAAATAGAACTACCATTTGATCCAGCAGTCCTTCTACTGTTATATACCCATAGTAAAAGAAATCATTATATAACAAAGATGTCTGCCCTCATATATGTATCACAGCACTATTCACAATAGAAAAGTCATGAAATCAACCTAATTGTTCATTAACTAATGTTAGGATGGAGAAAATGTTTTAGATATGCATATATGATAATATACTATTCAACTATAAGTAACGAATTAAATTCTGTCTTTTACAGCAACGTAGATGAAACTGGGGATTGTAATCTAAAGTGAAACAATTCAGAAACAGAAAATCAAATACTGCATGTTCTTATTTGTAAGGGGAAGCTAAATAATGTGTGCATATGGACATGGAGTATGTAATAATAGTCATTGCAGACTTCGAAGAGTGGGAGGGTGGAAGTAGAGGAAGGATAAAAAATTACTTAATGGGCACAGTGCACACCATTGGGTTGATGACTACATTAAAAGCCAAACTTCACCACTATACAATATATCTATGTCGCAAAATTGCACTCGTGCCTCTTAAATTTATACAAACTTTTAAAAACAGTATATTTTAAGAGATATTTCAGATCTCTTTTTGTTATTTTTTATCGTATACATTTTTCCATACTTTTAATCTGATTCTATTTGTGTTATTGAATTGAAAGTCTCTCTTTTAATTTTTATTTTAATAAAAAGAAGAAAGAGAATGAAGGGTTATGAATAGAGTACTGACATGACTTTTCTTAAATTTTACAAAATCACTAACTGTTGAGTTGAATGGTAAAGTTAGTATAATGGTGACTACATGGTGTTATGCATTTGGAAAAACCAACATAACTGTACCATACAAAGAGTGAACCTTAATGTAAACCATGAACTTTAAATAATAATGTATTAATATTACTTCATCAAATATAACAAACATAACACACCAGTGCAAGATGCTAATAAACGGGGAAACTGAAGATAGGGGTAAAGAATAAGTCTGTACTTTCTACCTAATTTTTCTGTAAACCGAAAACTTGCTCTAAAAAGTAAAGTCTATTAATTGTTTAAAAAAATAGATGGCTATAAATGTCCCTTTTGCAATTTTGCTTTATTAGTTTACTTTACTTTAGAATTTCTTAAGTCGTTGGTTCTACACTAAAAGGCAAATTTTTGAAGAATCATTTAATATTCCAGCTAATGAGTCCCTTAGAATAAACAGTAATTAAGCAATCACTAAAAATCACTGTGTTCAATTGTGCTCATAAATGGAAATACACTAGTAATATATAGATATAGATAGATACATATTTGAGGGTTGGATTAAAGTATACAGCTAAAGCTGATAAAAAGGTTATTTGAAGAACTCAGAAATTTTAGAGAATCCTACATTAGCTGAGAAATGTTAAAGGTTTAGAAGTCCTGCTTCAATGTAAAAAGATACATTAAAACAGACTAAAAAGTAAATTACTGTGATGATAGCAGACATCTTTTATATTTAAGAACATTAAAATATTCTCTGAATACATAATTTATCACTTATTTTACACACAAGAAGTCATTCACTGCATAGGTCATATATTTGTATTATAATTATTTTATGGCATAATATGTCTTTTACAATTGACTAATAAGATTTCCAGAGCAGTTTTCCAAAATTATGTCCCAGAAAACACTGACCACACTGCATTTTATTTAATTTTATGCAAAAAGAATATGTTGAAATAAGTTGCTAGGATGAGTTGGAGAATCACTGAATAGTAAAATTCTCCTCTTAACAGTTGCAGTGCACATTAGCATGTTAAAGACTCTAAGCTATCTTGCACTAAAGAAAGCTCTTTTACTTTGTTTAACTCAGCATTTCCAAACCTATTTAACCAGAGAACACTTTTTTCTTCCCTTAGAGAACATTATTACCATCTTGAGGAGAATGTGTGTTCCACGGGAACTATTAGGAATATATCGGTCTTATCCAAACTTCTCATTTCATAGTTGGGGAGATTTAGGACCCAGATAAATTAGATAATAACCCAAGACAAGTTAAATAGTTGCTCCGAATCATATAGCAAGCTAGTGACAAAAATGAAATAATTCTAATCCAATTATTTCCAGTTTACTTCAATTTCTACTATCTCACACTGTGTTTCATTATGGGAATGGATGTCCTGTCTTTGAACATAAATAATTTGAAGGCTATCTAAATGTTGTTATTTTTAGTTTTAAAGGCATTCTATATATGTCAGACTGTATTTATCCACACATTATAAATCTCATGTGTGTGAATATATTTATGTCTTTGTTTATGTGCTTATTCATGTCTCCATGAGTCTTACATGTGTGTATGAACCTGAATACTTGTGTTTATTTATTTACACTCTAATTATAATTGAAGAAAAAGCAGTGGTAAGAGGATCATTTTAAACATTCTATATTTTGATGTTGTCTAGCAGGGAAAATACACAGCTCTACTGGGTACAGAAATAGCTTCTCTGGAATAAACTGCATTATATCATTAAAACATTTAGGGCAAATCTCAATTTGGCAAAATTGATTCATTCAGTGTCTCAGACATTAATTCTATTAAGTATAAACGTAAAAGATTGGGAGGTGGAATAAATGAGCAAGTCACATAGCTAAGAAGATGGCATTTCTTTTCATTTTAGTTACCAAATTTAGCATTACTCAGTAAGTGGTTCTGGATATCAGATAAGACGATCTTGATTCATTCTCAAATCAATCTTATCTTTGTAATTATCTGTATTTTCATAGAAAATACAGTGCAACACACATAATTGCGGGCAAGTATAAGTTTATTTCCCCAAAAGAAAAAAAAAAATTCAATCTCATTTCCTTGTTCTCATTTTGATAAAATCAAAGTATTTTAACAACCCAAAATATATTTTTCCTATTATGAAGTATGAAACTGTGATATAATATTAAAAATTTTCTTTCTTATGAAACATGTATTATTTTTCTTATGACCTTAGCATAAGGTATTTGCTAGCTTATATATAGAGAGAAATCCTGAGTTAATTTAAGTGCCTGATTGAACATTTAATAGTATTTCATATGAATTATAACAGGATCCATGTTTAGGTCCAAAGGGGAAAATCCGCTTTTAGCTTGGTCCACAATGGGAAAGTTACTCTTGTCAGCAAAACACATTTATAAGACTTCTGTTACTACAGTAGTGTGGCTAGAATGCTGAAGAGAATCATCTGGGCAAGAGACGCACAGACAGAAATGCTAATTATGTAGGGCCATGAAAACAGAAAAAAATGTCCTCCTTGCATAATAACTACTGCAGGGAACATTATGTGGGCCTCATTGGAGAAAACAACTGTTGTTAGAAACACAGCTGATAAAGATGCTGATGTCTAAAATCTGAACACTGGCATACAGTATAAAGATACTGAAAAATCATTATGCATTAGAAAAGATTAATAGGTGTATTAGTTTTCTATTGCTGCATCAAATTCATCACAAATTTAGTAGCTTAAGACAACATAAATTTATTATTCCTCAGTATCAGAACATAGGTTATTGGGTTCTCCTTTCAGGGTCTCATCAGACTGAAATTACTATGTTAGCCAAAGGATGATCTCACTGGGGGCTTAGTGTTCTCTTCCAAGCTCACCGGTCATTAGCAGAATTCAGTTTATTGTGGTTGTGGGACTGAGGTCCTGGTTTTCTTTGTGGTTTTTGGTCACAGGTAGCTCTCAACTCTATGACATCTTGAGATACCACAGGCCCTCCCACAATGTGGCAGCTAACTTCTTCAAAAATAGCAGGAAAAATATTTCTTTAGTCCAGTAACATGTGGTCTGGGGGTATATGAAATGTAATGTAATCATGAGATTGACTTCCATCATTTTTGCTATGATATAACCTAATCAAGGGAGCAAGTATCCTATTATATGCACAGGTCCCATACATTCTCAAGGGGAGGGAAATGTACAGCATGAGTACATGGCGGCATGAGAATTTTGGGGACCATCTGAGAATTCTGACTACTACACTGGAAAACAACATTTTATTTTACAAGAGGTAGGAATAAGAAAAGCACAGGAACATGGAAAAGATTCGGTAAAATTTTCACAACTCAATAGAAAGTCATAATGTAAAGAATTTTGTTACTCAAATGCAGATAATGAAAAATGTAGGTTTTCCAATTAGGATTCGCTTCATGTTTCATCAAAGGCAGGGTTTCACTTGATAGGCATCTTTTCCTTTAAGAAAACTGCATATTTACTTCAAATTCTAGATATATTAACTCTTTTAAACATTCAGAAATAGGTGTTATATATTTATAGTAGAGATATTAATAAAATTTTGAATAGATTATTTGCAATAATTACTAGGATTATTAACATAATTAATATTGTACAAAATACATTTACATTTAATGCTAATTCAATCCTTCCTTACTAGTAATTTTGTTTTCCTAAAGTCTGACCAAATTACTCCCGTTAGCTTGATAAAACTTTTAGACTAGTTTCTTTCAGACTATATGCTCCTGATCTCTCTTTTCTTTTAGCAATACTTTAGAAAACTTGCTATTGTAAATTCTCTTCCTCTTTGAGGTTTAAATATTTTGCAACCCAGAAATGTCTTTCTCATGGACCATGAAGCCATCCCTTTGAAAGGTAATAATCGAGCTGGACGCGGTGGCTCACGCCTGTGATCCCAGCACTTTGGGAGGCTGAGGCGGGCAGATCACCTGAGGTCAGGAGTTCGAGACCAGCCTGACCAACATGAAGAAACCCCATCTCTACTAAAAATACAAAATTAGCCAGGCATGGTGGCACATGCCTGTAATCCCAGCTGCTACTTGGGATGCTGAGGCAGGAGAATTGCTTGAACCCAGGAGGCAAAGGTCGCAGTGAGCCGAGATCACGCCATTGCACTCCAGTCTGGGCAAAAAGAGTGAAACTCTGTCTCAAAAAAAAAAAAAGTAATAATCAAAGGAGCTATCACCCCAGTCTCCCAGTTTCTGTAGAAGGGTTGGATTCTAACTTCAGTAAACCACAGTTAACAAATACAGATGGACTAATCACATTGACCAACCTCCTGACTAACATCCTTCAGTACTTTTCCATTAGTGCATCTTAGTATTTAAAAATCCTCCCACAGTTTGTTTCAGAGGAATTGAATTCAATCTGACTCTCCTTTTCTAATGGTTTTGGCCCCTATTACAATAATTTTGAATAAGTCTTTTTTGCCTTTTTTAAAGTGTCTGATGCAATGTCTCTTTGATAAGTCTCATATTAAATAATCATGAAAATGATTGTTACTGTACAAGATGAAACTCAAATGACTATTTTATTTGTGTTTTTTGGTACTCGTAGAAGACATATTACATGTATATAGAATACCCTATAAAAAGAGCTAACACAGTAAAAAGTATTTGTGTATGAGAGTGCTATATATTGCACTGTTATCTACACAATCTGAACTGGAATTAATGTGTTTATAAAGCAGTATTACGAGGAACTCATCTCATTATTAAGCAGGTAGCCAAGAATCTCATGGTATTATGGATTATGTAGCAAAAAACTTTGGTTTAATGGAAAAGTTAGAATCTTTAAGATTTGCTTCATCTCTCATCATAAACTTAAAAATTCACACTCAATGTACTATTTCCCACTCTCCATCTTACAAATTCTAAATGTGTTATAGCTTGTAAACTTAGTTTTTGTCTTATGCTAATGATGTTACATGAGCAAGAGAAAGTGCTGTGGTTGTTTTTTCAAAACAGAAGAAACACTTTATTACTTTGTTGCAGGTGTGCTCAACTGCAACCTTATTGAAGGTTTGCACTGGATAAGTCTTTGTTTTGAGGGGCTGTCTGGTACATTACAGGATGTTGAGCATCAGCCTCTGGATGACAGTAGCACACCACCCCGAGCTGTGACAACTAAAACTATCTCCAAACATTGCCAGGTGTCCCTGAGTTGTGTGTGTGTGTGTGTTGGGTGATGGTGGTGTGGGGTAATCTTAGTCGAGAAGTGCTGCTTTGTTGTTAGAAGATTAGCAGATAAAGACATTGTTGCCAATTTAATATATTTGGAATTTATTAATGCTTTAATATGTAAACCAGTTAATTCTCTTTTCTACATTGGGAATTTTAACAGAAACAGCAAATCGTGATTTGACATTTATTCACCCATTGATCTCTAGGCATACTTGGTCTAAGATGGGAACATCTGAACTATTAGCAAAGGTGACCTGATACGGATGTTGATTGAGTCTCTTTAAGTATAACAGAAAAGATAACTTGCCAGGCTATAACCAATGTACACCAAACCAAACCACACTCTCCGAATAAAGGAAACAAGTTCAGAATTTGAGGATTGAGATTAAATTATATTGAGGAAGCGTAGACTCTGAAATTAGTTACTCTCTATATGTCACACTTTTTAACACTGAGAATCAGGTTCCACCAGGGCACAATGATGCCTTATTACGACACAAAAAAAGGAGACAAGGTAACCAGACCAGTGTGGGTGGAATATATCCAGGTTAGAGTAATAACATTTGGTGATTCACTTATACTATACCTAAATGGTATTTGTTAAATTAAAATATTATGTCATCTTTCAAAACTCATTCCAAATATCACTTCCTCCAGAAAATATTCTATAGTATAAAATTTGAATCTGCATACCCACTTCTATACTAGAAAACTCCCTGGGCATAGCACCTACTATAATATATTGCCTTTTCCTACATAGGACACACCCTTAAGAGTCAGGAATGTGGCCTATTTTACTCTGTATTCCCAATAACATAGACTGATACCTGGTGTGCAGTCACTGCAGAAGGAAGAATTTAGTTAACTACATAAAACATCTAATCAAAGTAGAGCCCCTTATCAAAACAACAAATTGCTAAACAGCATGTGGTTACTGCTGACTTTTATTAGCAGTGAATAAAGATCTGTAAAGTAGTAGCTACAGCGTTCCTTGAAAGTACAGGTCAGTCTATTAATGCTTAAAAAATACCCCTTTAAAATTTAAATGTTCATAGTAAAAAAAAAACATTTTTTCAGATATAATATATATGACTATGGGAGTTGAGGTGAGCGATTCAGTGATGCCACTAACAGAGAAGGTTCTTTATAACTTGTGAATTTGTATTGATGCAAAAGTTAGCCCATGAAATTAAAAATGCAAGACATAGACTCATAATTTATTAAAAACCCTCGTGTTCCAAGAATTGTGATGAATAATCTACTCCCCAATGCATGTGAATTACATGCAACCCTTTTCCGGTAGACAGAAACTTTTGCTGAATCCACATGAATGCTCCTTATGTATATTTAATAGAAAGGCAGGTTATTTCAAACAGATATTCTCTGAACAGAGATAAAATGAATAGAGCAATACCAGAAAGACAGATAGCTGTCCCCCAGAGTTGACCAAAAGAGATCTAAATATAATAACAGAAAACAAGATACAAAGAGAGAATTTAATCAAGGCAGAGGCAATAAAAGACTAAATTTAAAAAATTGGCAAGGTATTTAAGATAAAATGAAGATTAACTTCTGCCTTAGTGAAAGTAAAGCTAGAAAAACATATTTAAGGTACCAGAAACTTACTATGAAATTTCTGCCAGAGTCCTAAGGCATAGCCTCTAGAACGAGCAAAGTAGGGTATTTTTCCTCAAACACTAGGAGGCTCAAAGGAAGATATTTAGTTCTAGAGTAGAAAGATAAATAAAATATCAGTAAGAGAATAGATACTGCAGGTTCAAAATAAACTTAGAGTTATTCAGTGTGGTAGAATTTACAAATCAGCTAATTATTTCCTTTGCAGAAGTTATATCACACACCCTCAAACTGTATTCAAATAAAGTTGAGAAGGACTTTCCAATAAGTGGCAAGATTATGGAGATATTAAAAGTAGGATTTTATTTTTATAGTAAAAGTTTAACAGGTACACCTCCCATAAATACCTTGAATGGAGACAATGGTGGAAAAATGAAATTCAGCTTTTTCTCCAACAAGGGATATTATTCACAATGCTATTGTCACAGGATCTTTGGGGTGTCATGCTGCCAGGCAGAAACCTCTGTGGCTGCTGGCGCCTTTGCCCTAGTTTTGCTCAGGCCTGCTGTGCTGGTTCTGCCCACTCAGCCTGCAGGTATGCTCTACTTGCACTACCACTCCAGATCCCATGCCTGCCAAGGGCAAGCCAGATGCAGAGTGAAGAGGAGTGGGTGAATGTGTGAGCATGGGATCCAGCCACTGCACACAGCCAGGCACATCAGCTGTGGCAGGATGAGCAGCTCCAGGCATGAGCACGGGTGCTGGCTCTCTGTGAGCCTGGGTCTGGACCAGGCACACCACAAGCAGCTTCCACTGTGGGCACTGAGGAACTTAGTGTTGCCTATAAGCTTGGAAAACACCAGGAACCGCAGAACCCCAAAGAGGGTGTCACAGCCCTGGGTTGGGGAGCTCCTAGGTCTGGGCTCCCTGAAGGGCCAGAGCTCTTCTTTCATTCTCTCTTCTCCCCTTCTTGTCACCGACAATATGGTGAGGCGGTGTGTGTTTCAGCCCTATTTGTGTTGCAGCTCTTTCAGTCCCACCATTTGGTGGGCCCTGAGTTCTTGTCTCATGTCCAGGAAGAATAAGGTATGCAGACAACTGGAAAGTGAGCAAGGCTAAGAGGTGCTTTATTGAGCAACAGTACAGCTCTCAGGAGACCGGAAGTGGGTAGTTCCTTTCTGCAGGAAGGTCATCCCAACATCTGCCTAAGTCTGGCTGAGTTCAGGGTTTTTATGGGCTTCCCAGGGGAGGAAGTGCATGCTGATTGGTCCATGGGAGGACAGGGAAACAACACCATAAGTTCTCACTCTGGTCCAGGGAACTGGCAGCCTGGTCCCCATGCTTCAAGTGGTCCCTGGCTTGAAGGTGGGGCTTCACTGGTGACCTGCCCCTTTCTGCCCAGGAGCCTGCCTGTGTCCTGCTGCCATCAATGTGCTATCCATGGTGCTCATAGTACCCAGGCTGTCTGTGCCAAGGTGTGCCTGCAGATCCATGCCAAGCTGCCCTCAGGCCCCCTCCCAGCCACCATCCTATGCTCATCACCAGTGCCCAAAGTCTGGAGGCGGCTGATGTGGCAGGGGGCTGATGTGTCAGCATGACCCCAAGAATGTGCACACCCAGGCTTGGCCTCAACTTTGCTCCAAAATCAGAGCAGGCACTGGGAGTGAGGAGAGGCCAGGCAATGGGAACTGAGACTTCTGAGCGTCCAGGGCAAAGGAAGCTTTCCAGGCCCCTGAGACAGCATGGGTCCATAGGCACAGCTGAGCTCACACCCACTGGGCTCATACTGTCCACTCGGCCTGGCAGGCTGTGCTCTGTTTGTGCTACCAGCCTGGATCCCGTGCCTGCCAAGGGCAGAGAAGAGGGCTGGGCTTCTGCCTCTTTTCAGCTTCCACCAGCTCCATAGAGTGCACAGGTCTGCCCATACCTCCCCTGCTGCAGCTGGTATCTTGGCAGCATCTATTCCAGATGTCCACTGCTACCATCACTATCTCATCCAAAACATATCAGAAGGTGTAGCAGAAGTAATTACCACTCAATTCCACATTATTTTATTTACCTCAAGCTAATAAAACTAGTTTTAGGTTTTACCTTCCTAGTAGATAGGGAGTGATATCTTGGTGTTCAGGAGGTGGTGGGGCCACCACCTAGCTGGGCAGTTCAATGGCCTCATGGTCCCTAAGAAGACTTAATTATTCAGAGAACATACTCTGGCCTTAGACCACACTGGCCAGAGGTATTATGTTCATTTGCAAGTGTTTGCTGGGAAGGCTGGCTCTTTAACAGCTCAGGGGTCTTTTTCCTAGGTGGAGCCTAACTCTAAATGTCAAACTTTCCTAGCCAAACTTTATAGACATCCTCATTTCTAGTCTGCTCCCAAAGCATCTTGCATGGGAATGGAGAAATGGAGGCTGCTCTCTGTTACCCTGAAAAGCTAAAAAATAAAAACTCCTTCCCAGGATTAGGAGGAATTCTGAAAGTAATAATAGTAAAATCTTTATTTTCTTGGTAAACACCCACTCAAACAAACAAAATTTGGAAGTTTTTATTTGAATATCTGACAATTTCATTTGGGAGCCCTAAAATTTAAAACAAAACAAACAAAAAACAATTCTTCAAAATTTCCTAAGCTTAGATGTACTCAGAAAACAAAGCTTAGCTGTCTCATGAGATTAAGGGAGTGGGATTCCTCTGATTCTTTCTATAAATACAATAACAGCAAACTCAATTGAATAATCTATATTTTATTCTACTGCAAAGTCTACTTATGATTGAGTTTAATAACACAACATAGTCCAAATTTGGGCTTTATAAAGACTTTGATTTACTACATGAACCTTTTAGATATTTATGTACAAACGTTAAATTGTAACTTGACATTTGGTAGATTGACTCTTTTACAATAGTAAACTCTGGGAAAAAGAAGAGATTTTATAAACAATAATTAATGAAAGACTGATAATAGTCCAGTTATATTCAGAAACTAAATTTATACAATTTAATTTTTTGTGTGTGGAGGCCAATATTATTACTCTATTTCGATAATAGCAAAAGCTAGAAATCACATGAACTTTCAAAATGTGTTGAAAAGTTAAATATATTGCTAGTAGAACTTGTGTTTTAAAATACTCAACTAGAAAAGATCATGTTCAAAAACACTTAACCTGTGGAGAACAAAATTAAAATGTCTGTATACTTTAAAAATCAACTTTTTCTTGGGAAAAGAACTTTGCTTTAGTGATTGAAGAGAGACAAAAAAGAGGTAAAGGATGTGATATAGTTTTTGTTCTCTACATAATTGTCTAGAGTTTTCCTTTTTAAAAATAAATATGTTTATATGAAACAATATATATGGATATAGAAATAAAATAATAAAGTATATCTAAAGAGATTTATTAAATATAATTTTAAGTAAATAAGATAAATACAAAATAAATATGTGGCTAAAAATCAACAAGAGTAATACCTAAAACATTGATAGGGAAGCAGAAAAGCTACAACTGAAAAGTAAGTTTTTAAAAAAATTTAAGAAATGAACATGTTTCACCGTAGTAATAGATAATATTTATTAAAAAGCAGTAATTAGAATTTAGGATAAAGAAAAGATAAAATACAACATTTTAAATAGTTAAGGAGACATTAAATAAAACAGACATAAAAATAAAATTATTCACATATATTACAGAAAAAACAACTTGAACATAGCATTCGTATAGTAGAAAAAACCCAACAGTAATATTGTGTTTACATCAGTAAACCAATTTACAGGATATGATAAGCTTCATCTAGCACTAGACTTCCTTAGCAATGCCTGCAGAACAGGACGTGAAGCATCTGCAGAATCAAAATTTTAACCAGAAGTTCTAGCACAGGTTCCAATTTGCAGCACTGCATGGGGTGCCCTCGGGTACAAGAAGTGAGGCTTATCTGCAGGGAGGCACCTCAGCATAGGGAAACTCTACCTGTGCTACTGCAAGTACTTCCAAATAAACTCCAGGCGTGATTTGCATCCATTGATAATTAAGGTGAATATATAAAAATATAATTTTAATCAGAATGCTAAGTTTAATTTATTTATTCAGGTGGAAAAACAAAAGATGATTTTACTTGAAGGCAGGGATTTCCTTGCCTGACCACCATCAAGACCTTATACCATGGTTAAAGTTGAAATGCTTAGAGGTGTTAGATCAAAGTTTTTAGAAGAAGTGTGAGCCAAGTGTGGTGGCTCAAACCTGTAATCCCAGCACTTTGGGAGGCCCAGGCTGGTGGATCACCTGAGATCAGGAGTTTGAGACCAGCCTGACCAACATGGTGAAATTCTGTCTCTACTAAAAACATATATACAAACTTCAGCAGGGCATCACAGCAGGCACCTATAATCCCAGCTACTCCGGACACTGAGGCTGGAGAATCGCTTGAACCCGGGAAGCGGAGGTTGCAGTGAGTCAAGATCATGCCATTGCAATTCAGCCTGGGAGACAGAGCAAGACTAGATCTCAAACAAAACAAAACAAAACAAAAGTGTGTATTTCCCACTTACAAAATGTAAGGTTATAATTTTGTGGTTTTTTTCTTAAGCCACTAAGTTTGTGCAAGCAGCCAAAGAAAAGTCGTATGTCAAAATGGTCAACAATTACCATTTCAGTTGTTCAGGCCCTCAGAGTTGGTTGTATCTTCACAGGCTTGAAAGTTTTTCTGCCCCACTAATAGATTTACAAATCATTTGAACCCCTGACTACAAGGAAAAAAAATTGATTATGTGCAGTCATGGTCATTTTCCAAGAAAGGAGTTTATTTGTAATTTATTTATTTATTTATTATTTTTATTTTATTTTATTTTTTTGAGACGGAGTCTCGTTCTGTCGCCCAGGCTGGAGTGCCATGGCACGATCTCGTCTCACTGCAAGCACCGCCTCCTGGGTTCATGCCATCCTTCTGCCTTAGCCTCCCAAGTAACTGGGACTACAGGCGGCCGCCACTATGCATGGCTAATTTTTTGTATTTTTTAGTAGAGACAGGGTTTCACTGTGTTAGCCAGGATGGTCTCAATCTCCTGACCTGGTGATCTGCCTGCCTCGGCCTCCCAAAGTGCTGGGATTACAGGCGTGAGCCACCACACCCAGCCTGTAATCTATTTTTATAGTTAGTATGTTTCACTTTTTAATTTGGACCTAGTCTGAAATGATCTAAGGTAGAACTCCCTAGTCACAATATTTATTTTATTGTCATTTCATTTTTAGTTAATTCAAATCCCAGCTCCATTATCAAGAGTGTTTACCCTCCTTCCGAGAGATTATATCTGTGTATAAGGGCAATTTTATAATTTTCATGATGTCTGGAAGGGGAAAAGCCTTCTGGTATTATGCTGACTTTGAAGCAGGGGATCTTGGTTTGGTGTTATGCTGTTGGGTATCCACTAAGTTTCTAAGTTTTGGTTGGTCTTGTTAATATATAACATTTTGGTTGGTCTTGTTAATATATAACAGCAATATCAATAAGAACTCTTGATATTGCTGTTGGGTTTTGTCTACTATATGAACGCTATGTTCAATTTGTTATTTCTGTGATGTTTTGTTGTCTTATTTCTGTGTTATTTTGGTCTCTGATAGAATGGTCCAGAAGTAGTTATAGTAGGTTCCCTTGACTTGGACATAGTGGCTCTACCTTGCTCTCTTCAAAAACTTTAGATCCCTTTCTCCCCCAGGATGTGGCCAAAATTCACAGTCAGTCCCTGGATCCAAGGGCGGATCCACGTTTTGTGAGTCTATAAGCCTGTACAATTTAGATTATTTTCAAACATAACAAAATAATTTTGAATACAAGGTTACTTGTAGAGTTTCTAAAGGGCTTCATACAATTAGGGGCCTTAAGCTGCAACTTCATTAACTTCTTGGTAAATCCAGGATCAGTCACATCACTTAACACATTCAGTGAACAAAGATGTTTTACTCCAATGCAGCTATTAGTAATATATTGCCCTAACTGGCAAGCGAATGCATCTACAGCATTCAAGTCAGTTAGACTATCAGCTACCGTTTGCATCCCCCAATGGGGCATGGAAGAACTTCTGGGTCCTTTCCACATCATATCCAACTTGTAGGTTGCCAGGAATACTGCCTTAGACTCTTCTATCTAGCCACATCTAGACACACTACTTTACCATTGCCACTAATTTTGGCGTGTGTCTCATATCAGGATTTTAAAAGAGATGGGAAAAGGTCCTACTATCAGCTTTTGCTATGATCTATCTAACTACCACCACTGCCAGTATTAGAATTCATAAGAGGATAGTAAAAGCACATGCATGTTTAAGAATTTATCAGCCCTTTTCTGTTAAAAATATACGAAATGTGTGGAGTGGGTAAAGTATCCATTTTTGCTGTGGCAGAAGATTTATTTTATAACTATTTTATTTGTCTCCTTTTTCATTCTCAAGATGATAATAATTCTGTTCTCATCTCTGGTACAATAAAAGTGGAGGAATAAGAAAGGGAACTCAGTCTCCACCCTAACATAGGAAGATCCAATAAGAGGCATTGCAAAAATATATCTCTCATTCTATATTTAGAAATTAGACTGCACAAAGAAGGAGTAAAATGATGGGGATTCAAAATCATGAAAGGTATTCTGTTTTCTTTTCATATGTGGTAAAAAGTGTGGGGATGATGACAGTGGAGACATAGTTTTCAAAGCTACAGGAATGAGAGAGAACAATTAGAGGAATAAACCAGGGGAAACTGGTGCAAATTTTACCTTCTCCTGTAGTCAGTAATAAGGTGAGCAAGGGAGATGGGGAAGGTTAGTGGGAGGGAGAGTGACAGGTGGTGGAGAAGGGGTAGAAATTGAGATATTTCAAGATTAATGGGCTATGTTTTCACTCTCCTTCCTAAAGATTAGATGCTATCTTCTGAAGGTGCCCATTTGTCTTTAGAAACAAAATTCTTTAACGGTTTTTGAATTGGTTGCAAAAATATGAAAGTTACCTTTTTCAGGTTTTTATATTTTCTTGGAAATCGCAATATAAAGAATGGAAACCAAGGAAAAATTACCTTGCTTGTCATGCTTGTTGAAGTGCTGGTAAGAGAATGTAGGTTGAATGAGGGAGAAAGCAAGACCAGAACTGACTGATACAAAGAACAGGAATTTTCAAAGTAACTCTAAATGAGGTCAAAGATGAATAATAGGACAGTGGTGTGTAGAAAGGTAGCTGTTATCATAGCATTAGAATATTAGCACATTTCATTCTAGTTCTCACAACAGTAATTATAGTCTGGAAATATGTTGTTGAGGGCCAGTGGAATGAAACTGAAGGTCATTTTAGTTGAGGCAGTCTAAACAAATATAGAGATGGATTTTAGACAGGTGATTTTCAAAAGTATGAATGTCCTATATATATGTGATAATGTTAGTTTAATATTGCTGAGTAGCAAATTACTACAAACTTAGCCACTTGTTAAAAAAATTGTTACCTCACACTTCTGTAAGTCAAGGGTCTCTGCTAGCTCAAATGAACTTTCTGCTTGGGGGTCTCACAATTTTGAAATTAAGGTGTTGGCCAGGCTGGGCTGTTATATAGAGTCTCTGGGAAAGAATCTGCTTCCAACCTCAGTCAGATTGTTGGCTGAATTTAGTCCATTATCACCTGTAGGACTGAAACCTCTATTTTCTTGCTGTCAGTCAGCTGGGGCCACTGTCAGCTCCTAAAAGCCATCCACATCTCCTAGTAAATAGCTCTCTCTATGTTCAAAACTCGAAACAGTGCACTGAAGCTTGTGCTTCAAATATCTTACATCCTCTTCTTTTGATAGCCAAATAAAGCTCTCCGCTTTTAAGGGCTCACGTGATAAGATTAAACCCACCAGATAATCTCCCTTTTCTAAGGTTAAGTGTGCCACATAACAAGGGAATGATATCATACTTATAGGTTGTGGGGTTTTGGTGGGACATATTTGGGGTCCATTTTTGAAATTTTGTCTACCACAGTTTATGAGGACCTGAAGAATTAGATCAAATTCCCAATAATATAAAGGTAGACAGGTAATAATAACCTTAAAAAAAAGCGTCAGTCTGTTTGCCGTGAAACTTGCAGGTGTGCTTTTTAAATATGCATAAATACAAAAGATTTTAGAAGTGGTACTGTGGCACATTTCCAACTTCTGCAATATAGCTGGATGAGGTGGAGTAATCAACTATATTTACCTGAGGGGGCTACAGGGAAAGTGGTGATCTCAGGAGAGAAAAAGGCTTAAGTTAATGGAGAGTGAACCATGGAAAGTTTTAATAATTTGTGGCAACTTGCTGACAATTGAATGACATCTTCAAAAGGCTCAATAGAAAATAATAGTGGGATTCAGGGATGACGAGCTGCCAGTAAGTCAGTATGTATTAGGATGAAAATACGATAGGTATAAATTTTAAAAATTGCATTCTGTATTTTGATTAAGAAGTCAGAGAGCAACGTCATGGATGGAACTGATTAGTCAAAACAAAACTTTGGGTCAAACATCCTTATGTATCAGCACAGACGAGGTTCCTGGTTGCTTCCTAAAGCTCAGACACATGATAAACCCATCAGAAATAAAGACCAGACCAGCCATTTAGACAAAACTACTGTGTAGCAGAAAGCATATGAAATACCTGACAGGTGTAGAGTGAAATCAGGAGGGGCAGTATTCAGTGAAATGTGGACACCTAGCAGTCAAGAAAGCAAAAGATTATTTGGATATCTTTCTGAGGATTCTCTTTCTTAAAGATTAGGCAAATTCCATTTGTTTCCTCAAATTACAGATCCTGAGAGCTAAATGTTATTCTGGCATAGAGGGAATGATTGAACGAGCACCCTGGTTCAAAATGATTACAGTTAAATAAGGCTGATTTAATCACGACTTTCGATGTTCCTAATGTCATTGTAATTTATTCCAAGGCTCAGGAAACTGAGAAGCATAATTCGATGGCTCTAGGTCACCACTAAGTTAAATTTAAGAATTAGAAGTAAAACCCATAGTTTAACTCAAACACAATGAAAACTAGAAAACAAAAATGACAGGACTAGACAGGGAAGAATGAGACAATTCTTTGAAAGTTATTTTTCCCCTTGGTGATCTCCAGATTATGTTTAGCTCTCCTGAAACACTCAGACTGCGGCTTATTAAATACCCACCTCTGTAACTGCAACATGCGACATCTGAGAATCCTTCCATTGAACTGTTTTTTGGAGATGAATGTGTAGTAAGGACACTTCTTTACCATATCATATGTAAAACATGTCTTAATCATCCCAGCACTCGATCTATGCATAATTTAATGAAAAATAAAATCAAAAGTAAGATCATACCATATTTCTAGTTTCTAGGACCTACGATTTAACTAGCCTACATCAGAGATATTATAATTTAGTGTAGTTCTGCAATGAATACTTAGAATATTACCCATAGTCTGTGGTTCTGGCTATGATGCTTTTTAGATGTATTAAATCATGTTTTGTTCACAACAGATTTTATAAAATGTTTCTCTTCGTGCAGTAAATAAATGTATCACGAAATCAAAATATCGTTCTTATTTTTCCTCATTTTGCTTATAAATGCTGGATTTAACCATTTTGGCAGCCACAGAAAAGTTTCTATTTTAAAGGACTATAGGTACTTTAATATATCTGGAAGTATAGTGGAAATCACTAGGAAAATATTATTAGATTTTAATTATATAGCTATACTCTTCAATATCTAATATTATAAAACTACATTTAATCAAAATATGAAATTTAACTCCAATACTGTTCCTATATCAGTTTCCTATATCTTAAATAATACCACAATACACTGTGCAATACAAAACAGCATCATGGCAGTAATCAGCACCTTCTGCCTCAATGCCATCACATCCAAAGTATTCCAAGACCCATACATCCTACTGCTTACACAGTTAACAATGTGGTGTAGTCTCTAATGCCAGCATGCATGAGTTTAAATCCTAACTTTGCCACTTAATAGTTGTGTGACTAAAAGCAAGTAAAATTAGTTTTTCTGTGCCTCAGATTTCTCATATATAAAATGTAATTTAATGTCTTATGCACCTACAAATGTTACAATTTTTCTATTATAGGTAAAGAACTATTGACTAACTATACAATTATTAGATTTTTTTTGAGACGGAGTCTAGCTCTGTTGCCAGCCTGGAGTGCAGTGATGCGATCTCGGCTCACTGCAACCTCCGCCTCCCAGGTTCAAGTGATTCTCCTGCCTCAGTCTCCTGTTTAGCTGTGACTACAGGTGTGTGCCACCATGCCTGGCTACTTTTTGTATTTTTATTAGAGATGGGGTTTAACCTTGTTGGCCAGGATGGTCTCAATCTCTTGACCTCATGTTCCGCCCATCTCGGCCTCCCAAAGTGCTGGGATTACAGGCGTGAACCCCTGTGCCTGGCCCATAATTATCATTTTTAGTTTTAACATTTTTTTTAAAATATCAACTGTCATTTTAGATAAAGGAGGTACATATACAGGTTTATCACATGGGTATATTGCACCCAGGTAGTGATCATAGTACCCAAGAAGTAGTTTTTCAACCCATACTTCCCTCCCTCCCTCCCCTGTCTAGTAGTCTGCCGTTCCATTGTTTCCATGTTTATGTCCATGTGTACTCCATGTTTAGTAAACAGAAAACCAAATACTCCATGAAGCAATTCTTAGAATTATGTCCTCCAGCTCCATTCATGTTGCTGTAAATGATAAGATTTCATTCTTTTTGATGGCTGTGTAATATAATATGGTGTATATGTGCCATGTTTTCTTTATTCAGTTGAACATTGATGGGCAACCAGGTTGAATCCATGTATTTGTTATTGTGAATAGCATGATGTTGAGCATATGAGTGCAAGTGTCTTTTCAGTATAATTGAGGTAGGGGATGGGACTCACCTCCAGAGGCAGGAATTCAACTCCAGATCAGATTGAAGACTGGCTGAAATAGAGAAGAGGTGAAAGCACCTCTCCATAAGACAGGCCCATCAGTGCCATGTCCAGTTTACCAGTGACATGGGCACTCAAGGAAGTTACCACTGATTTCCATGGCAATGAAGAGAAGTGCCACCATTCTTCTGAAAAATGCTGAATAACCTGACTCTTAATTTGCACGTAATTAAACGTGAGTATAAATATGACTGCAGAGCTGCTCCTGAACTGCTACTCTGAGCACACTGCCTATGAGGTAGCCCTGCTCTGCAAGAACAGTACCTCTTCCACTGCTGTACACCGCTGCTTCAATAAAACTTGCTAACAACACTGGCTCATCTTTGAATTCTTTCCTGAGTGAAGCCAAGAACCCAGTTTGGAGGCTGCCTGCCTTGCATCAAGTAGCATCCAAAAGAAGCTGAACAAAGATGATGACATGAGAAACAGTGAGAGATGTCGCAGTCGGCAGTCAGCAAGGTGACAGTGAGAGAGGAGAAGTGGTGATTAACAAGACAACAGGCGGAGAGACAGAGACAGTGAAACAGTTAGTGATCAAGGCTGCAAGAGCTGTAACATTGAGGCTATAACACCAAAGATCTGCTAACACTGCAAGAGCTGTAACACTAACCAAAGGCTCTTTTCAGAGCCAACATTGTTCCTGGTAGGCGGAGCCCATTGGATGGGCAAGCAGCCACAGTACTGCTGCCCCATGTGGGACCTGCCACTCTTACTGGCAGTGGTGAGTTACTTGCCCCCATAGTGGCCCCTCCCACCATGATAACTAAGGCCACCCAAGCTGGGGTAATCTGAAGAAATCTTCGACTTGGTCCCATGTGGAAGATCAGTCAATGTCATTTTTGCTCCTGTGGATGGGTAACTTTCCTCTCTGCTCCATGATACTGGGTAAGCTAGCAAATAAAAGCCTTTAGCTAACTGGTCAGTTAAAAGTCCCCCATAGTTTGAGTGACTGGAATCATGTTCTTGTTACCCCTTTCCTGAGTCCTTTCTCCTCTATTTTATTGCTCCACAAGTCATTTTATTTGCAGTCCTAATATGAATGCTTTATCTGCAGTCTTTCATTTTTTGTTTTGAATTCCTGAGCAATTATTTAAGGCATGACAATTGGTTGTGAGAGGTCCTCATTGTGTCTATGCTGGGGTGCCAGAGTCACGTTGTTCTGTGGCCCCAACCACAACTTTGGGGTTCATGGTTGGGTGCCCACCAGATACTCCAGAATTTTCGGCTTTTGGTTGCTCCCAGATCCTCCAGGGTTTCCAGCATTTTGTGTGGGGACCTTCCTTGGCTGATACTTGGATTCTCTGGGTTTTCAGAATTTGATATTTTTGGTCACCTCCTGGGTGCTCTGGGGTGTTTGTCACTGGCATTCCCTCTAAGACTGTTAGTTGGAAGCCCACCCTAAGGGAATCTTGATTTTGCCTTTTCTTATTTTCTATTCTGAAGTTATCATTTTCCATAACAGCATTTTCTTCTTTAATTGTCATTTTATTTACATTTTTTCTTCTACACTTGGCTTAGTAAGAGTACTTCTTTTGTCATATTTCATTCACTAGCAAATGCTTTTAATCCACTTTTTAAACACCTTGCTACCCGTAATTAAACCTTCTCTGCAGGAAGCAAGTATCTACAAGGGAAAAATTGCAAGGTCCCTGTTGCTTTTCCTCTTGCTAGATTTAAAAAAATTTTTCTGTAATCAGTAAAATCTTTGTTAGACATGGGGAAAATGATGAGCATTCCAGAGGACTCTCCACTAGGATGTGTTTTAGGCTATTGGAGTGAACTCAAATTTGGCTTAAAGAAAAAAATCTCATTTTCTGTTGCAATAAGATCTGGATTCAGTACAAGTTAGAAAACCAAGAGATCTGGCCTTGCCATGGTTCTTTACATTATAATATTTTACAATTAGATTCATTCTGTAAAAAAAGAAGAAAAATGAGAGGAGGTTCTTTATGTGTAGGCTTTCATGACCCTTTACTGGCTCTCATTATTTCCAGGCACAAGGAAACCACACGTAAGCGATCTCCTTCTAGCTGTTCCACTAGAAAGCTTATGCCCTCCCCAGAGTCTCCTCAGTTCCTCAGTGCTGAGAGGGGTCCTGCCAGTTCCCTAGGCCAAGATTACACCGTAAGGTCGTCAGGCACCTCTCCCTCTTATCCAACTATCCTCAGCCTATACCCCCTGCTTCCTGAAAAATTAAGCGCAACCAGTATCACCAGGAATGGGACCCTATATCAGCCTCAAAAATGAAGGCTGTGTCCATTGTGGAAAGCAGCCAGTGGAGGTGGGGAGACAATCAGGGTACATGTGCCTTATTCGGTGTCTGATTTAGCTTCATGCAAGAAAAAAAAATTGTGTTAGGTTTTCAGAGGACTGAGGTAAGTTTATAGAGGAGTTTGTTAAGTTGACCATGTCCTTTGACTTAACTTGGCAAGATTTGAAAATATTATTGTCCACTTGCTATATTATAGAGGAAAACCAAAGGATTCTGGGCACCTCCCATGAATATGCTGATGGAATGGCTGCTTGTAACCAGGGCCATGCCATTCATCATATGGGGGGAACCACAGTCCCAAATCTGGACCCCTAGTAGGGTTACCAAAGGGGTTCCCTAGATCTCAAATACAGAATTCAGATGGTAATTTGTTTAATAGAAGATATTAAAAACTGTGTGGTAAAGCCAGTTAATTATTGAAAGATTAGAGAAGTAACTCAGGGAAAGGATAAAAATCCCACTCTGTTTCAAGGCTATTTGGTTGAGGAAACATACTAATGTAGACACAGACTCCTCAGAAGGGAAAGCCCTCATAGATATTCAATCTTCCCCTGACATTTGGGGGAAGCTACAAAAAGCAGTAATGGAACCTCAAACCCTTATGATCCAATTCTTAAATGTAGCCTTTAAAGTTTACAACAATAGGGACAAGGCAAAATAGGTGAAAAAAAAAAAAGGCTTAGAATAGCAATGATTAATAAAGCCCCCTTTATTGCTTTAATCCCCCTATCCCCTAGGGTTACCTATTCCAAGAAAGTGTCATGAGTTCAGCTTCTGGGACACCCAGAGCAGAGCCTCTGACTCAACAGACCCTGGGCCAAAATCAGTATTCCTTCCAAAAGCAAAAGGGCCATTGACAATAAGAATATCCTAACTGTCCTCAGTGAGAAAGGAAAAAGCTCCAGCTCAATACTAGATCTAACCTTCCATTAGCCCCAGTGAGCTGTCTTGCTCAAGTAAGTCTACTGGGGGTTGTGGACTCTTGACCTGATAGACAGCTTTCCCCATTGGCAAATAAGCAGCCACCTGAATATTTTTCTTCAGTATCTCCATTGCTGGGTGAACTCTCTGGCAGCTCAGAAACTCCAGGGTGTTCCCTTTAGCAACACAGCTTGCCACCTCCCTTCCATATTTAATGTTATAAGATCCTCTTCCCTGCTTCTTCCTGTCTTTCATTCCTACTGGGAAAACCAACATTTGGCCAGGTAGGGAGGTGTCAATTTTTTAAATAATTTTGATCCAGTTGGCTTGTATAGGTCACTTCATTTACGTTATGCGTTTTGTGTCTAGTTTCATATTAAATTGGCTTATAAATAAAAGAGCACTCATAAATTAAACAAATAAGACTAGTTTAAACTTTTCAGTTTGAAGAAAATGTTGTGTCTTCTAAAATTTAAGATTTTTACCTAGATAAACCACTGATGTTTGTAGGTTTTAGAATGGTTAAAGTGGCTTTAAACAGTAACCTTTGGTATAGTTAAAAATGTTAAAATTGTAGAATGGTTCTAATCTACAGAATGCAAATATCTGGTAGGCATTTCAGGATTTCTCACTTCCTAGGTTTACATAAAATATGCTAAAGAAGATGTATTTTTACTAATAATTAAAAATGTGTTATTTCTAATTCAGAAGTTATTAAAAGGTAGGTTCAAAATATGATGAAACTGGTGAGTAGAAAAGAGATATGTAAAAAAAGTTATGAATTTAAAATATGCATTTTTGCAAGAAAGAATATAAAGAACGATGATTTTGTATGAAGAGCGATCAAGTATGGTAAATTCTTGCCATATAGTAAAATGACTGGTTATTTAAGAAATAGTATAAGACAAGTTGAAAAGTCCAAGCATGTTGTAGATCATCTGTGTAAGTTGTGATAAGAAATGGTCTACGTGTTAAAACCAAACCTTCTTAAGGTATTAATTTGCTAAATTATTAGAAGTTTAGTTTTTTGATCCTGTAATTTATTTTTTAAAGCTTCTCAAAGTCATGTAACTCTCTCTTTTAGCTTTTTCATCACTTTGGTGAGTTTTTCTCCTCTGATTCTGACTACTATTGTGGCTTGTTGCTGAAGTGTTGTGTCTTAGAGATCTTTGGGAGCACGTTTTCCCCCAATATAGCTTAATACTATGCTCTTGTTTTTTCTTTATGTGTAACCTTAAATTTAGATTTTATTTTTTTACTCATATTGCTTAAAAGGGTTTTAAGAGCTAATGATGCTTGCCCACCTCCATTCCTGTCTGTCCTAGAACATTTAATTGGCCATAAGTCTTTTGACTCTGAGACCCTTGGCCATAGGGGTCTCACTGAGGTACATGATGGACCTGGGGCAGGTAGTATACTACCCCAGAATCAGTATGAGACTAAATAAAAGCTCAGCCATTAATACTGCCTCTGGTATACCTTGATGAAAAGGGGTAAGATAAACTACAAAATTAATATCTATAGCCCACCAATGGACTGAATGAATGTACCCATCTTGGCTAAGTAGAATTCTAGGAAAACCTGAAAAACTAATTTAGGCCATGATAAGGAAGAGGGAGTCAAACATGCCTCACTATACCTTTCCTTTCCCCTTAGGAATTTAAGCCAAGTTCAAAAGGCCCTCCAATATGAAAATAAGACATTGCTCTTCCTCATAAAGCTAAATAATAGCTCCCCTGTTCAACCAGGAGACTTAATCTTACTAAAAAGAAGGCTACCCTAAGGATTAATTACAACTAAAATGGAAAGGTCCCTATCAGATATTATTGAATACTCCCACCACTGTTAAACTTCAGGGAATAACTGCATGGGTATATCTATCCTGGATTAAACTTCTTAAAGTAACAGGCACAAAGAGATGACATCGTGACCTACATAATGAATATTTGGAAGACTTCCAGTACCTGTTTAAAATAATCAAAACTTGGCCAGAAGTGGTAATGCAATGCTGTGAATGGGGATAGGAGCACTAATTTTTCTCTTCTTCCTGATTGCAGTATTTTATATAGTTTGACCAACTGTCTTTTTCTGGGAAGCACCTCTTTTGTCCTTGTTAAGTGTAGAGGCCAATCTAAGGCCAAACTGAACATCACACCTCCATTTTTAATCCTGTTTGCTCTCCCAATTACCCTAATACAGTGTAGGTGGGAACAAAACTCTACAATACATATTTCAAAAATTATATCATCAGGGAATCGTCTTCATGGTTGCTGGATTTGTCATCAACATATTCCCAGATAGGGAATCCCACCTTCTGGCCTATCCAGAAAAATGTCAGCTGTTTCCCCAAATCTCCTAACCATAGAGATTCCAAAGTACCCAGATACCTACTTGTTAGGTGGAACTCTCCTCTACTTAATGAATTCCACCCAACCCCCGCTAGTATTATTATGTGGACCTGAGAGCTTAAGTATCTATTAAAATAACTCCAGCACACTGATGATTCTATCTTTGCACCCACTGTTGTGTTAATGACACAAAAGCAGAAGTCTCTCTGCAATACTCTGATCCAACTCTAGTTTCCAAGTTCCCAAGACCACATAGCAAGGTAAATGAGATTCCACTTGTGAGCAAGGAAACCACATATGGTGCCTCCTCCTAAATCAAAACATACAGGCCAGGAACAACTACCTAATCTGGGAAGGTGGGAGCACCACTCCCTTCTGGAAAACAAAGATTGTTCAACCATCTCCATTGGAACAGGAGAAGAATATTTCTATAGACCCAATTTGGCAGCAAAAGATAGACATCAGGACACCTGTAGGACCTCTATTTGTTCCACAACTAGGCTCATTTTTGGTTTTGGCTGCGAGGAAAAATAATGCCCAATAATATCACTTAATTCTCTGTGGGGTCCACCTGTTCTTTTAGGAACACCTTTCCCTTGTACATCAAAAACTTGGAACAGAGGTGAATGTATGGTGGCCACCCATGCCTCTCCATGGGTCACAGTGTATAACTCCATAAGACCCAGTAACACCAGAAGTAAGTGAGCAAGAGGATTAATTCTGGTGGGAATCCAGGTGGTAATAAGACTAGTAGCACCCTAGGGAGGCTTTGCCTATCATGAGTCAAACCTAAAGAACCTGACTCAAACCCAAGAATCCTTAGCCACCAACACATGTCAGGCACTACAGGGAATTCAAGATTCCCTAGACTCTTTGGCAACTGTAGTTCTCAATAACACACAAGCATTGGATTATTTACTAGCTGAACAAGGTGAAGTCTATGAAGTTATTAACAAAACCTGCTGCAGATGTATTAACAACTCTGGACAGGTTGAGGTTAACATTCAAAACATCTATGAGCATGCTACCTGGTTACATAGATATAACCAGGACACTGACCCCAGCAATACCTGGTTGACTACTAAAAGTGCCTTCCCAAGTCTACCCAGTTTTTACTTCTTCTAGGACATTTAGTAGCTGTCTTGTTACGAATCTTTGGCCCTTGCTTGTTTAACCTCTTAGTAAAGTTTGTGTCTTTTAGATTACAACAAGTCCAGGTAAAAACAATACTGGCACAAGGCTTATAACCCATCCTATCTACTAACCTGGAGAATAAAAGCATCCTGCCTCTGGGCCCCTTAAATCAGATATCCAGAGATTTCTACTACTCTGGTGCTAGGCAGGGCCTATTCCTTAAACTCAGCAGGAAGCAGTTACATAAGACAGATTTCTGCCCTTCTGCAGCTCTCTTAAGATTAAAGGAAGAGTATCTAATCTCTGAGGGAGACATGATGTAGGAGACAGGACTTAACTTCAGAGGCAAGGACTTGACTACAGACCAGATTGAAGACTAGCTGAAACAGGGAAGAGGTGAAAGCATGCCCCATAAGACATGCCCATCAGTGCAATGTCAGTTTAACATTGTTATGACAACTCCTGGAAGTTACTGTCTCTTTCTATGGCATTGACATGAAGTACCACTCTCCAAGTAATCCTTACCCAAACTAGAAAAACTACCTTGTTATCTCTCTTCCTCTCTATTCCTACCTTATAATCCATTTTCTCACTGTATACAGAGTGTTCCAAAAAGATAATATGATAGTGTCAGAGCCTGCAAAAACACATTTAGTGAATCACCATAGCATTCAGGAGCATCATAATATGGTCCCATCCAGTTAGTGAAGCCACACATATTAAAGCTCTTCAAACTTCCAGCACTTTCTTATTACCCATACCTTCTCAAATGCTGTTTCCTTAATTCAAGCATACTTCCATTCTTCTATCCATTCATTCCTTTAGCTCCTCAAAGAGGCAGTTCAAGTGTCACCCTATGCAAACTTTTCTGGTTCCTATCTTTAGGCTGAGTGAGAGGCCTCTTTTCTGTTTCACTTTCTACATGTATGCTATTTACTGAATATACATGTTATAATTCTCTTGTATATCACTCCCATTATCTCATGATATCCCTCAGAGCAAGGACAACATTTGTATTTTTAGTGTATGAATAAAACTTGGTTGATGCACAATAAATATTTATTCAAAGAATAAATGGACGGTAAATGAAAGAGGTGTTAAGACATGCTGGTGTCCATACACAATATCAATCCTTGCTAGGTTTATTTCTCGTCTACCAGAGCTCTAAATATGAGGAGTTGGGCACAGTCCCCAACATGCTACTCCTTTCCAACACATTTTTCTATATGTCTCATTCAAACCATAGTTACAAATATTTTCTATGCTCCAAATTGACATCTCCATGTCTTAAATTTCCTATAAACTCCTGTGGTTTTTTTTCACATTTCCAGTGGGATATCTAGTAGGTAACTAAAATATAGTGTCCATAAGTGGTGTCTTTATTTTCTCTTCCCAAATCTCCCTTATTCTGTCTCAAAAACCAAACCAAACAGATTATGTTTCTTAAGCCAAGACCCCAACCCAGGAGTCCTTTCTTTATTTCAACACTGTCCCCAGACCCTAAGAAGTATTTTAAGTTCTTTTTTGAAAATTGTGCCATGAATCCCACCACTTCTTTATATACATATATTTATTTATTTATTTATTTATTTATTTATTATACTTTAAGTTCTAGGGTACATGTGCACAACGTGCAGGTTTGTTACATATGTATACATGTGCCATGTTGGGGTGCTGCACACATTAACTCGTCATTTACATTAGGTATATCTCCTAATGCTATCCCTCCCCACTCCCCCCACCCCACAACAGGCCACGGTGTGTGATGTTCCCCTTCCCGTGTCCAAGTGTTCTCATTGAATCCCACCACTTCTTAATGCCTTCCTACTACTCTGATCCACACCATCATTGATTCTTACTTGAATTATTTCATTAGGCTGCTGAATGGATTCTCTGTTTGCACTCTTGATGACCCATATTCATTCTCTACATGCAGCCAGAATGATTTCTTAAACTATAAAATAGATAAAATGACCTCCCTGCTTAAAATTACCCAGTAACTTACAATTATACCTTTTAAAATATACAAATTTCTAACCATACATCTCTAGGCGGAATTTGGGAGATAGTATAGAAGATTTTTCAGAGTTATTTCACTTGAGGTACAACAAAGCTGGGTATTTATCCAGCAAACTTTCTGTTCATTATTGGCTTCTCATGCAGAGATTATTCTCTGGAATGTTTGAGTGCCACGTGAGGGCAAGGGAAATTTGGTGGTTGGAAAAAAAAAGAAAAAAAAAAACACCCTCAGGTAAGTGTCTCAGATATAAAGGTAAACTTGCAAAGGATATGGGTGGGGCACAAATGCAAAATACTCTATTATGACTTAAAAGCCCCAAAGGACCTGGCCCTTCCTATAACTTCAACCTTAACCCCTGCAATTTTCCACCTCCTTCACTCTGCTCTGTTTATTCTGCTGCTCCTGTGACACCAGTCTCATCCTTGCTTCAGAACCTCCGTATATGCTGTCCTTTTAGTCCAGAATGATCTCCATTCACTTATTTTCAAGCCTGTCTTATATTTTTCACTCAGGAATGAGATCTCATGTGTCCTCCTAAAAGATGCCTTTTCTGAATCTTATTTAAAATATTATCCCTTACAGGGTTATAGATGTTAGGAATAATATTAAGATCATATATATATATTTTTTTAAATAATTTCAAAAATATGTATTTAAGTTATATATAGTAACATAAACATGTCATATATATTTATATATGTTTATATATTTATGTTATATATACCTAAATTAATATGTCATATATATTTATGTTATATATTTATATACAAAATATGAAATATAATGTAAAACAATATATTATATATAAGATATATAATATGTTATATAATATGATATCTTTTATTGATATATAATATCAATTATGTTATATTGTTATATTATATGTTATCTATTTTAATTATAATTATATTATTAAATTATTATATTATAAAATATATCATATTATATAGTATAATTATAATTACAATATTATATTATAATATGTTACTAATTACTATGTATTGAATATTCAAACTATATATTTTATTATATATAACAATATATTTATATATTTAACATGAAACTATATATATTTAACTAATAACTATATATAATTTGAAATTATTTCTTATAAATAGCATGGTAGATATTGATGTGTTTGCAATATAGTAGGACACTGGAAATATGTATCATTTCAAAAAATTATTATAAAAATGTTTGTTAAATTAATCTTTTAAATAAATTATTTAGATAATTCAGGGATATAACTGTAGTCATTACTTCTGTACAACCACACATTTTTAAAATAAAAATATTTAAATAGTAAGCAGAAATCATGGAGTCATTAAAAATTCAGAAATGTACTACGTTTTATCTAATTTAATCCAAGAGTATCAAAGCAAATAAAATACTACCAAGTAAGATCCATATTTCCTAAGAAATCTGTAGTATATCTAACTAGTGCATAAGTAGACTACATAGAAAGTAATATGTATAAAATAGTGATTTAGTGTGAATTTAGAAAGGTGCAGGTTTATAACCTGCCTCTGTTACTTTCTACCTTTATGAACTTGGGAAATTTACTCAATTATTTGTGGAAAAGAGTAGATTTAACAGTTAATCTGTACTAAATGAAATAAATGATATTTCTTCCCTGCATTTAAATATAACCCATTCCAAATATGAGTCTTGCAATACTGCAAATAATTTTATGTTTTACAAGATGTTTGTCAGAGTGCTAGTTTAGGGAACTCAAAATTATTAAGCCAATAAAAGTACTTCCATTGTAATCAGAAGTACCCTTATTTTCCAGCTCACAGTTAATTTTTAAAAGAACAAAAGTTGAAATATGACAATAATGTGTACTATTAAATGGTAGTAATAATTCAGTTTAAAACACCACCACCACTGGAAAAAATATTCATCATGATTATATCAGTGCATTGTATACATGAATTAGAAATCCAGGGCAGTAAATATTTTGAATAAATGAGTGTTCAATTTTGGTATACAAATTTATACTGCATTGCACTTTTTATTCATTATTTTAATTTCAAATATGACCATTAAATGGGTTATATCAATAAAGATGGTTAAATATCAAAAGAAGACTTACTTCAATACTATCTTTTTTGCCTATAAAATCATTTTAACAACTAATAGGAAAGGATGTTGATAGTCATGGTCAAAAAAGTATCTATGCCCCTAAGGTAACAAGGAGAATGAAATTTATACATACTCTAAAATATTGTTTGACTTTTACATATTTTAATCCCCTTTAAGCCAGTCTTTTAACAGAACTGCTCTCAAGACATAAAATTAAGTGTTTAGAAATCCTTTTCATGTATGACTTAATGAGTGAAGATGAAGGAAAGCCCATGCAAGGATAGTTACACCTGGATTGTCATATAATTGGGTTTTCTTCTCTACATTCAAATATAATTTTCTCCAGGTACACCTCAAAAATCATGAAAAAGTAACAAGTTGGTTAAAGCTTGAGTAAATAGTAGTAACATAATCTATAAAGAGGGCTTAATGAATCATTAAAATAATTTTAAAAAATTAATAACTAGTCATAACTGAGTAAAAATAGGCTCACTCAAAAAAAAGAGGCAAAAACATGTGGAGTGGAAAAAATACTGATAGGTTGAGAGTAACACTAATTATTTTGTATATGATCTGATAGGAAATAGTTTTTAATTTTTTTCTAGTTTTAATTCACAAAAGCAAGATACAGTTTTTCTACATTTGGAGAAATAGCCTAGCTCTATGGTTATGCCCAAATATAATAATTGAGAAGTCACATAAAAAGGTAATTTAGCAACTGACTTACTTTATAAATTATAAGGGGCATTATTCCCATAGGAGGCACAGTCATAGTACAGAGGTCAACAACACTGACAAATGCCACAGTAGGCTGGTACAGGGGGACTTAAGAGGACTACCTGGTGGAAACTGAAAATAGAGCCAAAAGATAGAATAAAGAAGGTAATTTTTAAGAGACATATAATCATTAATGTTTGAGATTGAGCATATTACTACATTCTTATTGTCCTTGCACTTAGTGTAAACTAATGATAATTATGAAACTGAATTACTCCATATGCTATATTACCAACGGGTAACATTGTGATGGTGGTTCTTACGCAAGAAGCCAAATGACTCAGTTCCTAAACAGAGCTTGTGAGTTGAATTTGCATTGGCCATCAAGGAAAAATTGAAAGTTCAGGACATAAAGAAAATACAGGGGTCATCAATTATTACCACTAAAATTAATATAAATCTTCCTATTTCACTTCCATCTTCACAAAGTCAATATTTTCTCACTTTCAAAAGTAAAACCAGTAGATAATATACTTGTCAGATGAGGTAAAATCATAAAAATGACTGAAATAAAATCTAATTTAATATTTACATCAACATATCTTTCAGTCATGATTCCTGTCTGTCAGTATGAAACATGATATACAAATTGTTATACATGAAAACCTAAAGGGAATGATCTAAAAAAATATGCATACGTAATCTAACGTCTGGGGAGTTTTTTAATGGTAGTTTTTAAGGAGAGTCAATGACAATAGATTTTTATAAATACATATGACATGTGTACATTTTATAATTTCAGGTCACTTCCTCCTGCCACCTGATAACATCAAAGTTAAAGAAATCTTTTTGCTACATATGTAATTGAACAAAATGAATACAATATAAATAAAATATTAACATAATCAACAACTATCTGAAAAATAAAACTTAATGCTCAAATCCCACCAAACAAGATATATTCCCAAATGAAATATAAACAATTAGATTTTTATTTTAATTATATATTCCAAAAGCAAAAAAGCACTTAAGTTAATGCATTAACTTGACTGAGATTTAACTGTAAATGTATATGTTGGTCTAAGAATTAATGGGTTTTATATATTTATTCACAAATTCAGAAAGCTGTATAGTTTCACAATACTTAAAGATTAACATTTCAGTTTAATTGCATAGTACAAACTCATAAGTACTTAGCAATTTATTCATCAATAAAAATGGACAAATGGCACAGAATAGAAAACCCAGATATAAGAACTCACATCTACAACTATATGATCTTCAACAAACCTGACAAAAATAAGCAATGGGGAAATCATTTCCCATTTAAAATACGGTGTTAGGATAACTGGCTAGCCATATGCAGAAAATTGAAACTGGACTCCTTCTGTACACCATATACAAAAATTGACTGAAGATGGACTAAAGTCTCAAATGTAGAACCCAGAGCTATAAAAACCTTGGAAGACTACGTAGTCAATACCATTCAGGACATAGACATGGGCAAAGATTTCATGACGAAGATGCCAAAAGCAACTGTAACAAAAGCAAAAATGGACAGATGGGATCTAATTAAACTAAAGAGTTTTTGCACAGCAAAAGAAACTATCAACAGAGTAAACAGATAACCTGCAGAATGGGAGAAAAATGTTGCAAATTGTGCATCTGACAGAAGTCTAATATCCAGCATTTATAAAGAACTTAAACAGATTGACAAGATAAAAACAAACAACCCCATTAAAAAGTGAGCAAAGGACATGAACAGACACTTCTCAAAAGGAGACTTGCATGCATCCGACAATCATGAAAAAAAAAAAGCTCAACATCACTTATCATTAGAGAAATGCAAATCAAAACTACAGTGAAATATCAAATATCATCTCACACCAGTCCAAATGAGTATTATTGAAAAGTCAAAAAATGACGTGCTGGTGAGGTTGTGGAGAAAAAGTAAAG
This sequence comes from Homo sapiens, assembly GCF_000001405.40. Classification (NCBI taxonomy): domain Eukaryota; kingdom Metazoa; phylum Chordata; class Mammalia; order Primates; family Hominidae; genus Homo; species Homo sapiens. The sequence goes on from NC_000014.9 coordinate 41,276,643, forward strand.
CTTATATACTGTTGGTGGGAGTGTAAATTACTTCAACCATTGCGGAAGACAGTGTGGCAATTCCTCAGAGACCTAAAGACAGAAATACCATTTGACCCAGCAATCCCGTTACTGGGTATATACCCAAAGGAATATAAATATTTGTATTATAAAGACTTATGCATGCATATGTTCATTGTAGCAGTATTTACAATAACAAAGATATGGAATCAATGTAAATGGCCAATGTAAATGGTACACTGGATAAAGAAAATGGGGCACATATACAACATGAAATACTATGCAGCCATAAGAAAGAATGAGGTCATATACTTTGCAAGGACGTGGATGGAGGTGGAGACCATTATCCTTAGCAAACTAATGCAGAAACAGAAAACCAAATACTGCATGTTCTCACTTATAAGTGGGAGTTAAATGTTTAGAACACATGGCTATATAGAGGGCAACAACACACACTGGGACCTATTGGATTGTTGAGGGAGATGATCAGGAAAAATAACTAATGTGTACTAGGCTTAATACTTGGGTGATGAAGTAATCTGTACAACAAACCCACATGATACATGTTTAATTGTGTAACAAACCTGTACATCCTGCACATGTACTTAAAATGAAAGTTAAAAAAAGAAGAAAAAAAATCACTTGATGAATTTTCTATCTTACCACTAAGCCACTAATATGCATGCCTAATTCAGATTCAATACATTTTATTATTAACCATAAAAAATAAAAATAGAAATAATCACTATGCTAAACTATGTGCCCAAATTTTTCCAGAAAGCAATTTATTTGTAATGACTATAAATATACATGTTCTATGCTCAAGGATGCCTTATTTTAAATAAAAAAGTACTTCTTTCTATGTTTTTCAGTTAAAAATAATCAGAAAGACCTATATGAGTTTGAATTATTCCAAATTTGGTTGGAATAAACAACTTGCAAAAGCTTCTGTAAATGTGTAGTCACAAGAGAGCCATCTGGCTCCATGTAATTATACCCATCTTTTATCCAATTCTGAATTTTAAATGTAAAAGCAGGCCCAGGAATATCATACAGATTTGTGATATACACTTGGGGATTGCTGATCCATAAACGAATTAACAGGTTTTATTCATATGGGTGTGTTCCATCTTCATTTATATTTCAAATCAGAAGAGAGTACAGATTCAGAGATTACTGAATGAATTGCTGCTAGTACGAATTTATTTCTGCTGAAGTATTTCAGAGTGACATAAAATAGAAATTAAGACACACATGGGTGTAAGACAAAAAGTAGAATCTGCCTCACTTTTTTTTTTCATGTAAGTACTTTGAATCAAGTTGATAGATGCCTCATGAATAGAAAATAAATTTGTGGCTATTTATTGTAAAAGATCACTGACTTCTGCAGGCCTGCTGCAAAGGATTGAATTTGTTACTGGCATATTATGACCAAATTTGCGTTAGTTTATATTTTTCCTAGATTATCTTTCTTCCTTTTTTAGAATAGTACTTTTCTGGAATAAAGCATTTTTTTTTAAAGTTATGTGATACATGGGCAGAATGTGCAGTTTTGTTGTACAGATATACACGTGCCATGGTGGTTTGCTGCACACATCAACCCATCACCTGCATTAGGTATTTCTCCTAATGCTATCCCTCTCCTAGTCCCCCACCCGCTGACAGGCCCCAGTGTGTGATGTTCCCCTCCCTGTGTCCATGTATTCTCATTGTTCAACTCCCACTTATGAGTAAAAACATGTGGTGTTTGGTTTTCTGTTCTTGTGACAGTTTGCTGAGAATGATCCATGCTTCATCCATGTCCCTGCAAAAGATATGATCTCATCCTTTTTTATGGCTGCATAGTATTCTATAATGTATATGTGCCACATTTTCTTTATCCAGCCTATCATTAATGGACGTTTGGATTGGTTCCAAGTCTTTGCTATTGTGAATAGTGCCGCAATAAACATACATGTGCATGTGCCTTTATAGTAGAATGATTTATAATCCTTTGGGTATATACCCAGTAATGGGATTGCTGGATCAAATGGTATTTCTAGTTCTAGATCCTTGAGGAATCGCCACACTGTCTTCCACAATGGTTGAACTAGTTTACACTCCTACCAACAGTGTAAAATCATTCCTATGTCTTCACGTCCTCTCCAGCATCTGTTGTTTCCTGACTTTTTAATGATCACTATTCTAACTGGCATCGGATGGTGTCTCATTGTGGTTTTGATTTGCACTTCTCTAACAAACAGTGATGATGAGCATTTTTTCATATGTTTGTTGGCTGCATAAATGTCTTCTTTTGAGAAGTGTGTATTCATATACTTTGCCCATTTTTTGATGGTGTTGTTTGTTTGTTGGTTTTCTTGTAAATGTGTTTAAGTTCTTTGTAGATTCTGGATATTAGCCCTTTGTCAGATAGATCGATTGCAAAAATTTTCTCCCATTCTGTAGTTTTCCTGTTCACTCTGATGATAGTTTCTTCTGCTGTGCAGTAGCTCTTTCGTTTAATTAGGTCCCATTTGTCATTTTGGCTTTTGTTGCCATTGCTTTTGGTGTTTTAGAAGTCTTTGCCCATGCGTATGTCCTGAATGGTATTGCTCAGGTTTTCTTCTAGGATTTTTATGGTTTTAGGTCTTACATTTAAGTCTTTAATCCATCTCGAGTTGATTTTTGTATAAGATGTAAGGAAGTGGTCCAGTTTCAGTTTTCTGCATATGGCTGGCCAGTTTTTCCAACACCATTTATTAAATAGGGAATCTTTTCCCCATGAATAGAAACTTTTAACAAAATTTTAACCCTAACACAATAGCATTACAACCATATACACTTTATTGTACAGATTACATATTCTATCTTTATATGGATGACATTGTCAATTGCTCTCTCTCCTGCCTCTACTTGTTACTTCAAATATTTTGTCCTCATAGGTTCTATTTTACAGTATGAATTCTAGTTTGATGCCTTATTCATGTGTTATTAATTGTATAGCCAGTTCATATTATAGTAATTATAGCAATTAATTGTATAGCCAGATCTGAGTGTTAAGGCACTCAGTGTATGAGTAACTTGACCAAATAAAAGTATTTCCAGGATTGTATTATCTTCATTTATTTTCTTAGTAGTTCCATAGTTAAAATTTATACTAATCCATTTACCATAGACATATCCTAAATGGATAATTTAAAATATATACAAAGCTATGTGAATGGATACATTCGTGTATGATATCACCTGTTTATATAAGTATATATTATATTAATAAATTAAAACTAACTTACACGTCCAATAATTCCTGAAGCTTTGAGTAGCAAAGACCCATTCAAATTACGATGACATTTTATATATATATATAGGCATTTAAAAGATTCTTGGTAAAAAGCACATGAAATATATGCATGGAATGTCCTAATTCTTCTGTATGTTTTAACAAATTCAGATGTGTGTTATTTTGTGTCCATGAACACATGTATACACACATATATATGCAGAACACAATATGTGGAAAATGGGAAACAAAGCAAAAGTATTTTCAAACAGCAAATTACAAAAAATGAAATACACAACTCAAATACTTTAAAATTTTAATATGAATTAACAATTAGCTTAAAAAGGTCAAAAAAATTTTTTCCCAAATAATTAATTTTGTTCTTTTTAAAAAGTGAAAGCAAGTTTAATAGAGAAGTAAGGAAACAAAAGAATGACTACCACATAGACAAAGCAGCCCAAATAATTTTCAACAATAAAACATTGCTCTTCAAAGCAGTAGTGGAATTTTATTATTATGCCAAAATAGTATGGAGTGAGAGGCATGCATAGATGAAGACAGAAAGAGAAGAAGGAAGGTGAGGAAAAATGGGGGAGAGAGAAAAGTAGAAGTAGAAACAGAGTGGCAGAGAAATAAAAAATCATTACTAGGAAAAAAGAAAATACGTGATCTATTTTCCCTCCCAGAAAACACATTATGAGAAAAGCAGTTGAGCGTATTGATGTGGGTTCTTACCTAGCAACTTTATGGAGCCTAATACATACTTTTTATTTCTTTGCAAAACTTTTCTTTATAATTGACATGTAAAATTTACTTGTTTATGGGGTACAGTGTGATGTTCCAATGCATGTATACATTATTGTATAATGATCAAATTAGGGTAGTTAGCATGTCCATCACCACAAACCTTTATCATTTGCTTGTGGTGGTAACTTTCAAGATCCTCTTCTCTAGCCATCTTGAAACATACAATACATTGTTATTAGCTATAGTCACCCTACTATGTAATAGTATATAAAGTGTGTAATAGAATACCAGAACTTGGAGTCTGTATTATCCTAAGGAAACTGTAGGAGGCAGCAAAGTCCTTTTTGTAGCTGGGACGCATAAGAAAATTCATTAGAGAGTCCATTGAGTGGTACTTCTGAGATTTCCCAATGCAGAACATCCCATTTGTTTCCAGCTTCAGTCCATTCAAAATAAGAAAGGAAGATTACTAACCTTTATGCTGAGAGTCATTCTGCAGAACCCATCCAGTTTCTTCATGGGCCTGGCTGATGAATTTTAAGGACATAGAAGACGAATCTCAATCTCTACGTCCTTTAGCTTATTCATGGTGACAGTAATCTCTGCCATCCACCCACAGGAAGAAATATTAGTTTTAGCTTACTATTTTGGCTAAGGGAGGAGGCAAGCAGTGTCAGAGGTGGTGGCTATCATGGAATAATCAACTTTAGTGACCAAAAATACTAACATTATGGTCAGAGGTCTGACCAGATGCAATCGGAGGAAACATAGATGCCCCTATGGATGGAGTGCCAACAGGCAGTCTCCAGATGGGAAGAATGTACATCAAATTGTAAGAAGATCACATAGCATAGGAGATACTGGTTTGGCCATCATAGAAGACATGTACAGTCTGCTACAGTAAATTTAAAAACAAAAAACAAAAAACTGAAGAGACCAGGCAAGCACTCTGTAGAGATTTTGCTTTATTTTTTCTAAGAGTAGTAAATACCATTCACATTTTTAAGACAAAATTTGGAAGAAAGAGGCCAAATTTGAGGAGTCAAGAGAATTCAGCATTATCATTTCAAAGGGTGCTACAAGAGATTGTCATGGTGAGGGTTGATGGTAGCTTTGGTCTAGGGGAATAATGGTAGAAATGAAACCCATTGGATTAGACATATATTTAGGAAATAAAACAAAATTTACAAACAGGTTGGATACAGTAGGTACAGGGGACTTAGATATTGTTGATAACCCCTAAGTTTCTGGCAGTACAGAAAAATGAGTGGTGCTGTTGTTTAGATGAGGAGTATGTTTAGATGAGAATTCCTAAGTTTTATTTGCAGATTTATAAGTATGAGGTGTCTTGTAACACTCCACCAGAGGACTAGGTATATTATATTAGTAGAAAGGATAAGACTAGAGATTTAAATAGTTTAAGCAGCTGGGAGTATTTGAAACTTTGGTAAGATTATATCTCTTAGGGAGAGATTACAAAATGAAAAGAGGAGGTCTTCTAGGGTAGAACCTTGACTTTTTTATATTATGTAGTTATCTGTAGATTACTACAAATCTACAAAGAGGCTGATAATGAGAGTGTAAACAGGCAGAAAGGGTTTGTTTATTTTTCCACAGAAGCCTCCTGACTCATATTAATGTTAATATTATATTAACTATAATGTAACTACTTAAATGAACCAATACAATTTAGGAAACTTTCTCTGTAATACAAGTATTTTGCAATAGGTAAATGTATGCTCGTAGGTAGTATATTAGGAAGGTAATCTTAAAAATATGTTTTAATTCAAAAGTATGAACTATGAAGTTTGGACTGTTTTTTCACAAATTTAACTATGATGATAACTTTTCTGAAAGGCACTGAGATTTTTTGTTTATTGGGACAAAATTATGTTCTTGTTTAATATTATAATAAGACATTATTAAAGGTGTAGGTTTGCTCAATTGCCTAAATTTTATTTTAGACTTTTGCCTGACTGTACGTCATTGTTTCATCAACTACAATTACTGAGATCTCTTTATAACCAGGCAATCAACATCAAATGAAGAGTAAATGCAATTTTTAAATTACTATGACTAGTTCTACAGCCTCATGGATAGTTTAAATGCATATTTTAAATTACTCCTTAATGAAATATGAATTATTATTATTAATTTAAAGCTAGGCTAGATGAATAAATGTTTAAAAGATAGAGACATGTAAAGGAGAAATATATACTTGAGAGATGAGAGAGAAACACACATACACACACTGGGGGCAAAGGAAGAGAAACAGAGAAAATACTAGAAATGGATTCACATTTTTGTTAATTTAGTGCCGAGATATTTTGTGTGATTATCAATAGGAAAATGAAATAGTTGAGATCTTAAATTATTGTCAGCATATTTTGGAGCTTGTAAGAATGGATAATGCTTATTAATTCTAATATGTTTGTGAATGGTGTTATGGAAAGGAAACAAAACTGGGAGTCAGTAGGCTTATTTTCTGCTCCTGATTGAGTTATTGACTGTATTTATTGCCAGTAATTGTTTTATGAATATCAGATCCATAGAACAACCACCTAAAAAGAGCTTACCAATCATTTCAGGATTTAAATTTTGTCTAACTTACTTTTTTCCATCATTATCTTATATTCTAAGCTAGAGTTATTGTGAAATTTTGATTGCTTGAACATTTGTAACGTATTGCAAGATTTTATGCTTTCCTGATAAACACTGTGCTTTATGAGAGTAAGGAGTTTCTTTATGCTGATTAACATTCTTTAGCCAGAACCTAACAAACTTATCACATAAATGGCACTGCACAGTTATAAAAGATTTGATGAGTATTTATGACTTTTTACATTCTCACATCTGGAACTTTCAAAAATCCTGCGATGATTTTCTTGTACCATCTTCCTTTCCTCTGGCCACTTCCCTCCCTTTTTCATCTGCTAAATTAATGTGTATTCTTTTTTCACAATTAGTTTTTATTTATGTATAATAATATATTTCTGGAACTTTAACATTAACATGTTCAACTTTGTTGTGATGTTGCCAAGTTGTTCACACCTTACTACTTTAATTTTTCCTTATATATAAATTTCCAATTCTTTCTCTCTCGAATTATTATTTGGAGTGACTCTTCTCCCTACGCTTTTGTCAAAAATCTGGCTCCCGAATGATTAGTAACATAACTTACTGATAAGATCAAGCCGAATGAACATTATCTCACAAAACTTTGGCAGTGTCTCAGAAAATAAAAGGTAAAGTCAGATGTATTAAAAATTGTAAATTTGATTACTAGAAGGCCTTTCAATAAAAGGTCTTGATTAGATTGGAGGAAGCAGCAATGTGAGGCTTTTGCGGCAGATACAAGTGTGTAAGATTCAGTGTCTTTTTTTATTCTCTGAGCCTTGGCTTTGTGTATTTTGTAATTTTCAGGATTTAGGGTTGCAAGAGTTGAGTATCAGATAAAACTAGTTTAGAGAAAATAATATTTTTTACTATTATAACTAAAACTCCAGGGCCAGAGATGGTTTAAAGTACAACTGATTCCATCTTTCCATAATACTGCCCAGATCGAACCTCTTTGTTATTATTTTTCTCACCGCTTTCTTCTGTGTTGCCTGCTATTCTGGACAGATCTCTTAGTATTAATAACTATGGCAGATCCAGCTTAGTATTCTTTCTGTTTCTGGCACAAAGAAAAAGTGAACGTTCCTTTCATTTTGAGGTCAAAACCATCTAAAAAGTGTGCCTTATTGGCTTCGCTTGGTTTACACTTCTGAACTAATCGCTGACAAGAGGATAGAATCTTCTGATAGGCCAGGTATAGTTTACATGTTTATTCCTGAAATTGAAGAAATAAGTGTTTACTTTTGCATCATGTAGACAGAAAACTGAAGGAGTCGTGTCCCTCAACAAAGTAAGATGTTGTTTCCAAAATAAAAGAATTGGACACATTGTAAGCAAAAACAATTTCCAGTTCTAACAATGAAAACTAACAATCAATTACTTTCTTTTTGGGTGCTTACACAATAATCTCTACTTGTACTATCATATTATATTTTAATTGCCTCACTAAGAGCTAAATGACCCAAACTAAACTTGGTCATTATTGTTATCCAAGCATTTATCCAAGTGGCTAGAGTATAGAATCTATAATTATGTGCTTACTGAATGAGTGAATAATTAGATTGAGCAAATAATTGTAACTCTTTTGAAATTACAATTTTCTTTTAAATATTAATAATAGTGACAAATTAATTGGTATAATTGTATTACTATTTTAAATTAGTGTAATTATTATAATCAATATAATAATACTCAACTAATAAATTTGCTGTAGGACTTTCATAAATTATAATAATACCTATAATTTCTTAAATGTCCCCGACCAATAGTAAGCACTAAATAAATGTTAAGGGTTACCAATAGTCATTGCCAAACAGATAAAGTTAGACTGGGAGACCTATGGAACACTAGAATTTTATAGAGATTCAAATTTGCATGAATCCGTATTAGCAGTTTGATAAGTGATAGATAAATGTTTTCAAATGTCTGGAGTTTTGCTTTTAATAAAATTACTTTCTAATGTTGTTTTATAGCATTTCTCTAGAGGAAATTGAATAATATTTTCCTCTAAATCCATGCAGGATAAGTTATCTGGAGTCATTAGAATATAGTATTATGCACAAACAACTAGACAGGAATTCTGTTACAGATGATTAGTCAACCGTAAATTCAGCACCCACCAGATGGACAGCTCCAATGTACCACATGAATTATGTGAGTTACAGCTGCAGCTCTGGTAAAAACTAAAATGCTCTTGATGAACAGCTGACGTTTTCTTAAGATTCTAGACAAGGGATACCAGTTAAGTTTTTTATTGCCATAGCATGTGGCATAGAAAGGACTGATTACCTTGAAGAAAGGTTGTATTAAAAAGCATTTATAGTCTGCTGTGTTAACTTTACATTTAAGGGTCTTTCCATATTTACGTTTAGAGCACCTGCACTGTTATCTGATGTGTATCTTATGTGCCTATAACTCAAAATGAACAACAGTAAAATTGTTCAGGCGATTAGATAATGACAGGATAATGGTTTTACAAGGAACTATAAAAAGATAGAATTAAAATGCTGAGATATAGAGGTTCAAAATTGTCAATATTCAGTAGACGAGTAAGATGTTTGTGTATTTACTCCTGATTACAGATATTTCTTATTTAAAAGGTAATTTTAAGTACCAGTGGTGTACAATTCTCACAGAAATAAGGCCTTCAAGTTCTCTTATTACATCTGAGTTCTGACATATGAGAACTGAAAAATAAGCTAGTACTTATTAAAATTACTTTTTAAATTCATAGTACTTTAGTTTAAATATACGCTTTATGCTAATATTAATGTGCCTACCTTGAGAAGAGAAGAATTCTTTCATTTTGTATAACTTTACAGCACAAGAAATCTCGGATTTATTTTATATGTGGTGTTATCTTATTCCTTGCTGTTTCTAAAAGGATTTAATTGTTTGTTTGGAGTGCTTGTATTCGTTTTTACACAGAGTTAGCTCTGTGTATAAACCTTCTGCTAAGTATACTTTCATCTGTATAATTTACTTTGGTTTATAATTGTGATGCAGAATATTCTTCCTTACTGCACATAAATTTGAAGTCTGTAATGAGATAATAAATGACCATCCACATATGTAGTTCATGATGATAAAATCCTTTTATTTGATTCAGAGAATAAAATAAAAGCATTTTCCTCAGAATATAATCTGGTAAAAGTTTATCAATTTTTACTGAAGTAAATCTTATGAATAATATAAAACACTTTAATTTTTTATTATACTTTAGGTTCTGAGATACATGTGCAGAACGTGCAGGTTTGTTACATAGGTATACATGTGTCATGGTGGTTTGCTGTACCCATCAACCTGTCATCTACATTAGTTATTTCTCCTAATGCTATCCCTCCCCAAGCCCCCGACCCTCCAACAGGTCACGATTTGTGATGTCCCCCTCCCTGTGTCCAAGTGTTCTCCTTGTTCAACTCCCACTTATGAGTGAGAACATGTGGTGTTTGGTTTTCTGTTCTAGAAAACACCTTAAAATTTTAAGTAACAATATATTAATTAAAACGGTAAACTTAAATATAATTAAATATTTTCATATCACACTTTAATATTTTTTCTCTATTCTTAATTTAGTGATGTTTTGTAAAGCTGAAGTGCAAATATAGATTTTGTTAGCCATACATGCTGAATATATTTACATTTATTATTCATTTGAACATCGTATATATATGGTGACACACAGTTATAAATCACCGACACTATCTAACAATCTTAAATATTAGACATAGACAAATAGAAAAAGAAATGCTATATTATCTTTAGAAATGTATTACCCAAACAAGAAAACAAAAAATAAAATAGAGTAGAGAATGAAGACTATTATACTTAGTGCATGATTTAAAAATAGAGGTATAAAAATAGGAGTACTCAATTCAACATGAGAACATCAAGAGGAATACTTGATAAGTAACTGGTAAAATAAACAAAATTGCACTAGGTATGCAGGGAAATAGTGGTATACAAGAGCATCTAAATTTAATATCCATCTGCCACACAAGAAGAATGCAGAGAAAAAAAGTTAGATATAGATTTGTCTGTACCATCTAACTCTAGATAGGGTATTTAGGAATTCTGATAATTGATAATTAAGTAGCTTTACTTTATTTATAAAGACTCTGCTCAGAGGTATCCAGAGCTGTTTTCCTTCCAAACTATTATCAAACATACCTTCTAATTTAACATGTCTTCAGAGCCTGCAACTGTTAGTGTACAACATAAACAGGGTGAAAAGGATACTGTTGGGTAAATATTGCACTCTAAGATGTAAAATTGCATAAACTCAGGCAAAGAAAAAAAGACTACTAAGAAAAGTTTGTGTTGAGTATGGACTTGTAGGAGAGTGCCATCCTTTACATATTGCTCTTGGACTAGAATAAGGGTAGACAGTAGTATTATATTTTCCAGTGACCACAAAAAACTGGGCAGTTCTAACTGAAGACCCTACTTTAGTTAGTGGTGCCACACAAGAGGACTGTGATGCTGGTCTTTGGATAAAAGCTCTTGTTTGTGACCACTAATTTGTTGTCTAGCTTTATATCCTAGGAGGCAAATTGCACATGTATAGGTAAACAGTAAGAGAGTCAATGACTTTCTATTCAATCTGTTTATTGGCAGAATATTCTAAAACTATTATTCTCCACTGATGAAGAAAAGGGGAGCGGAGTGAGACTTGTGGAATTACAATGAGAAAATTAGAGTTTAAACAGAAAAAAGAGAAAATTCTAGAAATTTTGTAAAAAAAAAAACTAACTGGATATTAAGCAGAGGATTGGGAAAATGTCTATATTTCACGTTCCTATATTCCCAATAAAATATAGTGACAAAATAGAAACATGGGCAGGTGGAGGATAAAATGTACAAAATGACAAAAATAAAAAATGTTTTAAAAAAATCGCAACAGTAAAATTAATATCTGCTTTGAGAAAAGCCAAGATGGCTGACTAGAGGCAGCCAGGAAGAGCTTCTCCCACTGACAGATCAAACCATTAAGAAAACCAGCACACTTTGAGCAGATCTTCCAAAGAAAGGCATTCTGAGTGAACGGAGAAAGGATGCAGACCTTGGGCTAAAGACGGAAGAAGGTGGGAATGATCCATGGAGTTGCCGAGCTCAAGGACTCGATCCCGGCCCCCAGTGGTTCCTGAGGAAGGAGTGAGTTACACAGGCATGGAGTGACCCACTCTCATAACAGAACTTCAGAATCCGAGATGAAGGAGACACCAGGACCACCAAGGACATTTAACCTGGCAGAGAGAGCTGCTTGGAGCGTTGGCAGGGAGAGGACTTCAGCCTGCACAGAGTCCAGTGGGTTTGGGGCATGAATGGCTACCGTGGAACATGGCCAGCAATACACATTCCACAAAACTCACTATGTTTCTGTAGGTGGCATTGGCCTGTGTTGACTGTTAGATCTAGACAAAAAGGGCTATCTTGCCCCTGGGACAGGGCCAGCCTGTCCTGATGCCCCCATCTATCAGCCTCTCCCAGAGTCTCTGCCTTGCTACTCCCACTTGCAGTGCAGCTTCAGATGCTCAAACAGCATGCTTCCCAATGGCTACTATCATAGCTCCTGTGCCAGCAGACCCTGTCTAACTAGCAGAGATTTGCAAAAGAGCTCCCAGTGGCACACACTTGCCCAGAGCCTCCCCGGACACTTTGCCAACACGTGCACATGCACAGAACTCACCACACTGCTGTGTGGTGGTCACATGCACATGAATGTGGACCCTGTAGCCACTGCCCCAACAAAATGTTTTTGCTGGCACCCCCGATTGAAGTGTTTTTGCCAGCAGACTCCAGTCCCCTCCTCAGCCCCTTCAGCACAGCAAGTGTTTAACCTCAAGGGGGCAGAGAACTAAGCCGTGGACTTGGCTCCACCCCCTCAGAAATAGAGCATGCAGCTCAGAAGTGCTGAGCTGAGCCCTAGGATTCTGAAATCTTCCAGAAATAATGTCACGTGACTGAGCCACACTTATAGTCAAACCTTCAAGGACATCAAAGAACATAAAAGCAGAAAGCCCAATCCAAGGACAGCAATAAGAAAGATTAAAGGAACATCCGTCCACACGTATGAGAGAGAACAGGTGCAAGAACTCTGACAACTCTAAAAGGAACTGTGTCTTCCTATTTCTAAACAACCACACTAGCTACCCAGAATGGTTCAGACTGAAATTGTTGAGATAACAGACATAGAATTCAGCATCTGATGGCAATGAAGGTCATCAAGATTCAGGTGAAAGTTGAAACCCAATCCAAGGAATTTAAAGAATCCAGTAAAATGATACAAGAGGTGAAAGATGAAATTGCCATTTTAAGAAAGAATCAAACTGATCTGATAGAGCTGAAAAACTCACTACAAGAATTTCATAATGTGATTGGAACTATGTGTAGCAGAAAAGACTAAGCTGAGGAATGAATCTCAGAGCTTGAAGACTGGGTCTACAAATCACCTCAGTCAGACAAAAATAAAGAAAAAAATTTGAAAATGAACAAAACCTCTGAGAAACATGGAATTATGTGAGAAGACCAAACCTATGACACGTTGGCAAAAAATGTACAAGATGAACAAAACCTCTGAAACACATGTAATTATGTGAGAAGACCAAAGCTATGACTCGTTGGGAAGGAAAGCGAGTAACTTGGAAAACATATTTGATAATATTTTCTATGAGAATTTTCCCAACCTTGCTAAAGGGGTTGACATTCTAATTCAGGAAATCAAGAGAATCCCTGCAATATATTATGAAAGACAACCATCCTAAAGGCACATAGTCATCAGATTCATCAAGGTCAATGTGAAAGAAAACATATGAAATGCATGTAAAGAAAAGGATCAGGTGACCTACAAAGGGAGCCCCATCAAGATAAGAGCACAACTTTCAACAGAAAGAGGAAGAAAAATCTCTTACAAGCCAGAAGAGATTGGAGGATTATACTCAGTATTTTATTTTTGTTGTTATTATACTTTAAGTTTTAGGGCACATGTGCACAACGTGCAGGTTAGTTACACATGTATACATGTGCCATGTTGGTGTGTTGCACCCATTAACTTGTCATTTAACATTAGGTATATCTCCTAATGCTATCCCTCCCCCCTCCCCCCACCCCACAACAAGCCCCAGTGTGTGATGTTCCCCTTCCTGTGTCCATGTGTTCTCATTGTTCAATTCCCACCTATGAGTGAGAACATGTGGTGTTTGGTTTTTTGTCCTTGCAATAGTTTGCTGAGAATGATGGTTTCCAGTTTCATTCATGTCCCTATAAAGGACATGAACTCATCATTTTTTATGGCTGCATAGTATTCCATGGTGTATATGTGCCACATTTTCTTAATCCAGTCTATCATTGTTGGACATCTGGGTTGGTTCCAAGTCTTTGCTATTGTGAATAGTGCCGCAATAAACATACGTGTGCATGTGTCTTTATAGCAGCATGATTTATAGTCCTTTGGGTATATACCCAGTAATGGGATGGCTGGGTCAAATGGTATTTCTAGTTCTAGATCCCTGAGGAATCGCCACACTGACTTCCACAATGGTTGAACTAGTTTACAGTCCCACCAACAGTGTAAAAGTGTTCCTATTTCTCCATATCCTCTCCAGCATCTGTTGTTTCCTGACTTTTTAATGATCACCATTCTAACTGGTGTGAGATGGTATCTCATTGTGGTTTTGATTTGCATTTCTCTGATGGCCAGTGTTGAGGAGCATTTTTTCATGTGTCTTTGGCTGCATAAATGTCTTCTTTTGAGAAGTGTCTGTTCATATCCTTTGCCCACTTGTTGATGGGGTTGTTTTTTTTCTTATAAATTTGTTTGAGTTCATTGTACATTCTGGATGTTAGCCCTTTGTCAGATGAGTAGATTGCAAAAATTTTCTCCCATTCTGTAGGTTGCCTGTTCACTCTGATGGCAGTTTCTTTTGCTGTGCAGAAGCTCTTTAGTTTAATTAGATCCCATTTGTCAATTCTGGCTTTTGTTGCCATTGCTTTTGGTGTTTTAGACATGAACTCCTTGCCCATGCCTATGTCCTGAATGATGTTGCCTAGTATTCTTAAAGAATAAATTAGAACCAAGAATTTCATATACAGCTAAAGTAAGCTTTATTAAGTGAAAAAGAAATAAAATCCTTTTCAGACAAGCAAATATTAGTGAAATTTGTTACCACCAGATCTGCCTTACAAGAGGTCCTTAAGGGAGTACTAAACATGGAAACAGAATTCCATTACCTCCCACCACAAAAACACTCTTAAGTACATAGACCATTGACACTATAAAGCAACTATACAATCAAGTCTACATAACAACCAGCTAAGAGAATAACAGGATAAAATCTGCACATGTAATACTAACCTAAAAATAATTAGGCAGAATGCCCAACATAACATTTATAGAGTGGCAATTTGGATAAAGAAACAAGACCCAACTGTATACTGCGTTCAAAAGACCCATCCCTCATGCAATGACACTTGTAGGCTAAAAGTAAAGGAATGGAGAAAAATGTATCAAGGAAATGAAAAACAAAAAGAGCAGGGGTTGCTATTCTCATTTGAGGCAAAACAGACTGTAAACCAAAAATGACAGTAAAAAACAAAGAAGTGTATTGCATAATAATAAAGGATTCCATTCAACAAGCAGACTTAACTATCCTAAATATATATATCCAATACAGGAGAAACTAGATTCATAAAACAAGCTCTTAGAGACCTATGAAGAGACACAGATAACCACAAAATAATAGTGGGAGACTTCCACACCCCACTGACAGTATTAGCCAGATGTGATGCAGAAAATTAATCAAGATATTTGGGACCTAAATTGACAGTTGACCAAATGGACCTACCATACCAACTGCAGAACTTGAAGAAAACAACAATAGAATATACATTCTTATCATTGGCAAATGGCACATATTCCAAAATTGACCCCATCCTCATCCATAAAGCAAAACTCAACAAATTTGGAAAACACAGAATCATGCCAACTATACTCTTGGACTACAGTACAGTAAAAATATTAATAGAAGTCAATACCAAGGAGATCTCTCAAAACCATACAATTACATCTGCTCATGAATGATTTTTGAGTAAAATCTAAAGAAAAAAAAGATCCCATTAAAAAGTGGGCAAAGGTCGTGAACATACAATTTTCCAAATAAGACATACATGCAGCCAACAATCATATGAAAAAAAGCTCAACATCACTTATTATTAGAGAAATGCAAATCAAAACCATGATGAGCTATCATCTTACACCACTCAGAATGATTGTTATTAAAAAGTCAAAAAATAACAGATACTAGACAGGTTGTGGAGAAAAAAAGGATGTTTATGTTCTGTTTGTGGGAGTGTAAATTAGTTTAAACATTTTGGAAGACAGTGTGGCAATTCCTCAAAGGCCTAAAGACACATTCTATCTACCTATCTTAAGAGTATCTTTGAAAACGATAAGATTCTACACCTAGAAAAAGCCATAGTATCTGCCCAAAAGCTTCTGTATCTAATAAACAACTTCAGCAAATTTTCAGGATGCAAAATCAATGTAAAAATCAGTAGCATCTGTATACACCAATAATGTGCAAGCTAAGAGTCAAATAAAGAAGGCAATTGCATTCACAATAGCCACTGAATAAATGAAATACCTACGAATACAGCTAACAAATGAGGTGAAGGATCTCTACAATGAAAATTACGAAACATTATTGAAATAAATCAGAGAGGACATATGCAAATGGAAAAACTTCCCATGCTCATGGATTGGAAAGATCAATATCGTTAAAATGGCCATACTGCCCAAAGCAATTTACAGATTTAATGCTATTTCTATCAAACTACCAATGACATTTTTTACACAATTAGAAAAAAACTATTCTAAAATTCATTTGAAACCAAAAAGGAGCCTGAATAGCCAAAGCAATCCTAAGCAAAAAGGACGAAGTTGGTGGCGTCACACTACCTGTCTTTGAACTATACCACCAGGCTCTAGAAGGCAAGACAGCATGGTTATGGTACAAAAACAGACACATAGATGAAGGGAACCGGGTAAGGAATCCAGAGATAAAGCTGCACCCCTACAACCATCTGATCTCCAACAAAGTTGACAACAACAATCAACATGGAAAGGACTCCCTATTCAATAAATGATGCTGGGAAAACTGGTTGGTCATATTCAGGAGATTGACACTAGATTCCTTCCTTTCACTATATGCAAAAAAATAACTCAAGATGGAATTGAGACTTAAATGTAAACCCTGAAACTATAAATAATACAAGAAGAAAACCTAAGAAATACCATTCTGGACATAATCCCTGGCAGAGATTTCATGATAAAGATGTCAGAAGCAATTGAATCCCAAACAAAAATGACAAAAGGGATCTATTTAAAGAGCTTCTGCACAGCAAAATAAACTATTAACAGAGTACACAGACACCCTGCAAAATGAATGAGAAAATATTTGTGAACTATGAATCTGACAAAGATCTGATACCCAGAATCTTTAAGGAACTGAACAAGCAAAAAACCAACAACCCCATTGAAAAATGGACAAAGGACATGAACAGACGCTTTTCAAAAGAAAACATGTGTGCAGCCAACAAGCACTTGAAAAACTGCTTAACATTACTAATCATTAGAGAAATGCAAATCAAAACCACATGAGATGCTATCTCACACGTGTCAGAATGGCTATTATTAAAAAGTCAAAAAATAACAGAAGCTGGCAAGGTTGTGGAGAAAAGGAAATTCTTATACACTGCTGGTGGGAATGTAAATTAGTGCAGCTACTGTGGAGATCTGTCTGGAGATTTCTCAAAGAATTTAATATTACCAACCGACCCAGCAACTGCATTTCTGTATATATATCCAAAGGAATATGTCATTCTACCATAAAGACATAAAAATGCATATGTTTATTGCAGCAATATTCACAACAGCAAAGACATGGAATCAACCTAGGTGTCCATGAACAGTAGACTGACTAAAGAAAATGTTGTACATATACACCATGTAACACTACACAGTCATAAAAAAGAATGACATCATGTCCTTTGCAGCAACATGGATGCAGCTGGAGGCCATTATCCTAAGTGAACTAATGCTGGAAAGGAAAACCCAATAATGAACATTCTCACTTCTAAGTGGGAGCTAAACATTGAGTACACAGGGACACAGAGAAGGAAATAATAGACACTGAGGCCTACTTGGGGGTAAAGGGTGGGAGAAGGGTCAGAATAGAGAAACTACCTGTTGGGTGCAATGCTGATTACCTGGGTGATGAAATAATCTGCACACCAACCCCCCATGACACACAATTTACTCACAAAAGAAACTTGCACATGTACCCTACTAAACCTAAATTAAGAGTTGGAAGGGAAAAAATAGGTTTTAAAACCACCAAACTTTTCCCAAAGTGGCTGCACCATTTTGTAATGTATGGGGTTTCAATTTCTCCAGATTGCCATCACACTCTTTATATTATCTGTCTTTTCAACAGCCATCCTAATGAATACAAAGTTGTACCTCAATGTGGTTTGACTTACATTTAAGTAATGATTAATGAAGTCGAGCACCTTTTTGTGTACCTTTTGTAAGTCTTTGGGAAAATGTCTACTCAAATATTGTTTTATCATTTTTAAATTGGGTTATTTGTCTTTTTTGTTATGTTTTATGATTTTGTTATATATCCTGAATGTAAGTCTATTGTTAGATATTTTATTTGAAAATATTGTATTTCATTCTGTGAGTTAACTTTTCCGTTTCTTAGTAGAGTTAAAGTTTTAGCAACATTTTGCTCCATAATCTATTTGCAGTTAATTTTTTTTGTATTCTGTGGATTGGGGATCCAAATTCATTCTTTTGCATGTGGATATTCAGTACCGCATTTGTGAAAAAGACTATTTCTTAACTTTTTTAAAAAAAGAGCTCACACGTTTAAAGGGCAAGTTAAGAGACATCCTGAAATGTCTCTTATGGAATTAGAACTGTGTCCATTACTAAGCATACACTGACCTTACAAGTATACTTATTCTTCATCCTTATTAAAGAATACCATAATTAGCAGCTAAATAAGAAAATGGATATGAAAGTATGTTTTGCTAAAATGTCTTTGGAATACAATATTACCAAGTAAGGCAATCACAAAATTTACTTTAATTATAACTATTCTAAAGTCTTTACTGCATATTATTTCAGAAATTGCAGAAGCACCTTTATAAACAAGCTCGCTGTCTTTTTTCCAAAACACCTTGCAATATGCATTGAATATCACACACAAGACTTTAGCATGAAAATATAAAATTAACATAGTATTCATTTTTTTTAAAATCTGCTTTGATAAAATGGTAAATGAAAACTGAATCACTGAAAATTGTTTAAATATTAAATTTAAAACGTTTCTAAGAATTCAAAGAAAAATAAAGTGGTAAAAATACTAGTAGAAATAATGCAAGACTGTTAGGTGTAAATTATTCAAGTTTTGAAAGGAAGTTTTCTGAAAGAAAAAACAATATATTAAACAAAATTGATAATCACAGGAAAAATGGAAGAAAAACTTCCTATACTGGACAATTGTGACTTCAAGTCTAAACAAAATAATCTTTCATCTAGTCCCAAAGTGTATATGTACAATATGAAAGTGGAATTATAATGGTTTCAAGGTTTTTAACTACATCATCAAATTCTAGAAAATATTCGACAGTATCATCAGTATTTACAATATTTAGCATGAAAAGTGTAACATCTCAAGGATTCTATAACTAAATAAGTTATCGCGAGCAAATAAAGAAAAAATAATGACAGCTGTAGAAGGTTTTAGAAAAGATGCTACTGATGAGTATCTTTCCTCAAATAAAAGATTAAACCCTAATAACATTCTTCAGTAAACAAAATGATTAATCAGATCAAAACTGAGAATGGAAGTAACAGTGCCTCAGCAAATGTAGTGCAAGATGAGAACCCCTGTGGGGTTCTTCGTGGTAGCAGGGAGCAGAATATTGAGATGATGTTCTGTGCAGATTATAATTGAAAGGTCTATTGTTGATGCTGTCATATGAATCAGAGGAGATAACTGAGGCTTCTACGGGTTGTCATTGTTCTGCCACGTAAGAGTAATATCCAGATATGTCTTCTGGGTCTCTATAACAAAGGTACATCTATAGAAGACTGTATACACACATATTGCAGAGTCGCAACAGTTTGGTGACCCTATTCCAGCTTACCTTAAAAACTATCTACATCTGTACACTTTTTCCTCTGAGGTCAAAATTTAGCTGTGGGACTGTCCCATAAAGACTTTCATATTGTACATAAGCAACATATCTTTCTTGCTCTTACCTATAATAGGTATCTATATTTTTATGATAAATAAAGAAGCTCCAGATAGCTTTCAGCTAGTTCTCATGAAACTACCAAAATCATCAAGACAATAAAAACAAGCTAAAGAGTTTCCTTTACTTTAGATTACACAAACCAGGTAACATAAATGTATTACCTTTAGAAATGAGGACAATATGTGGCCACCGTACCAAACTTTCATTGATTTTTTAAATTAAAACATTAAAATGTTCTTTATTGTTATCAAGATGATAATGATGAATATATAAGTACCAAGAATAAATTTACTTATGAAGCATTTCACCAAAAGTGAAACTGCATAGCAGTGGGTCATATTAATTGCAAATATCATCACTGAATGAATTTTGGTGCTCATAAAAAGCCCACATACACATGTTTACATTGACACCATGATGTAGTCATGGATTTGAGTTTTACATCACCAGTAACCAGTCAGCCAAGTGGCCATTGTGAATTTGTACTTTTTGAGTGGCAAGATGTTACAGGGACGAGATTTTTCTCAGAGTTAGCAGATATTATTAGTCATCTTTTAGTCTTATCTGCAGGGTGTTTGTTCTATATCTCACTCTGATTGTGGAAGACAGTGATATCTTTACTAGTTGTAAAATTTATCTAATAATTAAAGCTTTGGTGATAAACAGAAGACCTGGAACCTGTGGTTTTCTTCTCTCCAGAGTGACAACGACTTATGTAAATTATGGGTACATGGTAAAAATATATCAGTTATTTTAGTTTGATCCAAATTGGACTTGCAAAGACTGCATTTAGCTGTCATTGAAGCCTTCTTGGAATAGTGGGACAACGGCAAAAAATAAAATAAAGTAAAATAAAATAAAATAAAATAAAATAAAATAGAAATGAAGCTTTACTTGCATATGCAATCAAGGACACAATAAGAAAATAAGTGTTCTGTCCATTCTTAACATAAAACTTAACATGCTGCACAAAAATTGATAACATATCTTTCTGTTTCTGTAATACAGAAAAATGTTAAAAACCCCACCTCTGTTTCAGCTAGTAGAGATGAGCACTTTGAAGTGTGAATGTTAACAGATAATTATGATACATGAAAAAAGCTGTTTGCAGAAACTGTGACTTTGTGGAAAGTTACCAGAAATATAGAGCAACAAACTTTTGTTTCTCACAAGATGGCTCTTCTTGACAGTTTTGAGGAAAACGTCACAATACGAGACTCAGAGGCATGGGAGTTTAAATACACATTCTGTCAATGAGCTGAGAAAATAAGGAACCTTTACTTTGGGAAATTAACATGTGCTAAGTATCTTCTTGCTAGTGCTGAAAATGACATTCTTCACTATTGGAATCTGTCTAACTGTGCATTGAAATAGAATAAAATATTTAATGTTTGAGTTGTAAAACCTGATCCTAATTCAGAAAATACTACTGCATAATTTTGATTTTCAAAAGATTTACTTTTTTAACCCAGCTAACTAAGGCCATTTTATATTCAAAAGAATATCTCCATTTTTAATACCTCCAAAGAGGAAATTCACTGGCGAGTGTTTAATTCTGGAGGTATCTCTGAATCATTCATCTTGGAAGCTTACCAGAGACTGAACAGATCACAGTTTTACTTAGTTTTATTCACAAAAATGACAAGAGTTTATTGACATGCAGTCCAACATTTCTTCTCGAAAAAATGTTTCCAGGAGAAACGTTGGACTGACTGTCCAAGAGACAAAATTTAGTTCATAAAAACAAATGGCTAATAGCAGAATAAAGTAATTCAACAATACTATTTAACTTCATGTATGAAATCTCAGACAACAGCAGGATTTAAAGAAATAAAACTTTGGGTAATGACTAGTAAAATTTCCTTTAACAGATACCACGCCTGCAATTATGGGATTCTTCCTACACTACGTCATGCAATGCTGTCTGAGTTTCTATGCTCTTTGTTTATAAAAGTATTAAGACTATCAGTAAAAGAAGTTGATAATTCAGATAAAGAAAGTAATTTTATTGGATACAATTAGATACAGATTTTGGAGAGGACACTGAACATGAGCTGTGGGCAACTGAAGAAAAAAAATTAAGGGCTTAGGGTAAGTAAATTAGATCTGCAAAACTATTCTTCAAACTTTCAGAATGAGGGCAGTATCTTAAATTTTTATTGTTACGTTTATATACCTAAAGCGTCGATTTTAATGTTACTTCTTTTCCAAAATAAAATATTAAAAAATGGAAAAGTAAAGGACTAGAGAGTAGTAAAATAGATGTCTACATGGGTTGAAATTAATATCAAAGTAATATGTAGAGATAAGTAAAACAAATTGTGTGAAGATTATTATTCATTTAAATTAAATTTTAAAATCAAAGATAATTTTTAAAAAAATCATATTGGTGGTAAAATTGATGATATATCAAAATATCGAATTATAGTCTCATTTTAATTTATGAATCCTAAGTTGTAGGTTCCAGGAAAATAAAATGGATGCTAAATTGTTTGTGTCATATGACAAAATGTCAAATGACATAGTTTTGTTTCATCCTTTGATAAGTTATTTATGTAAATATATATTATATAATCATAAATGTGTTTGATTGTTTACAGATAACCACCACTTTAAAAATAACTATCAGACATATAAGAATATTTAACTTAGTTCACATGAAACATAAAAATGTAAATTATAAGAATGCACACATACAAAACAAGGTAGTATATTTCCAAATATTTAAGTTGTAGCATTTAATTCAATTTCATAAGAAATAAAGTCTTGAGATTAATTTAAAACCATAAATCCAAACTATATGCTATTTACCAGTGATTTATTTAAAACAAAGAACTGAGAATAGTCAAAAATAAAAGATGACAAACAAGTATGTCAAATAAATGTATCCCTAAATCAGGCAAGAACAACAATATTATTTGCAGACCAAAAATAATCTAAGGCATAAAGCTTTGTTGCATATTATTCCAAATACATAAACAATTATGTGTATCATAACGTAAAGTTTCATGCTCCAGTGCTTTTTTCTTATGTGTTTGAAATTTCTTTCCCCCTGACCCCATCTGACTGGTGAAAATCTATTGTTTACCAAAATTTAGTTCAAGAATCACTTTCCCTATAAACTTCTCAAATGCATTCCACTCCTACCAACTCTTTCCAGCTTCCCAACAAAAAATTGAACATGTTCTCTGTTGTACCATCTTCATCTACATATATTTATTAAAATTCTCATCACTCTGTATAATATCTTTTTATCTGCCAACTTATGAAACAGATTGTGAATGCCTTAAACTTAAGGTTCTATGTCTTATTCATCATTGTGGCAGAGATGGGTTCTTTTTCTACTTCGTGGGCACATAATTATATGATATTTCTCAGCCTTTCTTATAATTAGCTGTACTTATACACTTTAAGGCCTTTTCCATACAAAGTTTCCATTTGCCATACTCTATGCCATTTTTCTTTCCCCTGGCTTGATGCCTAGGACCATGGTAACTCAAATGTTGGAAGAAGGTGGTTTCCTAAATTACCGCTAGGGGGTATGGGCTTTACCTCACACTGGCTAGAATTACACAAGTTGATGTTTTTTTTTTTTACGCTCAATACCTGGCACTTTATAACAGCTCAATAATAATTGCTGAGTGAACAAGTAACATTTTTTTATTCTCTGTTCAAAGTTATAACATATCTCCTCTAAACATAAAGCAGCTCTTTTCAACTATCCAACGCATTCCTTTCTATCTAGTTATCTGAAATATGTTGAATATTCAGCAAGTCTATGCAGAATCCCATTAATGTTTAGATATTGGTATTTTCATTGAATTTGGATAAAAATGGAGTTTAAATAGTTATGTACTGAATATTGACTTAATGTACTTAATAAAATATTTTATTTTTGTAAAAATTGAAATACTTCATTTACAATAATGTAATGCTGAAGTATAAATCTTTATTAAATGCAAATTTAAATAAGTAGCCCTATAAAATTCCTGCCTGTTGATGCTAGAATATAAGTTGTTCTTGATTTGGAAGAACATTTGTTTTTATAGTATTCATAACCTCTTGAATTATTAGAGAATATATGGAATCATTGTTGTGTTTAAACTGCTTTCCCTTGCACAGCAATATTTCATTGTTGAAGTGAAATGTATTATTTTTTAAAGAAATGCATTTAATGGTAATGCATATATTTTTGAGAGCCATGTTGTTTGTAGCTTCTATGATGTTTATATGAATAGGATATTTAAAAAAAATTTGTATTTCTTATTCTTGCATACAGTATCTTTTAAAATATTAGGAAGAGCCCAGCTTAGAGAATTATATCCCTTCTTGGAAGTAGACTTAAACAAAATGAAGCACTGCCAAAATCCAGATTAATGACTTGTGATGTGATTCTGTGTTAACTGCATCAACCAGGCAAGTCCTCTAAACTTTACTTGTATATTAAAGGAAAAAAAAAATACCACTATATTAGGCCATTATAGAGTTTTAGATAGAGAGGAGAGAAATAGAAATCCCCTCACCTCCCTTCAGGGAGGAACAAAGCAGGTAGAAAAGGGAATGTTGTTGAGGTATCTTTAATAATGCGATTATGTAAATAAGCAGAGTATGTGTGGCAGATTGTATTGTTTAAAATGTTTGCTGCCCCTCTCCCTGTGGAAGGATTCTGTATATCTGACCAACTGCCATCAAGTTTAACTATGAGACTTGCTTTAAGCAATATAAGTGAGCGTAAATGTTGTGTGAGAGCCATCAGAAGCTTCTGCTGTAATGGTGATGTGGGGCAGAGCATTGGCATTTAACCTAAAGAGGAAATTAACATTTTTCTTTAAGTCACTGAGATTTGAAGATTAGTTTTTACAGCAATATAATTTAGCATATATGATATTGTTTATCACTTTTTGCTAACCTCGGCACTGAAAAAGACTCCATTTAGCACTCATCTCATAGTATAAATAGGAGAAATAAACTTTCAGAAAAAATAATTAGTACATTCAGAAAAGTATCCTTTCTTATCAAAATTTTGAGTAGGCTCCCAGGAAAACCTACTTACAGGATGAAAGGAAACAAAGACCAAACAATGTGCCCCTTATCAGAGGACCAGTGTCTTGGAAATCACTCAGTAAGACAATAAAAAGTAAATAGAAATTAATATATAAACTTCGAGGGAGAAATAATTTTATAATTTTATAAATTCAGTTGTATTTCTTATTTGTGATTCATTTATCAATGGAGCTCATATTTAGTTTTTTTCTTACTCTGTATGCCCTTTAGACAACACACAATGTATATTACTACCCATAGGTGAATGGTTCTAGAGCTAGTTTTTACTTTGTCTTTTATGTTTTAGACACATATAAACTGCTACTAAATATCTCTATATGATATTCCAAAGGCAATTTCCTTTGTGAGTAGTAACAGCATTCTTCTAATACTTAGACCAAAATCACAGGAGTTATTCCACGGACCTCTCCCATTCAATTAATGGTTAATAAATCCATTTAATTATATTTATTTAACCTTCCTCTGATTAGAGCTTCTATTGCCCATAATCCCCAATGTTTCACCTGTATTGTTACATTCATATTTTAGTTTCTTTACCTTTAGGCTCACTACATATATATCTATCCTCAACATAAGCAAGTGAAAGGTCTGTCAGAAATGTAAATTTAACCATATAAGTGCCTCTTCTGTTTCTAAACTTAGTAAATCTCCATTTACCAAAACAAACGATCAAACTTTGCAGCACATAATTGCAAGCTTTCATGATCTTCTTTCTTTATTTCTCTGAAATAATTTTCTACCTCTTCCTTCATAGGACCTACATATTTACCATTCACTTGCAAAATACTTCATCATAAAGCACAGACTATATGCATATATGTCAAAATACGGTAAAAGAATACTCAAGAATACTAAAAGATAGTATTTCTTCCATATTTAATTGTAAAGCATTTCACTTGTAATCTTCAGCAAGTTTGTTTCAGTTACTTGTTTGTTTTCTCATGACACTGATCCATATGGTATCAGGACAAAGAAGCTAAGTACTGATAGTCCCTGACACCATGAAAAATAATCTCAACCACAAATAATCAATCTATTCTCATTGCACATTGAAGCAGATTTCAGAAGTGTGTTTTTCCATAGTGTCTATACAGATACAAAAATGTGTTGTTGTTTCATTGTATGTGCACACAAAGCTTGCGGAATACAGTTTTTTTAAAGCATATTCCATTCGTATCTTATAAAGGTGATTAATTTAAACTTACAAAATATTTTAAATGAATGATTCAAGTTGTACACAAATAAAAAATTTAGGAGAAGTGGCTTATATATGTGCCTCAAGCTTAAGAAACAGCTCTCTATTCTCATTGTTCGTCACAACAGGGGGTTGCAATGGATGAATGGCTTTGAGATCACATTAAATGCCTTGAAGCTTCATCCAGATGCTAGAATAAAAACTTAGACAACATATTCCACTCTTGTGGAAATCAGTCCTTTACAAATCTAGGTGCAAAGATTCACTGCAGGGTATTAAAAAAAACCTGCAGAGCCACTGGACCAGTTAATGATGTCTCCCTCTTCTTAATCATAATTTTAATCATCATAAAACTATAAAGCAAGAATTCAGACAACAGTAAGGGAAAATAAATAAATGCATTTGATTATGTTTCAGTCTTCTGAATCCTGACACACAGTTGAAATAAATGTGATTCTTACGTTTCCATACACATTAACAACAAAAGCAAGTAATGGCAGTAATTTTGCCTATTATGAGAAAGATAATTTTTTTAAACTCCTCAAAATCAGATTCACCTTTTGCTCTGTCTTATATTAACAAGTCTTTGTTCTTATATTTTGAAAACTGTATTTTCTAATATGTAAAGGTAATTTATCTTGTTTTTAATATTTCCTGGATATGCATTTTAGGTGAAAATATTTTGTTTTATTTCTCAATAATTATAAGCAAAATACAATTTATTTTTATTCTCCCATTTCATTATTGAACCTGTGCTCTAGTGACAACAATTAATTTTAATACTCATCTAGGCAAATCTGTCTCTGAAAATTAACCGTTTTATTGTGCAATATCATTATCACATCCCAAAAGCAAACAAATTATTTTTTCTGAACTGCATTAGTGCTTCTTCTCCATTCAGTCGAATAATTGAGTTAATGTTGCAATACCTCAATATTTATTGAGATTGCCTCAACTTGCAGGGAGGCCATCGACTGTTTGAAGCCCCAGATTGCATTGAGCATGTTAATAAGGAACAGAGCAAAAGAGAAATATTGACAAAACAAAAATAAAAATAAAACAAAGAAAAACAAACAAAAAGGTTAAAATGTTTTTATACCCTGCATAAGTAAGAGGGTAAAGGAGAGATAAAAGCTACAAACACAAGTTTCTGGAAACAGTAGTTTGTACTATTTCTCCTGGTTTTTTTTCTTTTTTTCCTTCAATTCATTTCACCACCTACCATAACCCAATTTTTTCTCCCCATTAAATGTTCTATATTATTTTATAAGTGAAGTGATCAATTATAAAATCCCTCATATTTCTCACCACCTCTTGGAATGTACTTAAGTCCACATCTAGTATGAAGTCAACTCTATCATTTATATTCATTATTTAAAACTTCTGCTCAGGCAATATTTGTGTAGCCCCTATAGGCCTCAACAGTTTAAAACTCTCAGTCTCAACAAATTATTTTCTTTAAAAACTAGGAATATGTGTTTACATCTCAAAGAAAAAGGAAATTCAAAAATAGAAACATCTTATAGAAGTTTATTCATGCAACATGAAACACTTCAAAAAAAGACTAAACAGAAATGAAAAAGGACTATACCAACATCTACCAAATTTTTTTTAAAAAATGGAGGTTAGGGGAGAAAGATAATATACTTAACTTTTTAAAAAGAGGATCAAATAAATAAATAAATGATTTTGGACTGGCACACAGAGCCAGAGAAAGACTTCTCCTCAATGTGTATCAACTCCTCAAAATCCACACTATGGAGGTGACTAAATCTGTGAAGTTTCCGTAACATGCCAACATCTTAAGATGAACCAATTAGATGGAGGCCTATATGTGTTTGGACTATTGAAGTTGACTGCTGGGAGATCAGGAATACAGATAATGATTCTGATTCTCTAAAAAGGAAATGAAGTCTTGACAGAATAATCCAAATGCTAAGGATATGGTACATAACAAATGTTTGTAGTGCCATTATATACATATTTTTAAAATTAACCCAGTAAGAAAACAGAGAAGCATCCAGGTAGTCTACAGGCATCCTCACTGAGCAAACTCCTCTCATATTACCTTTTCTTTAGCTACAAGAAGGTCATAAAACACAAAATTCCTTGCCCTCACAGTATATTGAAAGGAAAGTCAAACTAGTCTGAGATACCTTAAAAAGAGAACCAAAAGTTTATGAAAGATTATGTATGGACAGAAACATGCAAGCACAAATAATATAAAAAGATATAAAATGAAAATGTTCAAAATACTGCAATATGAAATAAAAGAAGAAACAAAAGATATACATAAAGGTTGCCACAACAAGAAAAATAAGGAACTCAAGAAACTTTTGTAAGTCAATGAAATAAAAAGCATAAGTTCTTAACATGAGATGATTAATTAAAAATTAATATGAAAGGTAAAATTCCAAACTTAAGAAGACATATTAAGAATGAAGACAATATCATCAAATACTTAAAAAATAAATTCAAATTAACAGTACAGATAATTGCAACAGTACTGAAAACAGAATTATTCCAAATAGGGCTTTGAAAGTCACAGTGAATAGAGATGAAAAATGACAAATTAATTAATCAGTTAAAAATAAAGAAATACATATGGAAGACAAAGGAAATTTAACATATAATATAATCAATATTTCTGAAGCAGAGAAGTCAACAAATGGCAAGGATTTATTTAACTAGATACTACAAAAGAATTTCCTTGAAATTGGGGGAGTTATAAAACTGAGTTTTGTTACTATGCACTCTGCTTAGAGGAATTTGATACAGAATGTTCAGTTCAAGATATTTCATACATCAGTTTTTGTTCCTTGACTATAACAAATTTGGTGAGCAAAACAAAAAAAATTTATTTCACAAAGCTTTCACACGTCTTTTGGAAATATGGTATAAAATGTGCCAAGCCAATGGCAGAGTTAATTCTAGTTGATTTGGACAGGGCAGTTTCTATGTTCTTCTTTTAACTTATCTGTATTTTTATAGTGTCTGCAGCTATTCTATGAATTGACATTTTCTTTTGCTAACTCCCTTATCAGCTAAACATTTGTTTCCCCCAAAGTTACTTTTCTATTTACTGTAAATATCCTAGAACAAGTTATTAAACATTACCATAGAATTTCCAAAATTTTACAAGGAGAAAGGAATAACACTTCAAGAATGGATACTTTTATTTATCTATCTATTTATTTATTGAGATGGAGTCTTTCTCTGTTGCCCAGGCTGGAGTGCAGTGGCACGATCTTGGCTCACTGCAACATCTGCTTCCTGGGTTCAAACGATTCTCCTCTCTCAGCCTCCAGAGTAGCTAGGATTACAGGCATGTGCCACCATGCCGGGCTAATTTTTGTGTTTTTAGTAGAGGCAGGGTTTTGCCATTTTTGCCAGGCTGGTCTCAAACTCCTGAAGTCAGGTGATCAACCCGCTTCGGCCTCCCAGCTCCAGCTGGACCCAAATATGCTTATACATTGAAGCAATAACTTTTTAAGTTATGTATTTTATTATGTTTACAAATTTATAGAAAAATAGCAATCTTAAGTTAAGCCTAATAACTTTCAAAATTGATAGAATTGAAAATATATTTTTTTAATTGTATTAAAATTAATTAATCAAATCATGTCTGGGATTACAGACATGAACTACCATGCCCAGCCAAGAATGTATACTTTTTAAAATATGTAAAATAAATTGTACCATATAGCAATTATATGGCTTTAGATACATTGAAAAAGCAATTTAAAATTTTAGCATATGGAATGTAAAATTAGACAGATTCTGTTTAAGTCTAGCCTGTGTTACCTAATCCCTCAATGACTTTGTGAGTTTTACTTATACACCCTACACTTTAGTTCCTCTAACTATACAATGTGGATAATAATATCTACCTCAGAGGGTTATCATAAGGTATGACCACAGCTTTATATTCTGCCTGTAATAACTACCGGATACAAGTTTGTTCTTAATGCTATTTTTATTTTCTATTTATTCTTCTCTTGTTTTATAAGTCAAAATCACATCTGGAGAAAGATTTAGATAGCAGTGGTGTTCAATGCTGTGTACACATTAGAACCACTAGGGAAGCTTTTTAAAAACACAGATGCCAGAATCCTATCACCAGGGATTCTTATATAATTGGCCTTGAGAGAGAATGAAACCTCAATATTTTTATTTTCCCCGGGTGACTATTTTGTGCATCCAAGTTTGAGATCCACTTATTTAAAAACACTTCAGTTTGTACCATCTGACTAGTTTACTTTCACATTCTTTAAATCCTGTCATTGACGTTTTGTTGAGTTGTGTCTACCCTATAAAACATTAGCAATCTATGAAACACAAATCCTTGTCAATTTTACCTCTCAAATATTTTTAAGCCAAATTTCGACTCAGTTTTCCTCATATTAGCAGTCTGGCCTTCATCATCTCCTACCTGGATTACTGCATAATTTCCCACTGCTCTCTCTTTCCAGGCTTGCTCTTTATAAATTTCTTTTTCAGGCTAGAATGAAACTCTCACTCACCTACTAAAACTTCTCAATGCTTATTTATCATAGAGGATGGAGCACAAATTCTGTGCTTTGTTCTTCAGTGTCCTTTATCACGTTTCCCCTTTTAAATAATTAAATTGAACACACAATCTGTATTCAAGCACCACCAAGTGCATTGTAGTGCCATAACTTTACACACAGTGTTGCTTTTTCTTCTTCTTTAAATGCCCTTCCTTCGTTTGTTTTCTTGTATCATCCTTTGATATTTATCTCAGAAATTCAGGCCTCCTGCAAAACCCCCAAACTCACTGTGTCAGGCAAACAGTGCATCTCCTATGCTCTTAAAGTTATCATTGTATTAATCACTTTATTAAAGTAATTCTTTTAGACAATATGTTCTTCAATGAAGGTGTGGTGTCTATCTCATCTTTGTATATTCAAAGCTTAACATACTCCTGTGGCAATCAGTAATGTGAGTTGATTAAAATGATTCAAGGAGCATAAAATTATAATATCAGTAGAGACTTCATAGCTTCTGGAGTAGAAATTCCCTAAATGACAAGTAAGAACATTTTTACCAAGCTTTTAAGAATCTTTTAGTATTATAGCTAAAATTAACTTTAGGGTTACCACATACAAGGATGGTAATGTATTGCATATTCTACAGAGTCAGGCTTTATGCCTTGGGATATACACATGGTATCTCACCCACTTGAACTGCACAGGTCGTATGTGGTGGCTCAGATTAGCTGGACCCAAATATGCTTATACATTGAAGCAATAACTTTTTAAGTTATATATTTTATTATGGTTACAAATTTATAGAAAAATAGCAATCTCAAGTTAAGCCTAATAACTTTTAAAATTGATAGAATTGAAAGTGTATATATTTTTAATTTTATAATCCTTGACTCTTTACTACAATGGCTATTCAACATGAAACCCCCATTTAATAACTCATCACTTAAATAAAAGTAATCCTTTTTCTCTTCAAAGTAATTTACTTAATTTAATCATGAGAAATAAATTTGTAAAATGATGTTATCAGAAATCATAAATTTAAAACTGACCAGATTTTAACATATATTTTTTCTTGTAATTGATTTACACAAGTGTTACAGAAAAGCATTACATTTGTTTTTCTCATTGAAAAGATCTTTGGTTCTTTCCCTACCCAGCAGCCCTATACCTTGCCTTAATGCTATGTATAGCTGGAGTTTATCTCATACCATGAATAGCCAAGCATCACATGGAATATATCCTAAGAAATATTCCATAAAAATGAACTTGATGGGATCATGACAGAGATGGCAGATCTACAAATTTTAAGAATTGGAGACTATCTCATAGACTTTGTTAAGATCACAATCAGTTCTCAACTTCAATGTGGTACATTTACAAGCATTGCAAACAGTGTGAGATCCCAGCACAGATGTCAAACCAGAAATTATGTGACTTGAATGGCTTGGAATAATGGCCCATTTGGGGCATCCAGCACTTCCACTGTTGGGTAAGTACTGTTGTCAACAGTCACACTGTCCAAGTGGATGATGCACCCTTGACATTCAAGTCCTATAAAAATAACTCCAGTATTCTGTTACAATTTTTTCAGTTGCAAAAATCTTCTTAATGCTGGTACTAATTTGCTTGATATTTTTCCTGCATCTTTTATAGCTTTAAAGTGGGGAATTGATTTTGGTAACACAAACAGATATTTCATTTTATTGAATAAAAGAAAGACATTGCAAATATAGCTGCCAATTCTTTTAGAGACTACTTTCAAATTCAACAAAGTTGAATAGTCAGTTACAAAATATTCGCTTCTCATGGGTATGGCAAAGTCTTCTTTTTGTTCATTTACATGGCATCTTTTGTTTTCAAGTTACTACAAAGATTATCAATGAAAACGAGTTTATTTTTGGACTTCAATTTCCCCAAGAGCCAAGCAAAATTAAGGAACCACTTTCCCAGTTTAGAAGCTTTCTTCTCAAACTCAATGATTCTCGGTATTTCACCACTTTTTTTAATGTTTATTTTTAATTTTTGTGGGTATATATTAGGTGTATATGGTATATGAGATGTTTTGATACAGGCATGTATAGACTATATGAGCAGTAAAAGGGAACCTACCAAAAGTACACTTATGGCTAAGACATTGAAAGGCTATGTAACTCTGCATTTCACTCATAATCTACTCTAATAAAATAATCTAATGTCTGAATTAAGACATTGGCTTTTATTATCTATATGTTATAGAATTGAAAAAAATGTTTTCTCGAAATAGGAATAGTCAAGTAAATAATTATGTATCCTTATAATGAAATGAATGCATTCATTTATCAAGAGATGAAATAAATTTAAAGATAAATGCCTTTAATTTAGAATTAAGTAAAAAAGAAAGTACACAAAGTTGTATATAACATACTATATCAAATATGTAACAAAGTATGCATAGAAAAAATAGAAATTAACACAAAAATGTTACGTAATTATTATCTATAGCAGAGAATCATGGATGATTTATATTACCTGAAAGTGCTTTGTATTTTCTATCCCCTTTTTTTGCTACAAATCAATTTTATAATTCAAAAAATTAAAAAAAGAAAAAAACTATGTACATCATATTATTAATGATAGAAAATGTGCTTAAATGCTTGCTTTTTATTACTGTTACAGTATACTTAGGTTGAAAGGTGATTATATATGAATATTTTAAAATACATATAATTTTCTGTGTGCCAGACACCTTTTCTATCACTTCAAAAATATTAACTCACTTAATCCTCATAACAACCCTAATGAGACTATTTCTATTATCATGCCTGTTTTATAAGTGGGAAAACCAAGGCATGGGATGCTAAGTAAGCAGCCTACAAAAAAACACATCTTTGGTGGGGGAGCTGAGATTTCAGAGTCTGTGCTATGAACTACTATGATGTTCCCATTTATAAAGATTATAACATTTTATCTCTTTTTAAAGTAATTGATTATTGTAATTTATTAAATAATAAAATTGGCATTTCTCAAAAACCAAATTAACATTTATAAAACCAGCCTACGAAGAAAACAATTATTTTACTTTTAGTGATACTATTTGATATGGTTTAGCTATGTCCCCATCCAAATTTCAACTTGAATTGTATCTCCCAGAATTCTCACATGTTGTAGGAGGGACCCGGGGGAGGTAGTTGAATCTTGGTATTTCCCATGCTATTCTCGTGATAGTGAATAAGTCTCACAGAATCTGATGGGTTTATCAGGGGTTTTCGTTTTTGCGTCTTCCTTATTTTTCCTCTTGCCACCACCATGTAAGAAGTGCCTTTTGCCTCCCACCATGATTCTGAGGCCTCCCCAGGAAGGTGGAACTGTTAAGTCCCATCAAACCCCTTTTTCTTCCCAGTCTCAGGTATGTCTTTATCAGCAGTATGAAAATGGAGTAATACATACAGTAAGTGGGTACCAGTAGAGTGGGGCATTGCTGAAAAGATACCCAAAAATGTGGAAGCAACTTTGGAACTGGGTAACAGGCAGAGATTAGAAAAGTTTGAAGGGCTCAGAAAAAAACAGGAAAATGTGGGACAGTTTGGAACCTCCTAGAGACTTGTTGAATGGCTTTGACCAAAATGCTGACAAGTGATATGGACAATAAAATCCAGGCTGAAGTGGTCTCAGATGGAGATGAGGAACTGTTGGGAACTGGAGCAAAGGTGACTCTTATGTTTTAGCAAAGAGACTGGTGGCATTTTACTCCTGCCCTAGATTATTTGTGGAACTTTGAACTTGAGAGAGATGATTTAGGGTAACTGGCAGAAGAAATTTCTAAGCAGCAAAGCATTCAAGAGGTGACTTGGGTGCTGTTAAAGGCATTCAGTTTTACAATGGAAGCAGAGATAAAAGTTTGGAAAATTTGAAGCCTGACTAAGTGATAGAAAAGGAAAACCCATTTTCCAGGGAGAAATTCAAGCCAGCTGCAGAAATTTGCATAAGTAGCAAGAAGCCTAATGTTAATCCTCAAGACCATGGGGAAAATGTCTCTAGGCCATGTCAGAGACCTTCACAGCAGCCAGAGCCCCAGGAGGAAAAAGTGATTTCTTCTTTTTGTTTGTTTTTTTTTTTTTCCCCGAGATGGAGTCTCCCTCTGTTGCCAGGCTGGAGTGCAGTGATGTCATCTTGGCTCACCGAAACCTCCACTTCCTGGGTTCAAGCGATTCTCCTGCCTCAGTCTCCCAAGTAGCTGGGACTACGGGCACGCACCACCACACACAGCTAATTTTCGTATTTTTAGTAGAGACAGGGTTTCACCATGTTTGGCTAGGATGGTCTCAATCTCTTGACCTCCTGATCCACCTGCGTTGGCCTCCCAGAGTGCTGGGATTACAGGCATGAGCCACCGTGCCCGGCCTGAAAAAGTGGGCCCAGAGTCTCTCTGCTGTGTCCAGCATAGGGACTTAGTGTCCTGCGTTACAGCCGCTCCAGCCATGGCTGAAAGTGGCCAACGTACAGCTTGGGCTGTGGCTTCAGAGGGTGGAAGCCCCAAGCCTTGGCAGCTTCCACATGGTATCGAGCCTGTGGGTGCACAGAAGTCAAGAATTGAGGTTTGGGAACCTCTGCCTAGATTTTAGAAGATGTATGGAAATGCCTGGGTGCCCAGGAAAAAGTTTGCTGCAGGGGCGGGGCCGTCATGGAGAACCTCTGCTAGGGAGTGCGAGAGAGAAATGTGGGATTGGAGTCCCCACACAGAGTCTCTACTGGGGCACTGCCTAGTGGAGCTGTGAGAAGACAGCTACCATCCTCCAGACCCCAGAATGGTAGACTCACAGGCAGCATGCACTGTGCACCTGGAAAAGCCCCAGACACTCAATTCCAGCCTACAAAAGCAGCTGGGAGGGTCACTGTACCCTGCAAAGCCATAGGGGTGAAGCTGCCCAAGACCATGGGAACCCACATCTTGCATCAGCATGACTGGGATGTTAGACCTTGAGTCAAAGGAGATCATTTTGGAATTTTCATATTTGACTGCCTGGCTGGATTTCGGACTTTCATGGGCCCTGTAAACCCTTCATTTTGGCCAATTTCTCCCATTTGGAACAGCTGTATTTACCTAATACTTGTATCCTCATTGTATCTAGGAAGTAGCTAGTTTGCTTTTGATTTTATAGGCTCATAGGTGGAAGGGACTTGACTTGTCTCAGATGAGACTTTGGACTGTGGACTTTTGGGTTAATGCTGGAATGAGTTAAGACTTTGGGGGACTGTTGATAAGGCATGATTGGTTTTGAAATATGAGGACATGAAATTTGGAGGGGCCAGGGGTTAGATGATATGGTTTGTCTGTGTCCCCACCCAAATCTGATCTTAAATTGTATCTCCCAGAATTCCCACATGTTGTGGGAGTGACCCAGGGACAGGTAATTTAATCATGGGGGCCGGTCTTTTCAGTGCTATTCTAGTGATAGTGAATAAGTCTCATGAGATCTGATGGGTTTATCAGGGGGTTCTGCTGTTGCTTCTTCCTCATTTCTCTGTCTCTGGCACCATGTAAGAGGTGCCTTTCACCTCATGTCATGATTCTGAGGCCTCCCCAGCCATGCGGAACTGTAAGTCCAATTAAACCTCTTTTTCTTGCCAGTCTCAGGTATGTCTTTATCAGCAGTGTGAAAACAGACTAATATACTATCCTAACCTAAATAGCCATTTTATTTTAATAAACTTAATATACTTGATGCCTCTCAAGAATCATGTTCTTAAAATGTATAGTCACTTAATTTGGCCTTAAATAATTTATAGACCATTGTTTTAATATTTTGTTAAAATGCTACTGATTACTAGTTATCATAGCCAGCAATTTGTAGAATCTATGGGAAAAATTTTCCTTTACATTGGCCTTAGAAGAGTTTTTTAATTGAAGACACACTTTTGAGAGAGACTGCTGAGCTTGAGTTATAAATGATAAGTCCTTTTTATCACAGCTGGTTCAGTTTAATCACTCAGCATGGATAACCACGTGATGAAATGTATTTCTCCTTTGTGCATATTACTAAGCATTATTATTGGGAGATATTTAAATTTGTTTCTTTGCAGCTGCCAAATATGCCTTGTTATATATTGCTTAAACATGAGTTCTAAGAACATGAATAAACAGTGTTTTTTATAACAATAGCTTTCACTCTCACAAGGAAGTTGCCTGTAATTTAGAAAGTTTTCAACTGAAAACATAAAAAACTATGCTAAATAAGCCCCACACCAGAACAGATGTTCTGCTGCTTGGTTTTCAAGAAGTTTACATAATTTAAGTCATGTACAGTTTCAATAAACATATTTCCATAAACATAGATTCTTTTCATTCTCAACATCAAACATTTACTATGGCTTGATATGTGCTGCAAATTCTGCTAGATATTATAATGCAAAGTAACAGCCTCTAGCCCCTGTTCTCAAAATTATGGGACCAGATAAAGCATTGCAAATCAGATGGCTGGATGATTGGATAAATAGAAAAATGACTAGTAGTTAGATAAACAGATAGATAATGCAGGAACTTGGAATCTAAAATTTTAGTTGAATATTTTATTGACAAGAAGAACTTTCAGAATTATGCAGTTGTAACATTAGGCTAAATGGAAATACAGTAAAAAAAATATGTAAAACATACCATAGAGGTGATAATTATTAAACAATAAATGGCTGTGTCATTACTGTAAGATGGGAAGAGCAATAGATTTTGAATTTACTGTTGTGTTCACTGGGTCTTGGTTAATCACTCTTTGAATGTTTATGATAAATATGGGTTTTAGAAGGAAGGTAACATAAAGCAACTGCTTCAGGAAATCAAGAGCACTAACAAATGCTAAGCTTTAAGGAAAACTTTCCCAACAGGGTATAACTTGAGCTGGAAACATTTTCACAAATATTGTCAGAAAAATTAATTCACTGTCTTAGAAGACATAATTTTCTTACTTAAATTATTGCAAGTTTTCAAATTATAGAGAAGAAAACAATCTTCCTAATCAGACCCATTATGCCAGAATATCTCTGATTCTAAATATGAACAAGAAATGCACATCCCTACACAAACATCACTCAGTGAATAAATATGCCAACAACCAACTTAAAGATGCAAGTCAAATTCATAAGCATATTTGAAAATTAGTAGTGATGCTTGTAAAGGTTTATACTGTTATTGGAAGTATGTTTTATAATTATAGTTTAAAAATAAAATTTACATTATTATTTTGGCAAAGAAAATTAGATAATCTCAGTATATGATAAAAAATGAATCCAAAAAGATCTATCAAAAATTGAAGATAATATCATATAACATGGAAAAAATAACAAAATTAAAGCAACAATACAGCTAATAATGATATTATAGGGATCATCGAGATATTCCTAAAGCAAAATTTCTACACACATATTTGGCATGGTTCTTAAACTTCTGACTAATACCTAAACTTCAAATAAAAAGAGTTGAGAAAGTGGTATACAAGAAATTTACATAGGTAAATTTCTCAATAAATCCAATAAAAATAATTTGAGCTAGTAGGGTTGTATAAAGGTGCAAAACACAAAATAAACATACTAAATTAAATAGTCATTGTTATGTGTAAGGTACTCAGGTCCTGCTTATGCTAGGTTTCACAATTTAATGTGCCTGCTAAACTAGTGGAAAGGATTGTTATAACTATATGGGTATCTGAGGCCAAGAAGCTCCCAAAGGTGGGAAGAAATGATGTATAATTTTCATACATATGTTATATATATGTATATATGTATATATATATACACATGTATATATGTATATATATATGTATGTATGTATATATATACACACATGTATATATGTATATATATACACATATATATATATCAAGGTGAAGGGAAGTCAGGCATCATATATTTGAGCAGACAGAAATAATATGTCACAGTAACTTTATTTTCTGCCCAAAATTCATAGAATTCTATATAAATTGAAGGGAAAGGGATTTCTGAGTACAGACTAAAAGAGCATTTTCACTAAAAATTAATTTAGTCATTCAAGTACAGCTAACAATGACTGGTAGCAATTTAACACAGTACAGAACCAAAAGGGAGACAAGGTCTTCTTTCTCACTTTACCATAGCTCTCTTTCATCCTGCTGCTGAATTTCATCTATGCTGCTAAAATGTATTATTAAACTAACGTACCAAGTATCAGAATAATGCACAGACATTCCATATATGTTTCTGTGCAACATGCTCACATGTGCATAAATAAATTATGTACTTACATAATTATAGGTCTGGAATGATGTATACCAGGGCTCAGCAAACTATTGCCTACTACCCAAAGCCAGCCCACTGCCTGTTTTAATAAAGTTTTCTTGGAACAAACCAGCTAATCTGAAATATAAGGAAAGCTAGGAGCTTCCAAGAAAAGGCAGGACAAGATGGCTTGCTTACATGAGTATTATATTCCTGGGCTGCTGTAACAATTAGCACAACATGTTGAACTAAAAGAGCAGCAATGCATTCTCTCACGGTTTTTCAGGCCAGAAGTCTGAAATCAGTTTGAATGGGCTGAAATCAAAATGCTGGTAGAGAGGCACTCTGTCTAGACGTTCTAGGCTCTGCTCTATGAGGGCAGATCTCACCCCTGACAATCCGGAGACACAGTATCTGCTTAAATCTGAGGCTGAATCAGAAAGCAAGGAGAACTTGCCCACTCATGAAGACTTTGCAGCTAAACAAGAGCTAAGACAATAGGAAAAAATATTCCCTGAAGTGGAAGTGTAAAGGAAAGACTCAAAACCAAGGGTAGGTACACATTGAGATAAATCTTCTGGCACACCAACCATCACA
The DNA here is from genome assembly GCF_000001405.40 of Homo sapiens. Lineage (NCBI taxonomy): Eukaryota > Metazoa > Chordata > Mammalia > Primates > Hominidae > Homo > Homo sapiens. Next base: position 41,316,178 of record NC_000014.9, read on the forward strand.
ATAAACACAAGGTAACACTAGCAAAATTTGAAGCCTATGGTATTCTGAGGGTAACTGTAGCAAAAATAGTTCCCAAAGCAGCTCTACTCCTGATGAGATTAACTCAGTGCCCCATACTAAAGACCAAGAAGAGATAGAACAATGTATCATTTTAAAGAACATAAAGTGATGTTACTAACAAAATTACAATACATTTGGTGAGGGAAATCAGCAGCTTAACATATCACAATATTGGTGCTTGATATCATAATCAAAGTATCTTATTCCTAAGTAAAGAGATAACCTAATGTCACATTCTATACATTTTCTACTTTCTCAAAAATTGTTAGAATAATTTTTAAAATTTATCACTTATTAAAGGAAAAATGTATTAAAATGTAATTACATGCATGTAACATTTTAGCATTTTCATGTAACTATCTTGTTAACACAAAAAGTAAGCTTTCATTAATTATATCACAGTGCAGAGAAAGACAAATTACTGTAAGAGAACAGTTGCATTTCACACTCACAATGTAAAACATCAATAAATGTCTGTAAACTGTAATAAGAGCTTATAGAAAGCAAGAGATTATTCACAAAGAACTGAAGAACTGGTCTTGTAGCTGAATACAGAATACCTGTATGAAAATCTCTAATTAAAGTCAAGTAAGAATGAGCTTAAGTGAAATAAGCTAGGTGCTTGGAGTTGAATACTCAACATTTCTGAGTAACAGAAGAATAACACTAGGAACAGAAATTCAGATAGAAGTAGCTTTTAAGTAGCATTATGTTTCACTAAAAACAGAGAGCATATGCTTGAGATAAAATTACAAGCTTGTTGAATTGATACATATAATTTTAAAGAGGTCTGTGGTATATATAAGAGAAAATAACTCAGTTACTGATTATAATAACCATCCCCATGAATATCCTGAAGAAGAAATTTTCAAAGCTGGAATTAAACCTACATAATAATAAGGGATAATTGTTTTTTATGCTAAATTTTACTGTTTTATATCTTGGAGATTACTAATTTTTGAAACTTAAAATACCTAAAATTTAATTATGATTAACATTTCATAAGCCGTGGACCTGATTGAAAGTGATCTCTTGACTGTTTCATGGAATGACTAAATATTGTATTCCCTGACTGACAAGTTTTGTAATGTCAAGGTTATTTGACCAAATAAAATTGAAATTTCAAAAATAATTTCAATATTTATTTGCACAATGATGTCAAGTCATAACTATATTTTCTTTAAATCATCTCAAGAATAATTTACCACAAAATGTTGCAGATTATTTGAAGTTATTTTGTCTAATTATTTATTTTTAGATGAAGTAAGTGAAAGAAAGAAAAACATAGTAATTTACCTAATGATAAAAAAGCCAAACTTGAAGACCACCAAAACCATGTTATGCCAGTTCTAATGAAGAATAATAAATCCTATATTTAAATTTTACAGTTGAAAAAAATTTTTTTGAAAAATACATCGTTAATTAAATTTAATTTTTCTCAAACACTTTGTCTTTCAACTGGGAGCTCTCTGAGAGCAGAGATTTTTGTCTGTTTTTTATACTTCCTACTTTCTTGATATCTTTTTTTATTCAACATGAAGAACAGAGGCTGGCATTAAAAAATAAGCTTTGATAGTTGATTCTCAAATGCATGAATATATAAGTAACCTTTGATGTCTCTGGCAGAATTGACAGCAAAAAAGGAGGATAACTTTTATTGGCACTTGTAAGTTAGGTACATAAGAGTTGGAAGTATATTGCATAGTACTTAAAACTTAATTTAATGTGAACATGTAAATTCAAGAGTATCTTTTCAAAACTCAAAAAGAATCATATTATTTGCTTGTTTGTTTTTCAATAATTTTTATTAATAATTCTAGTCAGAAATATTTTAGTTGCAAAGAATAAAAACCAAATCTAACCGGATTAAAATGTTTTTTAAACACCTAAACATTTTTTAAAAATGTTTAAAGCATATTAAAGTAGGGAATTCTCACAACATTCCAAAAAAGAGCTAACATTGGTATCTTGGGAAGTATAAAAATCAAGTTATCTCTAGGAACTCCAATGCCAAAAGTTCATCAAAGACATTCCCTATGCATCAGAGTTATCTTTCTTCAGTTACATTTTGTAATTTGCTGCTATTTTATCACCAGCCAATTCAGCCTCTAGATGTCTCAGTTCTATACTTCTCAGAAATATTTAGCTCAGCACAGACTAAATATTTCCACCATGTTCACTATGTGTCTACCTCAATCCAACGTTTACTTTCTTTGTGTCATCCATTGCAGTCTCTCCCTCTTCCCAGGGAGGTTTTAATATGAGAAGCGAAAGGTTAGTGGTGGCCATCAAACTGAATAACATCTAAAATTAAAATCTTGAGAATAAATTTTGAACTTCTTCAATTGTCTCCTGGTTAGCCTCAATCTACCATTTATCTGTTTACTTACTGTCTCTAGTTGCATTTCCCCATACTCCACACATACATGCATATTGCATTTGAGGCATAAGCCTATGCCTTGGCTGTGTTTCCCTCTGCTGGAATTGTTTACCCTTCCTTCCACTCAGAAAAATCTTACTCCTTTAAAGCCTCAGCTGAACTGTAACCTCTTCCAAATCAACAAGGAAAGTCCATTTCCACCTCCACTGGAATCCCTTGGCATTTTAATTATACTGTTCATATAGCTGTTCATGACGTGGCTGACTTTGTCATGGTCCCCATGAGAGCTCCATTCACGCAGGCATCAGCATAACATAATTCCTGGGCCTGTTGTCCATTTTTGTGCCTTTCCCATTTTTGTTAAAAGTTTAATTTTAAAAGCCTCATCATTATTTCCAATTGCTGTTTCTCCATTTTCTCCTCCTAAACAACATACAACTCTTCTTGACAAAGTTATTTACTAACATTACTATAAGTAACTGATACTATTGGAGTTGTCCAAAATGTAAACAATACATAAGTGGTACCCATAAGATATTACAAAAGAAAAATTTCTGACTGAAAGTAACTGTGTATGCTAAGTCAACAGAATTTTAGACATCATCAACTTTAATTACATTAGCTGCCCCAAACAATCACAACTCAGATTAAATTAGATGGTCTAACAACATGAACAGTTTTCCATTCTTCCTATTCTAAAAGGCATTTTAAAATACAGAAATTTTATTTCAAGTGTTTTCTGTCCTGGAGATTAATGTTTCAACAGCTAATTCATTCAGTATCACTTAACATATTAGTAAAAGAATTATCATAACCCCCAAAAACACAAGTTGGAAAACAATGCTTCTTTTTTTGTTAAATTTTAATATGTATTTGATACATGCTACAGATAGGGGTTTTAAAATGCTCTACTGATTGATCTTCTCTCAGAAACTTTAAACCAAAGTTTTATGCTATTAAGATTCTGACTTATATTCAAATAAACTAAAAGTAACCAAACATGCCATCAATAAGCCTAATAAGATCAGTATTAATTTTAATATTTTTCTTCAATTTTTTGTTCAATTTTTGAGTCAGATATTAAAAGTAGGAATAATATATGAACACTTCATTAACTCCTTATGCCATACATTTTTAACATTATATTTTTCTTTAACTAAATAATAGACCAAAAAGAATTAATAAAGTATTATTCCATATTGACAGGGAAAAGGCCACTGACTAAGCTACTCTTCCTTATTCAGTATTTAGTAATTATAGATTATGTAAAGACAGATAAATTGTTTGAAAGATTAAGAATTTCAATTTCTGCTTCTGGCTAGTATGCACATGGATTATCATGCTAAATATAACTGTATTTTATTTTTACCGTAAAGAATACTTTTCATTAATTATTAGGATCACTAATAAGTATGGCAAGAGAGAAATGGGAAATAAATCCATTAAAGTGTAAGGATTAATAAGGCTAAAAATGAGATTGACAATGACTCACTAAAATAAGGAGAATACATCCCCCCACTTTCAAACATTAACCTAGGAGTCCTCCATGAGCGATAACTGTTTCTAGGATAGGAATATCTACTTTTTTCCAACAGAAGTAAGCAGCATTCTCTCTTGAATATATCATCCACAATTTAGGACCTCTATACACCAGAGATTACATCAACAAAATAAAAACTTACCAAAAACATACAATGAACAAACTCTAATTAATGAGCATAAACATAAAAAAGCAGATCTAGTACCATGCCTAGATATTAGACATGTTGGAATATTTAAATACAGAATATGTAATAACGGTGTATAAATAAAAAAATGAAATAAAAACATGCAAAAAGAGGAGGCCATAAATATTGGCATCAAGATTAGAAAAATGAATAGAACACTAAAATATAAAAATGCAATAATTGAAAGTAAAAGACTACAAGATCCAATGTCAATGTACAATAAAGAACATAATTTTGACCATCACTCATGATAGAGATAGGCTATTTATATATATATATATGCAAACAAATGCTTTAAGACATCAGAATGGTAATACAGTAGTGAAGAATTCCTGAGCCAACTGTGGCATAAAATATAAATCTGTAAAGATGAGCCCAGCATTTGGGTGGCATTGAGCCTGAGGGTATTAGCTGATAAGGAAGAGGAAGGTAAAAGGATTAGCAGCAAGTATGCAGTCTCTCAAGGGTATAGGGTCATATTTTAGAAACAATAGGGCCTCCAGGAATGGAAACTCTGTTGAACACTCCTATGTTTTTGGTAGTGACCCCAAAAGGCTGCATGCCAGTATTTGGAGCAAATTGAGACTATAGCAGCATTAGCATAAACTGCTTCAAATTGTCCATATGGTCTAGAAAATTTAAATCCTTAAACCTGGATACAGAGTAAACATTTATATATCAATTTTATGTCTATATTTCAAGAAACAACAATTTGAAAATACACATTTTTACAAATTACTTACAATCACAAAAGACATTAAATTAGGAACGAGGTATCACAAGCAATTTTGAGTTTATTCCAGATATATTACAGTGATGTAACACCAAAAATGAGTTGATTAACATTGTATAGAAATGGAAACAAATATATGATTATTTCAATACATGAAGAAAAAAGTACATTTGGTAAAAATACCTAACTCTGAAGGCAGAAGAGAAGTTTTTTGATATGACAAATAATGTCTAAGATATACTTATCATAAGTAAAATGGTTGACTATGATTTATTAAATAATTTTCCTATTAGATTCATAATAAGACAAGGATACCTGAAATAAATAGTTCTATGAAACCAGGCCTGAAGGTCCTAGCTGGTGAATTAAGGCAAAACAAAGAGATATAACATCTAAGGACAGAAAATTATTTTAAAGAAATAACTTTTTGGAGAAGACATCATTGTGAATGTAGAAAAATGTTTCAGAGAACATTTTGCAGTTAATAAAATAATAGCAAATTTGATGGAAGCATGGCATGTTTGTGAACTCACAGAAATAAATTATTTTTCTACACCATCAGCAATAGAAAATATGCTTTAATATAGGAACCATTTATAATAGCACACATAATCAGATAATAATAAATACAACAAATGGTATGTAAGATTTCTACATAGAAAACTAAAATATATGATTGGGAGAAATTAAGGACCTAAATAATAAAAGACTAGACATATAGAAGGGGTAAGGGCCAGGTAGAGCAAAGATGCTCCTGAAAAAGAGCAAGGTGCATAAATTTGTCATAGCAGATAGTAAAATTTAGGGAGAGCTACAGTGCTAAGTATCCTGTGGTATTTGCACACGAATGGGTAAATGGGCCAATGGAACAGCAAAGATTGTGCAGAAATAAATTTACTTCTATTTAAAATAGTAGATGTGAAAGAGCTGGAATTGAAGATGATTGTAAATAAAGGAGTTTGTTTAATAAATACTTCTGGATTAGTTTGTTTTTCATATAGTCATTATATGAATTTTGATTCTTATGCAACATGCCATTTGCTACAAATCAAAATAAATGATTTAGCATTTTAAACCTGGAAGACAAAATTTGAATATTTACAAGTATAGCAGAATAGCTTTGTAATCTCAGTATGAGAAAGATTTATTAAATACTTTTCAAAATGTACTGAGGGTAATAAGAGACAGTACATTTTATTTCATTAAGAACTTCTGTTGATAAGGATACACTGAAGCAAAAATGCAAGCTGCAATACAGATAACTAGCAATGTTGATATTCAGATTATTGACAGAATTCCTGAAAATCTACAGGTAAAATACATTATCTGTTAGAAAAATAGAAGAAGACAGAAAGAGGAGCTTCCAGATAGCTGAACAAGTGGAGGTTCCTGGAAGGTGACACAACCAGGGAGGGCATGGAAGCTCGCTCCGCTTCCCACATAGCTTGTCCTATGCATTTCTTCATCCGTATCTTCTGTGATAATCTTTTATAATCAACTCGTAAACCTAAGTGTTTCCCTGTTCTATAAGCCGCTCCAGCAAATTAGTCAAACTCAAAGAGGGGGTTGTGAACTTGAAGCCAATGGCTCAGAAGTTCTGGAGGCCTGGGCTTGTGACTGGTGTCTGCAGGGACTGGGAACGGTCTTGAGGACTAAGCCTTCAGCGTGTGGGATCTGATGCTACCTGCAGGTAGATAGTGTCAGAATTGAATTGGAGGACATCAGCCTGATATTAACAGAGAGGACAAACAGTAGCTGAGAGGAAAGAAATGAATAAATTGAGTATTAATTGAGGAAAATTCAATATTATATTAACAACTCGAAAGAGTCTCAAAGCAAGAGATGATATTGTCTCTCAGCGTAATTATTCCAGATGCCTGAAAGGGTGAAGATACACATTTGCCGAGACCACTCCTACTTTTGGAATCTGACAAGATTGAAAGGAAGCCTATAAGCATGAGTAACCTCACCCTGGCAGACATTCTTACAATGTGGTGGAGTGGACTAATTATGAATGGTTCTGTATATTTTTTTGATGTAAAAGATCCATGGCCAAAAACCAGGGGGTGGCCTGTGGTGGTGAGATATATATATATACATATATATATATATATGTGTGTGTGTGTGTGTGTGTGTGTGTGTGTGTATGTTTTCATTAGTTTTCATCTATGGTTCCTGGTTAATAACTCCTAAAATCCTTGGGATTTCCAAAGTGCTGTCTTTTGTGTGTCTTCTGTCTGATAGGTTCAGGGTGGTGCTGGTCACAGGAAAGACTAAGGCGGGATTAGAGGACTGGACTTTCAGCCCCACATTGCAACCTCCAGGGAGGGGACAGGGGCTGAAGGTCAAGTTGATCACCGATGGCCAATGGTTTAATCAATCATGCCTACATAACGAAGCCTTTATAAAACTGAAGAGGACAGGATTAAGAGAGCTTCCAGACAGGTACACATGTGAAGGTTCCTGGAGGGTCAGCGCCCCAGGGAGGGCACACAAACTTCCTACCTTTTCTCCCATACTTTGCCCTACATCTTTCTTCATTCTTTGTAATATCCTTTATAATAAACCAGTAAATGTGAAAAAGAAAGAAAGAAAGAAATTTTACATAAAAAATTTGATTTTTCTAAGACAAAAAGGGCAAACACACACACACAAAAGATCTTCAGCCTCATTAGTAGTAAAGAAAAGTAATTTAACCACCCTCCCAAAAAATTCCATACTATGGCTACATGCATAGATTTGACAAAAATTTAGAATTCTGAGAATTACTAATGTTGGTAAGAATTTAGAACAAAATGTGGCTCTTACTCTTATTCAAAGTATAAAATTAAGCTCCATGTTGGAAAGGATGTGTCATTGTCACTAAAACTACATATCATTGGGTTATACTTAAAGACATGTCCTATAAAATCTCTGCAATGTCTAAACTAACAGATATGTGTAAGAATATTCTTAGCAGCGTAGTTCTTAAAAGAAAAAAATAACTAGAAACTATTCAAGTGTCTATGAACAGGTAAGTTAAATAAACCGTTGTTTACTTAAACAAAAAAAAATTAGACAGCAGTGAAAATTAATGTAGGAAATGCAGCTGACAAAAATATTGCTAAGTGATGAATACAAATAAGGGCAAATGCAAACAAAAATATTCACATATAGAATAGAATCAATATTCCTTACCCTGACTTTCAATTTCTACATGCTCTGGTCCCATTTTATAACATCCTTATGTATAATTGATTGATTGATTGACTTTGTTTCCCCCACTAGAATGGCACTCCATGAAAAATATAGATTGTATTTATTTTTTTAAATCATACTTTAAGTTCTAGGGTACATGTGCACAATGTGCAGGTTTGTTACATAGGTATAAATGTGCCATGGTGGTTTGCTGCACCCATCAACTTGTCATTTACATTACTTATTTCTCCTAATGCTATCCCTCCCCCAGCCCCCCACCCCCTGACCGGCCCCAGTGTATGATGTTCCCCGCCCTGTGTCCATGTGTTCTCATTATTCAGCTACCACCTATGGGTGGGAACATGCGGTGTTTGGTTTTCTGTCCTTGTGACAGTTTGCTTAGAACGATGGTTTTCAGTTTCATCCATGTCCCTGCAAAGGACATGAACTCATCCTTTTTTTATGGCTGCATAATATTCCATGGTGTATATGTGCCACATTTTCTTAATCCAGTCTATCACTGATGAACATTTGGGTTGGTTCCAAGTCTTTGCTATTGTGAATAGTGCCGCAATAAATATACTTGTGCATGTGTCTTTATCGTAGAATGATTTATAATCCTTTGGGTATATGACCAGTAATGGGATTGCTGGGTCAAATAGTATTTCTAGTTCTAGATCCTTCAGGAATCGCCACGCTGTCTTCCACCATGGTTGAACTAATTTACGCTCCCACCAACAGTGTAAAAGTGTTCCTATTTCTCCACATCCTCTCCAGCATCTGTTGTTTCCTGACTTTTTAATGATCACCATTCTAACTGGCGTGAGATAGTATCTCATTGTGGTTTTGATCTGCATTTCTCTGATGATCAGTGATGATGAGCATTTTTGCACATGTCTGTTGGCTGCATAAATGTCTTCTTTTGAGAAGTGTCTGTTCATATCTTTGGCCCACTTTTTGATGGGGTTGCTTGCTTTTTTCTTGTAAATTTGTTTAAGTTCTTTTTAGATTCTGGATACCAGCCCTTTGTCAGATCAGTAGATTGCAAAAATTTTCTCCCATTCTGTAGGTTGCCTGTTCACTCTGATGATAGTTTCTTTTTCCTGGGCAGAAGCTCTTTAGTTTAATTAGATCCCATTTGTCTATTTTGGCTTTTGTTGCCATTGCTTTTGGTGTTTTAGTCATGAAGTCTTTGCCCATGCCTATGTCCTGATTGGTACTGCCTAGGTTTTCTTCCAGGGTTTTTATGGTGTTAGGTCTTACATTTAAATATTTAATCCATCTTGAGTTAATTTTTGTATATGGTGTAAAGAAGGGATCCAGTTTCAGCTTTCTACATATGGCTAGTGAGTTTCCCCATCACCATTTATTAAATAGGGAATCCTTTCCCCATTGCTTGTTTTTGTCAGGTTTGTCAAAGTCCAGATGGTTGTAAATGTGTGGTGTTATCTCTGAGGCCTCTGTTCTGTTCCATTGGTCTATATATCTGTTTTGGTACCAGTACTATGCTGTTTTGGTTACTGTAGCCTTTTAGTATAGTTTGAAGTCAGGTAGTGTGATGCCTCCAGCTTTGTTCTTTTTGCTTAGGATTGTCTTGGCTATGCAGGCTCTTTTTTGGTTCCATATCAACTTTAAAGTAGTTTTTTTCCCAATTCTGTGAAGAAAGTCAGTGGTAGCTTGATGGGGATAGCATTGAATCTATAAATAACTTAGGGTAGTATGGCCATTTTCACAGTATTGATTCTTCCTATCCATGAGCATGGAATCTTCTTCCATTTGTTTTTGTCCTCTTTTATTTCATTGAGCAGTGATTTGTAGTTCTCCTTAAAGAGGTCCTTCACATCCCTTGTAAGTTGGATTCCTAGGTATTTTATTCTCTTTGTGGTAACTGAATGGCAGTTCATTCATGATGTGGCTCTCTGTTTGTCTATTATTGGTTTATAGGAATGCGTGTGATTTTTGCACATTGATTTTGTATCCTGAGACTTTGCTGAAGTTCCTTATTAGCTTAAGGAAATTTGGGGCTGAGATGATGGGGTTTTCTAAATATACAATCATGTCATCTGCAAACAGGGACAATTTGACTTCCTCTTTTCCTAATTGCATAGCCTTTATTTCTTTCTCTTGCCTGATTGCCCTAGCCAGAACTTCCAGTACTATGTTGAATAGGAGTGGTGAGAGAGGACATTTTCAAAGGGAATGCTTCCAGGTTTTGCCCATTCTGTATGATATTGGCTGTGGGCTTGTTATAAATAGCTCTTACTATTTTGAGATACATCCCATCAATACCTAGTTTACTGAGCGTTTTTAGCATGAAGCGCTGTTGAATTTTGTCCAAGGCCTTTTCTGCATCTATTGAGATAATCATGTGGTTTTTGTCATTGGTTCTGTTTATGTGATGGATTACATTTATTGACTTGCGTATGTTGAACCAGCCTTGGATCCCAGGGATGAAGCCGACTTGATCGTGGTGGATAAGCTTTGTGATGTGCTGCTGGATTCAGTTTGCCAGTATTTTATTGAGGATTTTTGCATGGATGTTCATCAGGGATATTGGTCTAAAATTCTCTTTTTTTTGTTGTATCTCTTCCAGGCTTTGGTATCAAGATGATGCTAGCCTCATAAAATGAGTTAGGGAGGATTCCTTCTTTTTCTATTGATTGAAATAATTTCAGAAGGAATGGTACCACCTCCTCTTTGTACCTTTGGTAGAATTTGGCTGTTAGTCTGTCTGGTCCTGGACTTTTTTTGGTTGGTAGGCTCTTAATTTTTGGCTCAATTTCAGAACCTGTTATTAGTCTATTCAGAGATTCAACTTCTTCCTGGTTTAGTCTTGGGAAGGTGTATGTGTTCAGGAATTTATCCATTTCTTCTAGATTTTCTAGTTTATCTGTTTAGAAGTGTTTATAGTATTCTCTGATGGTAGTTTGTATTTCTGTGGGATCAGTGGTGATATCTCCTTTATCATTTTTTATTGCATCTATTTGATTCTTCTCTCTTTTCTTCTTTATTAGTCTTGCTAGTGGTCTATCTATTTTGTTGATTTGTTCAGAAAACTAGCTCCTGGATTCATGGATTTTTTGAAGGAGTTTTTGTGTCTCTATATCCTTCAGTTCTGCTCTGATCTTAATTATTTCTTGCCTTCTGCTAGCTTTTGAATTTGTTTGCTCTTGTTTCTCTAGTTCTTTTAATTGTGGTGTTAGGGTGTCAATTTTAGGTCTTTCTTACTTTCTCTAGTGGGCATTTAGTGCTATAAATTTCTCTCTACACACTGCTTTAAATGTGTCCCAGAGATTCTGGTACGTTGTGTCTTTGTTCTCATTGGTTTCAAAGAACATCTTTATCTCTGCCTTCATTTCGTTATTTACCCAGTAGTCATTCAGGAGCAGGTTGTTCAGTTTCCATGTAGTTGTGTGTTTTTGAGTGAGTTTCTTAATCTTGAGTTCTAATTTGACTGCACTGTTGTCTGAGACACATTTGTTGTGAATTCTGTTCCTTTACATTTGCTGAGGAGTGTTTTACTACCAATTATGTGGTCAATTTTAGAATATGTGTGATGTGGTGCTTAGAAGAAAGTATATTCTGTTGATTTGGGGTGTAGAGTTCTGTAGATATCTGTTAGGTCCACTTGGTGCAGAGCTGAGTTCAAGTCCTGGATATCCTTGTTAACCTTCTGTCTCATTGATCTGTCTAATATTGATAGTGAGGTGTTAAAGTCTCTGATTATTATTGTGTGGGAGTCTAATTGTCTTTGTAGGTCTCTAAGGATTTGCTTTATGAATCTGGGTGCTCCTGTATTGGGTGCATATATATTTAGGACAGTTAGCTCTTCTTGCTGAATTGATCCCTTTACCATTATATAGTGGCCTTTTGGTCTCTTTTGATCTTTGTTTGTTTAAAGTCTGTTTTATCAGATACTAGGATTGCAACCCCTACTTGTTTTTGCTTTCCAGTTGCTTGGTAGATCTTCTTCCATCCCTTTATTTTGAGCCTATGTGCATCTTGGCAGGTGAGATGGGTCTCTTGAATAGAGCACACTGATGGGTCTTGACTCTTTATCCAATTTGCCAGTCTGTGTCTTTTAATTGGGGCATTTAGCCCATTTACATTTAAGGCTAATACTGTTACGTGTGAATTTGATCCTGTCATTATGATGTTAGCTGGCTATTTTGCCCATTAATTGATGCAGTTTCTTCATAGCATTTATGGTCTTTACCGTTTGGCATGTTTTCACAGTGGCTGGTACTGGTTGTTATTTTCCATGTTTAGTGCTTCCTTCAGGAGCTCTTTTAAGGCTGGCCTGATGGTGACAAAATCTCTCAGCATTTGCTTGTCTGTAAAGTATTTTATTTCTCCTTCACTTATGAAGCTTATTTTGGCTGGATATGAGATTCTGGATTGAAAAGTCTTTTCTTTAAGAATGTTAATTATTCGCCCCCACTCTCTTCTGGCTTGTAGGGTTTCTGCCAAGAGATCCGCTGTTGGTCGGATGGGCTTCCCTTGGTGGGTAACCTGACCTTTCTCTCTGCCTGCCCTTATCATTTTTTTTCCTTCATTTCAACCTTAGTGAATCTGACAATTATGTGTCTTGGGGTTGGTCTTCTCGAGGATTGTCTTTGTGGTGTTCTCTGTATTTCCTGAATTTGAATGTTGGCCTGCCTTGCTAAGTTAGGGAAGTTCTCCTGGAGAATATCCTGAAGAGTGTTTTCTAACTTTGTTCCATTCTTCCCATCACTTTCCAGTACATTAATCAAACATATATTTTGTCTTTTCACATATTCCCATATTTCTTGGAGGCTTATTTCATTTCTTTTCACTATTTTTTCTCTAATCTTGTCTTCTCTCTTTATTTCATTAATTTGATCTTCAATCATTGATACCCTTTCTTCCACTTGACTGAATCTGCTGTTGAAGCTTGTGCATGCATCACGAAGTTCTTCTGCCATGGTTTTCAGCTCCATCAGGTCATTTAAGGTCTTCTCCACACTATTTATTCTAATTAGCCATTTGTCTAACCTTTTTTCAAGATTTTTACCTTTCTCACGATGGGTTAGAACATGCTTCTTTACCTCAGAGAAGTTTGTTATTACCAACTTTCTGAAGCCTACTTCTGTCATCTCATCAAGCTCATTAGCCGTCCATCTGTGTTCCCTTGCTGGCAAGGGGCTGTGATTCTTTGGAGGAGAAGAGGTGCTCTGTTTTTTGGAATTTTCAGCTTTTCTGCTCTGGTTTCTCCTCATCTTTGTGGTTTTATCTACCTTTGGTCTTTGATGTGGTGACCTACAGATGAGGTTTTTTTGTAGATGTCCTTTTTGTTGATGTTGACGTTATTCCTTTCTGTTTGTTAGTTTTCCTTCTAACAGTCAGACCCCCAGCTGCAAGTCTGTTGGAGTTTGCTGGAGGGCCACTCCAGACCCTGTTTGCTTGGGTATCACCTGCAGAGGATGCAGAACCGCAAATATTGCTGCCTGATTCTTCCACTGGAAGCTTCGTCCCAGAGGGGCACCCACCTGTTTGAGGTGTCAGTCAGCCCCTACTGGGAGGTGTTTCCCAGTCAGGCCACATGGGGGTCAGGGACCCACTTGAGGAGGCAGTCTGTCCATTCTCGGAGCTCGAATGCTGTGCTGAGAGAACCATTGCTCTCTTTCAGAGCTGTCAGACAGGGACCTTTAAGTCTGCAGAAGCTGTCTTCTGCCTTTTGTTCTACTATGCCCTGCCACAAGAAGTGGAATCTATAGAGGCTGTAGGCCTTGCTGAGCTGTGGTGGGCTCTGCCCAGTTCTTGCTTCCAGGCCTCTTTATTTACACTGTGAGCTACTCAAGCTTCAGCAATGGTGGATGCCCCTCCCCGCATCCAGCAGCAGCATTGAAGGTGGATCTCAGGCTGCTGTGCTAGCAGTGAGCAAGGCTCCATGGGCATGGGAACCACTCAGCCAGGCATGGGAGGTTGCTAAGACTGTGGGAATAGTGTAGTATTTGGTCAAAAGTGTACTGTTTCTCCAGATACAGTCTGTCATGGCTTCTCTTGGCTAGGAAATGGAAATCTCCTGACTGCTTGTGCTTCCCAGGTGAGGTGATGCCCCGTCCTGCTTCAGCTCACCTTCCATGGGCTGCACCCACTGTCCAACCAGTCCCAATGAGATGAACCAGATACCTCACTTGGAAATGCAGAAATCACCCGTCTTCTGCATTGATCTCTTTGGAAGCTGCAGACTGGAGCTCTTCCTATTTGGCCATCTTGGAAGCAACCTCAAAATATAGATTTGTATGTATCTTGTTCAGTAGAAGAGTCACTGATACTTAATGAGTCAATATACTATTACAATTATTATGGTTCAGTTTTGCATTATTGCAATCTAATGCACCATTGGATTAATATGCAGATATATTACGTACAAAATGAATTAGACTGTGGTATACAATGTTGATGTTTTACCTTGTCTTCACCCTCTTTATTACAGAAAATTAATATTGTTCAGGGCACTACTGTGCACAGAAAACCATCTAAACATCTCTTTTACCTTGTGGAACTATCAACAAATGTCAGTCTTTTGGCCAATGATGTAAGCAGAATTTCACATAAACATTTCAAATACAGGAGACCTTATGGCATATCGCACATCTTTTAAAAAATCTCTACCTGTATTTTCCTGCCTGGATATGTTCAAACTGGAAGATAGTAAGCTTGAAGACAACAGCCACTCACTAAAGATCTGTAAACTAGAATAAGAAAAATACCTTTGTCTCTGCTGCCAAGGTAGACATGGGCTTTTCATTTGTTTGCAATATGAAAAAAAAAAAGTTCCAACATCACAGGGAAAGGTATCTTTGGAAAAAAAAACTGTGTGTTTCAAAATTTGGGGAAAAAAAGCAATACCAGCATTTAAAGATAAATGGATAAAGTCTCTAAGAAAATAGAACAAGGGACAGAGATAAAGATCAGGAAAGGAGAAAAGAGAGAGAAATAGAAACTAAAACCAAGAAGTTGGATATGTGACTATTAGGATTTCCAAAAGAAAACACAGACATGTAAGAACAATCAGAAGAAAGCTACACTACCTGGATTTGAAGGATCTATGTTTTCTAGTAATAAATAAAAGGAAATCTACACCTATACACACCTTTTTTTACTGCAGAGTATTGAAATTACATCACCATGAATTTGGACATGTGCATTCACATTCAATCATTCTTATCCACTCTATTATTTATTTGACCAGCTCTGAACCTGATTGATTCACAGCTCAAATAAAAGTAATGCTCTATAACTTTTATAATTGTGAGGCTTCAAGCACAATATTACAAATTTTCCTGTTTTTAAACCTTTTTTGGTGAAATACTTGAAAAACTTAATGTCATATGTGTATTATATACGTTAGCCCCCATTTAACCTTGGAGAATATGTTCCAAGACCCCTAGTGGATGCTTGAAATTATGGATAGTACTGAACCCTACATTTACCATGTCTTTTCTTATATATACATGCCTATGACAGTTTAATTAATAAATTAGTCACAGTAAGAGATTAATAACAATAATTAATAGTAAAACCGAAGCGTTATAGCATTATTAAGTAAAATAAAGTTTACTTGAACACAAGCACTGCAATACTATGATAGTTGATCTGATAACCAACAAGGATCCTAGGTAACTAAAGGGCCAGTAGCATAGACAGTGTGGATGCCTTGGGCAAAGAGAGGATTCATCTCCTTGGTGGAATTGGACAGAATGGAGCAGGAGTAGGATAGTACAAGATTTCATCATCTTACTCATAACATCATGAAATGTAAAACTTATGCATCTTTTATTTCTGGAATTTCCCTTTTAATACTTTCAGATCACAGTTGAATGCAGCTAACTGAAACCATGGAAAATGAAACTGCAGATAATGGAGGATGTATTAGTTCATTTTCATGCTGCTGATAAAGACATTACCCAAAACTGGGAACAAAAATAGGTTTTATAGGACTTACAGTGCCACATGGCTGGGGAGGCCTCAGAATCATGGTAGGAGGTAAAAGGCACTTCTTACATGGCAGAGGCAAAGAGAAAAATAAGGAAGATGCAAAAGCAGAAACCCCTGATAAACCCATCAGATCTCATGAGACTTATTCACTATCACAAGAACAGTATGGGGGAAACCGCCCCCATGATTCAAATTATCTCCCACTAAGTCCCTCCAATGACACGTGGGAATTATGGGAGTACAATTCAAGATGAAATCTGAGTGGGGACACAGAGCCAAACCATATCATTCTGCCCCTGGCCCCTCCAAATCTCATGTCCTCACATTTCAAAACCAACCATGGCTTCCTAACAGTCCCTCAAAGTCTTAACTCATTTCAGCATTAACCCAAAGGTCCACAGTCCAAAGTCTCATCTGAGACAAGGCAAGCTCCTTCTGCCTATGAGCCTGTAAAATAGAAAGCAAAATTCTATTTTAAAATAGACAGTTACTTCACGGATACAATGGGGGTACAGGTATTGGCTAAATACGGCTGCTCCAAATGGGAGAAATCGGCCAAAATGAATGGGTTACAGGGCCCATGCAAGTCCAAAATCCAGCAGGGCAGTCAAACTTTAAAGCTCCAAAATGATCTCCTTTGACATGAAGTCTCACAACCAGGTCATGCTGATGCAAGAGGTGGGTTCCCATTGTCTTGGGCAGCTCCGCCACTGTGGCTTTGCAGGGTACAGCCTCCCTCCCGCTGCCTTCATGGGCTGCCATTGAGTGTCTGGGGCTTTTCCAGATGCACAGTGCAAGTGGTGGGTAGATCTACCATTCTGAGACCAACTCAGCCTGGAACTTACTGTTCATATCACTATCAGCATTTTTTGTCAAGACAATTCAATAAGTCTCTAGGAGGTTCCAAACTGTTCCAACCTCTGCCTTTTACCCAGTTCCAAAGTCAAGTCCACATTTTCAGGTATCTTTTCAGCAACACTCCACTCTACTGGTACCAATTTACTGTATTAGTTCATTTTCAGACTGCTGATAAAGACATACCTGAAACTGGGAATGAAAAGAGGTTCCATTGGACTTACAGTTCTAAATGGCTGGGGAGGCCTCAGAATCATGGTAGAGTGTGAAAGGCCCTTCTTACACGGCAGTGGCAAGAGAAAAATGAGGAAGATTCAAAAGCGGAAACCTCTGATGAATCCATCAGATCTCGTGACACTTATTCACTACTGTGAGAGCAGTATGGGGGAAACTGCCCCCAGGATTCAAATTATTTCCCACCGGGTCCCTCCTACAACACATGGGAATTATAGGAGTACAATTCAAGATGTGATTTGGGTGGGGACACAGAACCAAACCTTATTAGGGGACTACTGCATGTGTGTTGGCAAACAAACATCTACACACACATACACATATATTTACACATATATAAATACGTATGTGTGTATCCATACATATTCATATATTTTCTGAGTGTAAATATGTATCTAGACATGTATATATGTATACACGTATACATGTATAAATATATGAATATTATCAGTATAGAAAAGAATTATTTTTACTACCATTTCCACCTTGTTTTTAACGAGCACCTACTTCATTTAATTAATTTTCTAAAAGAAAAAAATAGACTTTTTATTTTTTTCAGAATAATCCCCCATATATATGGACTCATAATAGTGTGTTTAAAAAAATACTTTAGATGTGAAATTTTAAAAATGCACTTACCAGAAACTTGTATTTGTTTCATAGTTTAGTAGTTAATGCTGTATTCTTTAGCCTAGTTCTTTGGTTCTCAACTTTGGTGCTTTAGTACAATCCCCTTGGAACATTAAAAAATCCTAATGCCCAAACTGACCTGCAGAACAATTAAATGTGAATCTCTGGGAGTGGGATCCAGGGATCAGTATTTGTTAAAGCTCTTCAGGTGATTTCAGTGTACCACCAAGATTGAGAACCAAAATGCCTGACGTGGATGGGATGGAATATAAGTGATGGTTTGTGTGTAATTAAGGAAAGAACTCATAGTTGTAATTTAGTAAAATTCACTACAAGGCTGCAACATTTTGATGGACACACACACACACGAGCATACATACATACTGGCTTGTATTTAGTGCAACTAAAATAATAGCTCCATTTCACTAAAATTCCAGCCCATTATGTTGTGCAAAAATAGCAATTGAGAAGTAATTTTCAGATACTGCTGCTTCTTCCAGATGCATCATAAATACTTGATATGTTGATGTTCCTTGTATTTTCAATCATCAATGCTATAGAAGCATTAAGTAGATTTTATTTCTCTATTAAAGTGAATTGTAAACAATAAAATGACTCCCCTAAAAATGTAAAGGAGTATTAAATAGGATTGATCAGAATTCAACTATATAAGAAGAGTTTTATTAAGAATCAGAATGCAAATTAATATATAAATATCTTAATACTCTGAATCAGTAGTCTTTTAGCTCACAGTGATTCTATACATTATAGAATTCATTACAGATTATTTTAGTGTGAGGATAAAAAGCACAAAAAATAAAATGTGCTACTTCATAATGACAGTTTCTCAAATCAGTTTCCTGGTGCAACTAAATAAAGGACAATTTCATTTTTGTCTAACATGGCTGTGGCTATGAGGTTCAAATAAGAGACATGTTTATTTCATTGCCAATAAATTGTTCAAAACAGGAAAACTGACAGTTTATTTGGATACCAGGGACAACAACAAAATGTTTAGTAGTGATATTAAAACTTAGTTGTACATTAGAATTACCCATTAAGATTTTTGTTGTTGTTGTTGTTTCACTTTATTTTATTTTTATTATTATTATTATACTTTAAGTTTTAGGATACATGTGCACAATGTGCAGGTTAGTTACATATGTATACATGTGCCATGCTGGTGGGCTGCACCCATTAACTCGTCATTTAGCATTAGGTATATCTCCTAAAGCTATCCCTCTCTCCTCCCCCCACCCCACAACAGTCCCCAGAGTGTGATGTTCCCCTTCCTGTGTCCATGTGTTCTCATTGTTCAATTCCCACCTATAAGTGAGAATATGTGGTGTTTGGTTTTTTGTTCTTGCAATAGTTTACTGAGAATGATGATTTCCAATTTCATCCATGTCCCTACAAAGGACATGAACTCATCATTTTTTATGGCTGCATAGTATTCCATGGTGTATATGTGCCACATTTTCTTAATCCAGTCTATCATTGTTGGACATTTGGGTTGGTTCCAAGTCTTTGCTATTGTGAATAGTGCCGCAATAAACATACGTGTGCATGTGTCTTTATAGCAGCATGATTTATAATCCTTTGGGTATATACCCAGTAATGGGATGGCTGGGTCAAATGGTATTTCTAGTTCTAGATCCCTGAGGAATTGCCACACTGACTTCCACAATGGTTGAACTAGTTTACAGTCCCACCAACACTGTAAAAGTGTTTCTATTTTTCCACATCCTCTCCAGCACCTGTTGTTTCCTGACTTTTTAATGATGGCCATTCTAACTGGTGTGAGATGGTATCCCCTTGTGGTTTTGATTTGCATTTCTCTGACAGCCAGTGATGGTGAGCATTTTTTCATGTGTTTTCTGGCTGCATAAATGTCTTCTTTTGAGAAGTGTCTGTTCATATCCTTCACCCACTTTTTGATGGGATTGTTTCTTTTTTTCTTGTAAATTTGTTTGAGTTCATTGTAGATTCTGGATATTAGCCCTTTGTCAGATGAGTAGGTTGCGAAAATTTTCTCCCATTTTGTAGGTTGCCTGTTCACTCTGATGGTAGTTTCTTTTGCTATGCAGAAGCTCTTTAGTTTAATTAGATCCCATTTGTCAATTTTGGCTTTTGTTGCCATTGCTTTTGGTGTTTTAGACATGAAGTCCTTGCCCATGCCTATGTCCTGAATGGTAATGCCTAGGTTTTCTTCTAGGGTTTTTATGGTTTTAGGTCTAACGTTTAAGTCTTTAATCCATCTTGAATTAATTTTTGTATAAGGTGTAAGGAAGGGATCCAGTTTCAGCTTTCTACATATGGCTAGCCAGTTCTCCCAGCACCATTTATTAAATAGGGAATCCTTTCCCCATTGCTTGTTTTTCTCAGGTTTGTCAAAGATCAGATAGTTGTAGATATGCGGCGTTATTACTGAGGGCTCTGTTCTGTTCCATTGATCTATATCTTTTTTTTTGGTACCAGTACCATGCTGTTTTGGTTACTGTAGCCTTGTAGTATAGTTTGAAGTCAGGTAGCATGATGCCTCTGGCTTTGTTCTTTTGGCTTAGGATTGACTTGGTGATGTGGGCTCTTTTTTGGTGCTGTATGAACTTTAAAGTAGTTTTTTCCAATTCTGTGAAGAAAGTCATTGGTAGCTTGATGCGGATGGCATTGAATCTATAAATTACCTTGGGCAGTATGGCCATTTTCACGACGTTGATTATTCCTATCCATGAGCATGGAATGTTCTTCCATTTGTTTGTATCCTCTTTTATTTCATTGAGCAGTGGTTTGTAGTTCTCCTTGAAGAGGTCCTTCATGTCCCTTGTAAGTTGGATTCCTAGGTATTTTATTCTCTTTGAAGCAATTGTGATTGGGAGTTCACTCATGATTTGGCTCTCTGTTTGTCTGTTATTGGTGTATAAGAATGCTTGTGATTTTTGTACATTGATTTTGCTGAAGTTGCTTATCAGCTTGAGGAGATTTTGGGCTGAGACTATGGGGTTTTCTAGATATACAATCATGTCATCTGCAAACAGGAACAATTTGACTTCCTCTTTTCCTAATTGAATACCCTGTATTTCCTTCTCCTGCCTAATTGCCCTGGCCAGAACTTCCAACACTATGTTGAATAGGAGTGGTGAGAGAGGGCATCCCTGTCTTGTGCCAGTTTTCAAGGGGAATGCTTCCAGTTTTTGCCCATTCAGTATGATACTGGCTGTGGGTTTGTCATAGATAGCTCTTATTATTTTGAGATACGTCCCATCAATACCTAATTTATTGAGAGTTTTTAGCATGAAGGGTTGTTGAATTTTGTCAAAGGCCTTTTCTGCATCTATTGAGATAATCATGTGGCTTTTGTCTTTGGCTCTGTTTATAAGCTGGATTACATTTATTGATTTGCATATACTGAACCAGCCTTGCATCCCAGGGATGAAGCCCACTTGATCACGGTGGATAAGCTTTTTGATGTGCTGCTGGATTCGGTTTGCCAGTATTTTATTGAGGATTTTTGCATCAATGTTCATCAAGGATATTGGTCTAAAATTCTCTTTTTTGGTTGTGTCTCTGCCCGGCTTTGGTGTCAGGATGATGCTGGCCTCATAAAATGAGTTAGGGAGGATTCCCTCTTTTTCTATTGATTGGAATAGTTTCAGAAGGAATGGTACCAGTTCCTCCTTGTACCTCTGGTAGAATTCAGCTGTGAATCCATCTGGTCCTGGGCTCTTTTTGGTTGGTAAGCTGTTGATTATTGCCACAATTTCAGAACCTGTTATTGGTCTATTCAGAGATTCAACTTCTTCCTGGTTTAGTCTTGGGAGGGTGTATGTGTCAAGGAATTTATCCATTTCTTCTAGATTTTCTAGTTTATTTGTGTAGAGGGGTTTGTATTATTCTCTGATGGTAGTTTGTATTTCTGTGGGATTGGTAATGTATAACTAGAATAACCAATACAGAGAAGTGCTTAAAGGAGCTGATGGAGCTGAAAGCCAAGGCTCGAGAACTATGTGAGGAATGCAGAAGCCTCAGAAGCTGATGCGATCAACTGGAAGAAAGGGTGTCAGTGATGGAAGATGAAATGAATGAAATGAAGCGAGAAGGGAAGTTTAGAGAAAAAAGAATAAAAAGAAACGAACAAAGCCTCCAAGAAATATGGGACTATGTGAAAAGACCAAATCTACGTCTGATTGGTGTACCTGAAAATGACATGGAGAATGGAACCAAGTTGGAAAACACTCTGCAGGATGTTATCCAGGAGAACTTCCCCAATCTAGCAAGGCAGGCCAACATTCAGATTGAGTAAATACAGAGAACACCACAAAGATACTCCCCGAGAAGAGCAACTCCAAGACACATAATTGTCAGATTCACCAAAGTTGAAATGAAGTAAAAAATGTTAAGGGCAGCCAGAGAGAAAGGTCGGGTTACCCACAAAGGGAAGCCCATCAGACTAACAGCGGATCTCTCGGCAGAAACTCTACAAGCCAGAAGAGAGTGGGGGCCAATATTCAACATTCTTAAAGAAAAGAATTTTCAACCCAGAATTTCATATCCAGCCAAACTAAGCTTCATACGTGAAGGAGAAATAAAATACTTTACAGACAAGCAAATGCTGAGAGATTTTGTCACCACCAGGCCTGCCTAAAAGAGCTCCTGAAGGAAGCACTAAACATGGAAAGGAACAACCGGTACCAGCCACTGCAAAATCATGCCAAATTGTAAAGACCATCAAGGCTAGGAAGAAACTGCATCAACTAATGAGCAAAATGACCAGCTAACATCATAATGACAGGATCAAATTCACACATAACAATATTAACTTTAAATGTAAATGGACTAAATGCTCCAATTAAAAGACACAGTCTGGCAAATTGGATAAAGAGTCAAGACCCATCAGTGTGCTGTATTCAGGAAACCCATCTCACGTGCAGAGACACACATAGGCTCAAAATAAAAGGATGGAGGAAGATCTACCAAGCCAATGGAAAACAAAAAAAGGCAGGGGTTGCAATCCTAGTCTCTGATAAAACAGACTTTAAACCAACAAAGATCAAAAGAGACAAAGAAGGCCATTATATAATGGTAAAGGGATCAATTCAACAAGAAGAGCTAACTATCCCAAATATATATGCACCCAATACAGGAGCACCCAAATTCATAAAGCAAGTACTTAGTGACCTACAAAGAGACTTAGACTCCCACACAATAATAATGGGAGACTTTAACACCCCACTGTCAACATTAGACAGATCAACGAGACAGAAAGTTAACAAGGATACCCAGGAATTGAACTCAGCTCTGCACCAAGCAGACCTAATATACATCTACAGAACTCTCCACTCCAAATCAACAGAATATACATTTTTTTCAGCACCACACCACACCTATTCCAAAATTGACCACATAGTTGGAAGTAAAGCTCTCCTCAGCAAATGTAAAAGATCAGAAATTATAACAAACTGTCTCTCAGTCCACAGTGCAATCAAACTAGAATTCAGGATTCAGAAACTCACTCAAAACCACTCAACTACATGGAAACTGAACAACCTGCTCCTGAATGACTACTGGGTACATAACGAAATGAAGGCAGAAATACAGATGTTCTTTGAAACCAATGAGAACAAAGACACAACACACCAGAATCTCTGGGACACATTCAAAGCAGTGTGTAGAGGGAAATTTATAGCACTAAATGCCCACAGCAGAAAGCAGGAGAGATCCAAAATTGACACCCTAACATCACAATTAAAAGAACTAGAAAAGCAAGAGCAAACACATTCAAAAGCTAGCAGAAGGCAAGAAATAACTAAAATCAGAGCAGAACTGAAGGAAATAGAGACACAAAAAACCCTTCAAAAAATTAATGAATCCAGGAGCTGGTTTTTTGAAAGGATCAACAAAATCAATAGACCGCTAGCAAGACTAATAAAGAAGAAAAGAGAGAAGAATCAAATAGATGCAATAAAAAATGATAAAGGGGATATCAGTAAGCTTTAAAAAAGTACCAGTGCCTCTGTCTATATTTTTAAAATCTGACTTAATCCTTTGGGGTGTGGTCTGACCTTTGGGAGTTTTTTTAAAAAATTCCTAGTTTATTCTAACGATTACTGTAGATTTAGTGTGCATAAATGTCTTAGAATATGATAGGTCAATATTTGATGGCAATAATTCCACACACACAAAAATTTACACTTCCCTCCCTTGTAGAACAAGTAGTATTTCATATTTGCCTAGAGTTTATTAAGAGAAACCCCATAGAGTGCAGTATTTCTGCTGAAATCCACCAAAATCAAGAAACAAACTTTGACAGCTATTTAGTGCATAATATCTTCCTGCTGTCTGGAAAATCCCAAATGTAGTATGACTACCTCACTTTCAGTGTGAGGTACTTTCAGATATTGTAGAATTTACTATACGGCAAAGATATGTGAAAGAAAATTTTTATCACATGCCAAACAATGTACCATATAACTCCTTTCAAAAATATCTGTTCTTTATTGCAAGGGTTCTCATTTAATGCCAGCCACTTGACTCCATGTCTATTTCCATTTTTCACCTCTAAAATCACCATTATTAATCCACAATTTTTATCTTTTATAAAGCCTTAAAGCCCAGGAATTAGCTACTTCCTTTCCTCCCAGGGACATCCCAAAGGCTATCTATTATTACTGAAGAATATGCTGGCTGAATCTCATTGTCTGCCCCCATCTCTGCAACTCCAAGAAACTTATTATCATATTCAAAAGGAAACAGATCATGGTAATGAGGAAGGACAGAAAAGAACAGTGAAGATATCAGTCACTAGGAAGATAAAACCTATTCCACGTAATAACACTTGTTTTTGTACCTGTCTAAACTCCAATGTGTCCATCAACCTGAAATATGCAACCTCTTTCAACCCTCTTTCACTATCTTTAGGTAACATAAATGTACCTAAGTAAATGAGGGAATATAGCCCTGTTGTATGTAAAAAATACACAAATGTATGTAAAAGATCTAAGTAAATGAGGGAATACAGCACTGTTGCCATTTCAGATTCACGTGAAAAATCCATGTGACCAAGAATGGAAGTTTAGGTGGAAACCCTGAGTGCCTATTAATTTTTGAGCTTTTAGGGAACTGAGCCTCTGGAGAACCCCTTCCAAAGTGCCACCAAGAGGGAAATGAAAGGAACTTTACTAGTCAGCCACTGGTGAAACCTGGTAGACCTTAATAGGCATAAATATAAATATGGTACTCTAATAAATTATAAGATAAATAATATTGATTGTTATATTTCAGGCAGTTAGATTTATAGTGTTTGAATTTTTTATTTCTTAGATCAAGCCTATGATGTAGGTATTGGCATTATTCTCATTTTTAGAAAAGAAAACTAATGCTCACAGAGTGTATCAGTCTGTTCTCATGCTGCTCTAAAGACATACTCAAGGCTGGTTAATTTATAAAGAAAAGAGGTTTAATCGACTCACAGTTCACTAGGGTTGGGGAGGCCTCAGGAAACTTACAATCATGGCAGAAGGGAAGCAAACATGTCCATTTTTACAAGTCAGCAATAGAGAGAAGAATGAGAACTGAGTGAAGGGGTAAGCCCCTTATAAAACCATCAGGTCTCATGAGAACTTACTCACTATCCCAAGAACAGCATGAGGGAAACCAACCCCATGATTTAATTACCTCCCACCAGGTCCCTACCATGACGCGTGAGGATAATGGGAACTACAATTCAAGATGAGATTTGGGTGGGGACACAGCCAAATCGTATCACAGAGATTCATAAAAAATAAAATAAAAATACAACTCCACACATGATAAGAGAATTCTTCTGTATTGTGGTATATAGTGTTGCCCTGTAAACCTAGATACATAATTTGTGGATAGGGTGTGGCATCTCATAAGCAGACACACTTCTCTGATCACGTCTTTAGGCTGCTTCTGACATATACCAATTGTTTCTAAGTTCCTCCAAACTACAATCCGTGCACAAAATAAACTTTTCTACTAGGCTAGGAGTTTGAAGTAACAATCCAACAAGGCCACATGCTGAACTGAGGAGGGTGAATGGGAGCAAGACAGCAGGCCTTGCCCCACATATCCTGACAGGCTCCGATGTGTGATGTTCCCCTCCCTGTGTCCATGTGTTCTCATTGTTCAGCTCCCACTTATGACTGAGAACATGTGGTGTTTGGTTTTTGGTTCCTGTGTTAGTTTGCTGAGAATGATGGCTTTCAGCTTCATCCATGTCCCTGCAAAGGACATGAACTCATTCTTTTTCATGGCTGCATAGCATTCCATGATGTATATGTGCCACATTTTCTTTATCCAGTCTATAATTGATGGGCATTTGGGTTGGTTCCAAGTCTTTGCTATTATAAATAGTGCTTCAATAAACATACATGTGCATGTGTCTTTATAGTAGAATGATTTATAATCCTTTGGGTATATACCCAGTAATGGGATTGCTGGGCCAAATGGTATTTCTGGTTCTAGATCCTTGAGGAATCACCACACTGTCTTCCACAGTGGTTGAACTTATTTACACTCCTACCAATAGTGTAAAAGTGTTCCTATTTCTCCACATCCTCTTCAGCATCTGTTGTTTCCTGACTTTATGATGGCCACTCTAACTGGCGTGAGATGGTATCTCATTGTGGTTTTGATTTGCATTTTGCATTTTTCTAACGACCAGTGATGATGAGCTTTTTTTCATATGTTTGTGGCCACATAAATGTATTCTTTTGAGAAATGTCTGTTCATATCCTCGCTCACTTTTTGATGTTTTTTTTTCCTTGTAAATTTGTTTAAGTTCGTTATAGATTCTGGATATTAGACCTTCGTCAGATGGGTGGCTTGCAAAAATTTTCTCCCATTCTATAGGTAGCCTGTTCACTCTGATGATATTTTCTTTTGCTGTGCAGAAGCTCTTCAGTTTGATTAGATCCCATTTGTCAATTTTGGCTTTTGTTGCAGTTGCTTGTGGTGTTTTATTTATGAAGTATTTGCCTATGCTTCTGTCCTAAATGGTATTGCCTAGGTTTTCTTCTAGGGTTTTTATGGTTTGGGGTTTTACATTTAAGTCTTTAACCCATCTAGAGTTATTTTTTGTATAAGGGGCACTGAGTATTTATAATTATGCCTCAGTTTTGATCAGATAATGCTGGATTGAGTAGATAAAATGTATTTTGATTCCTCAACTGATTTTTCAAAAACCAACTTTTGTACACACCAACCATAAATAATGTTTTAAATTCCTTGAAATTTGCATAATTTGCCCAATCAGTGGTAATAATGATCATGATGATAATAATAATGGCAACTAGTTTAAAGCCTTTAAAAGGTACTATCTCATTTAATCACAGTAACCTAAAGAAGTATGTTGTGTTACTCCTTTCACAGATGAAAAGTCTGAGGTCCTAAAAGGTTAATTACCTTTCCTAAATTCACATAATTAGTAATTGTATTAGTCAGGGTTCTCTAGAGGGGCAGAACTAATAGGATAGATTTATATATTAAAGGGAGTTGATTAAGGAGTGTTAAACTCACATGATCACAAGATCCCACAATAGGCCATCTGCAAGCTGAGGATGAAGGAAGCCAGCCTGAGTCCCAAAGCTGAAGAACTTGAAGCCCGATGTTCAAGGGCAGGAAGCATTCAGCATCAGAGAAAGATGTAGGCTGGGAGGGTAAGCCAGTCTAACTTTTCATGTTTTTCTGCCTGCTTTATATCCTGGCTGAGCTGGCAGCTGATTAGATGGTACCCACCCAGATTAAGGCTAAGTCTGCCTCTCCCAGCCCACTAACTCAAATGTTAATCTTCTTTGGCAATATCCTCACAGACACACCCAGGATCAATACTTTGCATTCTTCAATCCAATCAAGTTGATGCTCAGTATTAACCATCACAGTAACAGAGAAGAAATATAAGTTCAGGGTCTTTACTCAACTTGTGATACTACATGCTTTAATTATCTTAGTGATGCAGCAGAATTGGTTTTTCTAAGCAATAACTCATGTCTAACTGTTTTAGACTGTGAGTATTTCAAGTAGTCATTATTCATAGAATTTAAAATATCATCGATATAAAATAGCCACTCTGGATAGTACATAAATAAAATTGCTGACTCTTTAGTAATGGAGGGATTCTTAACGCTTCATTTGACAGTAAGCACTTGTAAAATGCAGCACTGTAAAATGCCATTCCTCAAAGAGAATCTTATGACAGTTCTCCCCAAATCTACTTGTACATTATTAAAACATGAAGGTCTTATCAGAAATACAGATTCCCGAGTTTCATTACAAACCTGACGAAACTGAATCTACAAGTTTAAGAACTAAGAGTCTGTATTTTTAGTAAGCTCTTCACGTGGCCGCAAGCCAGACAGCCCTGCACTGATCCTTTTATTGATTTGAGAGAAACCAGTGCTCTAGTGTTTAACAAAATGTGGTCTCCAGAACAGCACAGTCAACATTGTCTAGAAACTTGGGCTATAATCTATAACTTCTGAATTAAAAAGCTTGGGGTGGAGACCAGCAATATCTATTTCAACAAGCTTTCATGTGATTCTGACACAGGCTAAGTTAAGTTTGACAGCCATTGTACTGACCAGTGCTTCTCAAATATTAATGCGAATATGGGTCACATGAAGATGTTGTTAAAAATGTAGATTTTGATACTGTAGGTCTTGGCTGGAGCCCAAGAATTTTCATTTTTAATATGTTGTTTGATGGTAATAATAAACAGATCATACTATACGTGTGTCCATTTAATTTTTTTAATATTACGGAAGGTAAAAATGAAAATTCAAATCTTTAGTAACACATGGCTTCTACGAGATTGAACAGCACAGATTTGGGACATTTACATTATTGCAGAAATTTTATTCAATAGAAGTGTTCTAGAGAATCTTGAACATGCAGTTGAAGGTTATGCTGTGCAATTCAGAGTACAGGAATCTGAATTTTCTCAATATTTTCCCCCAAAAAAGTATGACAACAATATCTGTCAGGGATTCTCGGAAAAGATTCTTAAAAATTATTCTTCTAAGATGATCCACAAGACATTAGTTAGAGAAAGTTGGGAGCCTGCACATAGTTCATATTGAATATATGATGAGTGAAAAACCCCTTCTGGCTACAAATTGTTCAATATTTCTTTTCCCTTTTCAGGTACTAGGAGTGCCCAGAATCAAAGGAACATGAGTTAAATTGAAAACAGCCATTTGGGACAGTTTCAGGAACAAAAACACTGGTTAAAGTATTTGAACATTTTCTACCTCTATTTTTTGCAGGTTTCTGTATGCAATCACCAAGCAGAAAAGATATCCGGATGTTCTATTAAGGTATGTTGGGTATAACTTTGAAGACACGCTTCGAAAATATAAAGTTGACCCTGATTAGCAGTCACCTTCATTATGTCTTCTCTATAGGGGAAGAAAACCCAACCAAAAACCATCAGCGCAAGCCTTTATTAAAAGGCTGCCAAAAAGAACAGCTCTGAGATGACAATTATAGGAAAAGCAAGAAACTAAAAGAATTTACAAGGGATGGAACTCAAAGTTCACCTTGTTCTGAATATCGTTCACTGTTCAAATGCTCAGAAAGTACAGGGAAACTGAAGTTGCATTAGTAATGAGATGGTAGTGGCAGAAAGAATGGGGTTATGGTTTAGCATTTGTTGCTGGGCAATTTTTGTTTAACAAGAAGGATGTTAAGAAACAGTTGAAACTAAGTTCTTACTAAAGTTAATGAAAAACATTTTATATTCAGTATTCTTTTTTCTATTACTGTCCTGAAACTCATATACCTTAAAAAAATCAACCTTTATAATCTCATATCCAAGACATCAACATTCAAACACTTAATGTTTCACTCAATTTGCTGAAAGGTGTATCAGTTTTGCCCTTTGAACTACTTTAAACTTCTAAATATCATTGGTTGGCATTGCCTTTGCCCCTCATATTTTTTCCTTGTCTTTCCTGTAATAGAACATTCCCTTTAAACAGAACCCATGAAAGACCAAATTATCATATTTCCCTGGCAAGGTGATTTTATTCATCTATGCATTCATTCAATATACTAAATGTTGAAATGCTAATTGAGCACATCACATGCCCATTGTTCCAGATGCTAAAGATGCAGGAGTGATATTTCTGTCTTTAGGTCTTTGAGGAATTACTACACTGTCTTCCACAATTGCTGAAATAATTTACACTCCCATCAACAAAATATAAGCATTACTTTCTCTCCACAACCTTGACAGTATTTATTATTTTTTTGACTTTTTAGTAATAATCATTTTAACTGGCATGATATGGTATCTCATGGTGGTTTTATGGAGCTGGAGGCCATTATCCTTAACAAACTAACACAGGAATAGAAAAACAAATACCACATGTTCTCACTCATATGTGGGAGCTAAATGATGAAAACACATGGACACAAAGAGGGGAACAACACATGTTGGGGCCTTTTGAAGGGAGGAGGGTGGGAGGAGGGAAAGGATCAGGAAAAATAACTAATGGGTACTACTAGGCTTAACACCTGGGTGATGAAATAATCTGTACAACAAACCCCCATGACACAAGTTTAACAAACTGCACTTTTTAAACTGCATTATATAACAAACCTTCACTTGTTTGTTATATAACAAACAAACCCTGAACTTAAAAGTTTAAAAAAGGAAGAAAAAAGATGCAGCAATAAACAATCCAGTAAGATTTCTGAACTCGTGATATGGATTTTCTATTATGCAAAGAAAGAGAATAAATCAAAGATAAACAAGAAAAACTGAGTAATAATCAGTGCTATGATTTTTAAAGGAGTCAACATAAATAGCATCCATTATCACAACACCAGCTCTCCATGTACTCTTTTCGCATTTGGGCTTTTTAGCCAATAAATCATTTTCTGGACTTTTAAATAGTCATACCATGTTTCTATTACATTTCTATTTCTTGGAACAAAAGAGCATTAATTCTTGACTATACAATATTATCACTGAACACCAAATCAATTCCATTTATTCTGCATCATGAAAGATGAACCACCATAGAAGATGGAATAAACCATCATTCCATGTCTCGCTCATCCTTATAAGGTTTGCTCATTGCTGTTTTCTTTCCATAAGGACATTTGGATCATTTAAGCCATTCCTCAATTTACAATTAATATTGGAACTCATTTCAAAATTAGAACTAATTTCAATAGGTTTTGTACTTGGGTACATATATATTATATATAAACATATAATTTATATATCATATATAAATTCTAATTACATATATAAATATATATCTATATATAAATTTATATATAATTATATAAATATATATAATTATATATAAATATATGTAAATATATATAATATATAAATATATAATTATATATAATATATATTATATAAATATATATAATATATATTATATAAATATATATAATATATATTATATAAATATATATAATATATATTATATATAAATCTATAATTATATATAAATATATAAATCTATAATTATATATAAATATATATAAATATAT
Source organism: Homo sapiens (assembly GCF_000001405.40). NCBI lineage: Eukaryota > Metazoa > Chordata > Mammalia > Primates > Hominidae > Homo > Homo sapiens. The sequence continues at coordinate 41,347,469 of NC_000014.9, forward strand.
AATTATACATAAATATATAATTATATATGATTATATATAAATATATAATTATATATAATATATAAATTTATATAATATATAAATATATAATTATATACAATATATAAATTTATATATAAATTTATATAAATATATATAAATTTTTATATACAAATATATAAATTTATACAAATATAGATAAATATATAAATTTATACAAATATAGATAAATTTATATATATAAATATAGATAAATATAGATAAATATAGATAAATATAAATTTATATATATAATTTATATATATATATATATATATATATATATATATATATATATATATATATAAAATTCCTGACTTCTCTATACCTTTTAGAGGTTCCTGAGCAGACTTATTTTATCTTTGGGTTGCTGGTTTACACTGGTGTCTACACTTTAAGGGCTTGCCCTTGATTTCTTTTTCCCAAAAGATGTCTGGCCTAAGACATATTTCATCAGGAGTTTATCTATATTTGTCATCAGGATGTTTTATGGTGTTTCTGTAGTCACCTCAATTATTCCTGGCTTCCTCTTCTAATTTATTGGCCCACTGTCTTCTTTTTCTCTACTCATCTCTAAAGTAGTTCCAATATTTGGAAGAAGTTTGGGATAACAGCTGTTCTTGAACTGAAATATTCTTTTTAGCAATTACTCCTTCAGGACTCACTTTAGTGAAAATGCTATTTTTTTCATTTCTAGTACCATTTTTGTATTAGAATAATCAATATTATTGTTAGAGAAACACGTTTTTTCCACTATCAGCAAGTGGTATGACCTCAGACCTGATCTATCGCATGATTTACAAATAGCCTGAAGCATTCTTACTGCTTCATTTTTATCATTGAGAATGTCAGGTTTCCAAGGCCTTCTGTTTATCTCCTTCTCTCTTTTTAGAGTGTGAAGAGCATGCCATAGTCAGTTGTCCAATGCACTTTTCTCTTCTAGTGGGGTAGTAACCCCTAAGTTTAAGTTCAAGTACTGTTTCATTTTTTTATGGTGTCCATAACAGCTGGAATAACATTTCTTTCTCTCTTGGACCCCTGACTTGGGTGGATGTCCAAAGCCAAAATATAACTAACGATTCTCTCCTACCTTGTGTGACCTTATTTAACACATTTTCTAGTAAAACAGTAAATGTTTTGCAATTGAATATCTGAGGTAAGAAATTGAAATTCATTTTGCACACACCTGCTTTCCTGATATCTCCATAGAAATTACATAATCATTTCAGCAAAATCCTGCTAGGTCTCATTCATATTAGTTTTCTTCTTAAAGATTTTAATAAGAACTTAATATCATTCCAGAAAATTGTAAACTGCTTAAAATGTTTTCAATTTCATCCTTATTAGTTCACAGTATTTATCAAACCCATATTAAAATCTGGAAGTTCACATTCACTCCCACATACCAAAGTTATTACCATTGTTTTAGTCATCAATTTTCTCTAATTCAATGACTAATAAGTAGATTTTAGTGCAAAAGTACAATGACAATTCTTGTAAATATTAAATAAAATTAGAAATTGTTTAAAAATCAATAGTGGTGCCTCAATATCTTTTGCTGGAGATTGACACCTATACCCTTAGAGTAGTAGATACAGCTCCTGCCATCACCTGCCCTCTCCCTTACACACACGCACACACACACACACAGACACACACACAGCCCAATTAATATACACACACAAACTAGAACCAAACTTATGAAATCTAACAAGAAACAGCCAATTCCAGGCAGTACCGCTGAAAATCATAGCTCATGTTTTGTATAACTGATGGCAGTGGTGGCCTGTCTGGAGCAGCCACTTTGGGGATGCCAGCTGCAGCGGGGGAGGCACAGCCAGGGCTACACACTCCATGGAGCCAGCAGGAACCAGGAACATGCAGGAGCTTCATCCCATTCTGAGTTGGCAGGGCAGGAGCCCCATGCTCCCAGGCACAGCTGCAGCCAGCCAGCTGCAGCTGCGGCTGCGGACCTGAGCATCCTTGTGCTCTGAGGGGCCCAGGAATCTCCCTGTCCCTGTAGAACTCAGAAGTACCTGTTCCCACTGCCTGGCCTCTCCCTGCTCCTGGAACCCACTCCAATTTTAGAGCAAAGTTGAAGCCAAGCCTGGGCACTGTCACGACCAAGACAGGTGTGCACGCATTCAGGGTGGTGCTGACACCCCAGCCCCATGCCACCTCTGTCCCCTCTGGACTTTGGACACCAACAAAATCAGGGAGAGAGGCCGGGGCTGGGAGGCTGAGAGTGGCCTGGCATGGGCCTGCAGATGACCCTTGGCACAAACAGCATCGGCACTGTCGACAGCATGCTGATGGCAGGAAGCAGACAAGTTCCTGGGTGAAAAGGGGTGGGTTCTCAGTAAAGCCCCACTTTTAAGCCAGGAAAAGACTGAAGTCTGGGGGCCAAACTGTGGCTCCAGATGAAGTCCACAACCTAGAGAGAGAACTTATGTGCTTTTTCTGGGCCCACCCATGGCCATCCTTGGACCAATCAACGCACACTTCCTCTCTTCTGAGCCCACAATAACCCAGAACCCAGCCAGACTCACACAGACATGGGGACCACCAGCTGTAGGAAGGAGCTACCCACTTCTCGTCTCCTCAATTTGTCAGGACGACCTGCCCGCAAAAAAGGTTTCCTCTCCACTGCGGGTCTCTCTGCTGAGAGCTGGACACTTGTGGACGACCTGCCTGCAGAAAGGAGCTAGCCACTCCAGGTCTCCTGAGAACCATTCTGCTGCTCAGTGAAGCTCCTCTCCACCTTGCTCACCCTCCAGTTTTCCCCATACCTCGTTCTTCCTGGATGCTGGACAAGAACTCGGGACCCACCGAATGGCGGGACTGAAAGAACTGTAACACAAGCAGGGCTTAAACAGCCCCAGGCTCCCCAAGATGCTGGTGACAAGAGGGAGAGAAGAGCTGTTGTCCTTCGGGGATCCCAGACCTAGGGGCTCTCCATGCCAGTGCTATGACACCCTCTTTGGGAATCTGTGGTTCCTGGCATCTCCATGCTTCTGAGCACCACCGTGTTCCCTTCATCAATCCGCGGGTGCCCACATTGGAAGCTGCGTGTGGTACACCTGGTCTAGCTGCAGCCTCACATGGAGCCAGTACCTGTGTTGGCTCCTGGAGCTTCCCTCCCTGCTGCAGCAGTTGGCATTCCTGGCTGTGGCCAGTGGCTGAACCACAAGCTCATTCACACACACACCCCTCACTGTTCTGTGCCTGGCTTGCCCATGGCAGGTGTGGGATCTGGGCTGATAGCACCAGTCAACCTCAACCTGCTGGGCCAAGTGGGAAACACGAGCCCAGCAGGAATGAGCAATACTGAGGCAGAAGGTGCCGCAGGCCACAGAGGTTTCCGGTTAGCAAAGCAACACCCCTAGGATACTGTGACATATTAAAAGCAGGTGAAAAAGAAAAGATTATCATGCCAAAGAGATGTTCTCTAACCTGTCCAAACCATTACATCATTAATATTTATTAAACATAGTCTGGTTATTAAATACCACATTAGGAAGAGTGAAGAAATCAACTAGATATTGAAGACACAAGAAATACTGTCCAAAATTCAAAACTAAAAAATACAAACAAATAAATGAAAAATGAATCATATGAGGTAAGTTTAAATATATTATCACAATACAGATATGCACATAGGTAACTTTATTTTACTGAACTGAACTCAGTCTAGCAACATCTTATTGTCTAAACAAATATGAACTTGTCCACATATGGCAGTATCATCACTTCTAGTATAAACTTAATTTTTCACATTTAGTTAGTGTCTTCCAAGTCAATACTTAGTCTTTCCGTGTTTTTCCTCCTGCCCCTACTCTTTGCCTTCTCCTGTGGTGGCACCTGGCTTCATGGGAGAGTTTATACATCATCATGGTATTTTGAAGCGAAGCTTCACTTTCACACAAAGCACTTTAGATTCAATGATTTTCATTTAAGTGGTTCACCTTGTTTGGCCTAGGAGATATGTAGGCATCTGCTGTTGGCAATATCTATGTTTAAAGTATGACTTCTAGATGAAAGATCCAGTTACTCTGCAATTGTCTCATCTTAATGCTAAAATGCTTTCAGTCCACTATCTTGCCAACACTTGGTGGCTGTGTTGGAATTTTCGGATGTTCTCTATACTACAGTGGACTATAGGGATGGAGGTGGGGCATAGGTGGGGGCATGTGGTTCCAGCAGAAGGGCTACCTGAAGCCCTCTCCTGAGTTTTATTCCAGTGCTAAGACTCCTTGTTATCATCGGTGCTTTTTTTCAGTTATCCTTGTCACAGAATTCCCATTGGGTAGCAGGGCAGAAACCACCTTTGTTTTAAAACTCCCAAAACTAATATAAAGACCTTTATTCCCAGCTGTCCAGGTTGTCAGCTCACAGGTAATGGGCAGAAAGTAAGTCCTTTCATTGTCTCATCTCTGAAACTCTTCAGCCCCCTCCTCCATGACAGTCAAGGGTTTGACTGGTCTTTTAGGGTGGGAATGAAAGCTGTTTTTAAGTTAGATTCCACATAGATCTATATTTGCATTATCCTTAATAAACTCTTCACTAAGGATGCCCATATTCTAACTTAATATTTCACTCCAGGATCTTTCGGATTTCAAGGAAGAACTATTTTCTATCTCACTGATATGAGTTTGGTTTCAAGCCAATACTCTGCCTTGTACTTTTCTTTGAAGATAAATATAAGGAAATATTTTATTTTTTATTGATACATTATCATTGTACATATTTATGAGGTTCAGGTGATATTTTGATACATGTGTACAATGTGTAATGATCAAATCAGGATAACAGATATCCATCACTTCAAACATTTATAATTTCTTTGTGTTGGAAATGTTCCAAATTTTCTATCTATTTCAAAATATACAAAAATTATTGTTAATTATAGTCACTCTACTATGCTATCAAACACTAGTACCTATTTCTTTTATCTAACTCAAGCTTGTCCAACATGAGGCCTATGGGCTGCATGTGGCCCAGGACAGCTTTATAAACTTTTTTAAAACACTATGAGATTTTTTTTTTTGTGATTTTTTTTAGGGCATCAGCAATTGTTAATGTTAGTGTATTTTATGTGTAGCCCAAGACAATTTTTCTTCCAATGTGGCCCAGGAAAAACAAAATATTGGACACCCCTGAACTAACTGTATTTTTGTACCCATTCATCAACCTCTCTTAATCCTTCCCTGCTCCCCCTACCCTCCCCAGACTCTGGTAATCACCATTATACTTTCAGCCATTGTGAAGCTGAACTAACTTTCATTCTTTAGGATGTCTCTGCCCTTCCCCTAAAGCTGTAAAAAGCTTTCATTCAATGATCAGAGAGACTTGGGCAATATTAACAATTTTGGAAAGACAGAACATGTTCTAAAATCTCCAATTTTTTTCAGCTACAATAACATGATATCAATTACTACAATCTATTAATTCATAAATAAAACTTTTCAACTATATTAGTATAGCTCTTACAAAAACCTACTTAAAATCCTTACTTGAAATGGGCAAATCAATTATGTGAAAATATCACCAGTATGAAAACACAAAACACATGATTTAAAGGTCAGATTAGTGAGTAATCTGTCACTCTACTATGTAAAAAATAAATCCAAATATATCTGTAAACAAATCCAATACAAATTATGTTTAAATCATAAAATTGGTTTACGCACAGTATTATACTTTATCCTTGACATATGTAATCATGAGTTTATTGATTTATGAGAAAAATTAAAATCGCATGAATTTTTCAGTCATTTAGTCAACAATTAGATATTGATGTCTAAGTAATTGAAACTCTTGGTTAGAGGCACATTGTATACAAAGCTAAACATACAAAATCTGCTCTATATTTAATTTATGTCAGTTGTAAATTTTGTTACAATAAACATGCTAATAGTATATTTCTGTAAAATGTTTTATAGACAGAAAACTATTTCAAACACTTCATTTGCTTATGCTGTGAGATATACATGAAATACATATACCTTTTAAAAACTCAACCTTTATAATCTTATATCCAAGACAATAATAACATCAACACTGAAACTTTCAGTTTCAGTCAATTTGCTCAAAAGTAGATCAGTTTTGCCCTTTGAAGTACTTGAAAGTTTATTTATATTAACTTAAGAGACACAATGCACTTAGTACAGTTTTGTTACATGGATATATTGCATAGTGGTGATGTCTGGGCTCTTAGTGTAACCATCACCCAAATAATGTACATTGTACCTATTAAGTAATTTCTCAACCCCACTTTCCTCACACTTCCCCACCCTTCCGAGTTTCCAATGACTATTATTTCACACTCTATGTATACACATTACTTAGCTCCCAACTTTTAAGTGAGAATATGGATATTTAACTTTCTGAGTTATTTCAGTTAGGATAGTGGCCTCCAGTTCTGCACATCTTTCTGCAAAAGATATGCTTTTATTCATTTTTTGTGGATGAATAGTATTCCACTGTATATATAAAACAGGTTGTATTTTAAAATTTTCAATATTGCGGTTCGTATTTTCATTGCCTGTCTTATCTTTCCCTCATCCTTCTTGTAACAGGATGTTCCCCCTTCAACAGGACACATAATGTACCAAAATATAATATTTCCCTGGCAGTGTAATTTTATTCATTCATTTATACATTCAACATACCATACTTTATTTTTTAATGCTTTTTTAATGCTGTGAGGAGACCTTTTCTGCCTTAATTACATATTCCAACAAATTCAGCCTTTAAGGTTCCATCTGCATGGCTTTCCAAAAGCTATGTATGTTGGAGCTAATTGAAAGTACAAATAATAGTGAAAAACCTCTAAGAAATATAAGAATATTTCATTCATCAGTGGAAGCAGCACTGAATTAATATGTTATTTAGAAAGAGACTGTGGCAGCCATGAGGCTGTACCTTGCAGACCTCCAACTACAGGGAGCATAACTGGCCTAGGCCATGAGAGGCTGCTCTGAGATTACGGCTGTGTTTGTGCAGAGACCACGCTTCTATGTGCTGCTCCCAGCCAATTACTAAGCTCCATAGGATACTGAGCAGGCCATTTCCTGGGAGACATATGGCTCCTTAGGCTAAAGAATGCTTAAGGCCTTGTCAGACATGCCTCAGTCTAGGACTTTTCCATCAAAACTCTCTTCTTCCCTTATCCCTTTATGTTGTGTTAGATTTGCGTAGCGATCTGATGGCTATCCCAGTCTTCCCAATTTATTTCTCCTTTTCTCTTGGTTTTTGCTTCTCTGAGGACCTGGACTAACATAAAGCTAAATAAAGACCTGTGTCAACAGTAACAGGGAAACAGCCAACAAAGAAAGAATTAAGAACTCTATTGAGGGAGGAGGCAATTTGAGGAGGGTAAATTGCAGTCTAAATTATTTTCGTTATGACATTTCTTTGTTTCTTAAACCCATGTTGTAGTCTTCCTCCAGGGTGGTATTGCGTGATAAACTAAGCTTTAGATGAATATTTCAATTTAAGTGCCTAAGCAAAAAATTTAAACCGATTACCACTGTTTGGAGGGAGGTCCACCATAGACCCTGAGTGTTTTTGCACATTTTGCTTACTGTGCTCACCCTCAAGACATTCTTCTCTTAATTATAAGTAGTTCGGTAATTAGCCACATAGGCAACTATGTAGCTCAAGCCCACAAGGGAATGATGACCATGTAAAGTCTTGCTCCCTGGAGGGAGGAAGACTGGCTTGTTTGCTGCTTGCTACCAAGTTTGCTGCTAACTCAGAAAGTACTGGGCCCTTGGCCCTGGGATCGTCTCCTGTAAGACAAACCCCTTCCTATGCAGGCATAATCTGTCCCTCCATATTGCCCAGTGCAATTAGGGGTCAGAGAATAAGCATAAACTTTCTGACACACTGGTTACTGCTTTTTCTGTGGCTATTAATGCCTTTTGTCTCTGCTTCAGTAATCTCATGTCTTCTTCCACTGTCTAAATTGTTAGTTTGCAAGTAGAGTAAAATTGCATACTCTTCTCAGTTGGCGACACTCACTATTTCTTTTTTCTCAAAACTGCTTCTCTTCTATGTTCTGTTTTTAGTGAATGAAGCTATTAGTCATGCTACAAATAAGAAAATTTCTCAGATATCTAAGAATACCAATGGTGGTCCAGTATGACATATAAAAAAATAAATTTTCTTAAACATTCTTTTTCTGTAAGCAGAAAACAGTTTTAATTAACCCAATGTAACTGGCCACTATTAACAAATGACTTATCCTATAGTATTTAATGAGGCATCATTTATGTTTAAGTTACGTCGAAAAGAATAGTAATCATTCATTTAAAAAATATAGTGATATAGTATAACATCAGTTAATGAGTTGCTTTTTCACTCCAATGGTTTCATTTTAATCCTGCAATTTACTTCAGTTAAGCATTTGGGCCAAAATATCATTTAAAGGGTGGATAAACTCATTAAACTGTTCAGCTATTGAGCATGTTCTTATTTGAGCATAGGATCCTGGTTATGTGTGCTTAAAGTCCTATGCAATGTCTTCACAAAACTAAGTGCACTATACAATCATATTTTTCCTACTGGCATTTTGCCTATCTCGGTTAAGTATCCAAGTGTCCAGATGTTTTAAGAAATTCTCAGATAACTAGAGATTACATAAAATATATCTTGGCCAAATGAAATATTAACGTTTCTGCCAAAAGCTAAAGAACATTTGTTAATGGCTTCACAAAAGAACATAACTCTGGACCGGAAAAAAAAAATCTGAAATGTAGAATTTTAATTTTTCTAATATGTAGTTATATAAAGATATTAAACCAAAACTTCAGTATTTAACGTCTGAGGGTTTTTAAAACATGTAAATATAAGATTTACATTAATTTAACTTTTGGTTTAAACATACTATGAGATACCCAAAGCCTCATGTGGCCAGGTCAGAGAAAGTGTAGCAAATGCCTGAATAGGAAAGCAAGGATGAGATGAGAGAAGCCACACTGATGTGAACCACCTAAAGCCCACAGAGCAGCCGAGGAGCAAATTGCTCTCCTCTGCTGCCATGAAAATATGTAAGATAATTCTTGTAAGCAGATGCTAACAAGGTAATAGTTAAGGAGTAACAAGAAGAAGAAATTAAGCTTCCATGGATCTCAGTACATAATTTTAAGTTATTTATACTTTTAAATACAAAAGTATTTGTTATCATTAGCATAATTATTTCACAGCATTCTTGCTTTTGTTAATTATATCGTAAGTATATTTCTGTATAGAGAACCATATGCTCCAGTTTGTGCAGGACAGTCCTGGTTATGTGTGTTGTCTCAGCATAAATAACTAATTAACAGACCCCGTTTTCTGTGCAAAGTATCCCAGTTTGGCCTATATATTACATAATCAACATCCTTATTATATTTTCTTTGTATTGTGCTTTATATTGCTCATACAGATTACACTTTGATAAGTTATATGTAATACATATTACTTTTTGGCTTAGGTTTTATTTGAGGATAACAATATTTAATGTTTAATGCGTGATGAATATATTGCACATACCACACTGGGCCTTGTAAATAAGACACAATTATTTTGTTACAGGTTCAGTTATAATTTTACTTAAAGCCATTCCCCATACAGTCTTTGAGTTAAGCCTATTGATAGTTCTACGCACAGGAGAATTGGAACATAATCACTACAAGTAGTAAAGTAGTCTCCTGAAGATGAAACAAAGAGTTCTAATCCATTATACACTGACCGACTTGTAGTCCCATTCATCTAATAGTTATCCGGGAGCATTTCTATAGCTGGAGGAGAAAACATCAAGCTAGTTGCAATAGACTTTATTTTTGGCAATGCTTAAACTTCAGGTATTCACCTATGCTCCCATAAGTTGATTCCTCTGCCTGGCTATTTCCCATTTCAGTGAATAACAATAAACAAATTCCATTACACAGAAGTATTTTATTTTATGGTAATTGGAACAAAATGAACAAAGTATTTTAATAACTTGAAGATTTTCATTACATCAAAGCTCAGTAATTGTTTCTCAAAATGATTCTCTTGGCTAATATAAACATCTAAAATTGAAAGCAAAAAAGAGACAGCCTTAACTATCCATGTAGTTTGGCATCTGTGGTAATGCCATTTGCCAGGAGTTTTTCAAGAGAATATAATGGATATTGTCACATGGAACCAAATTGTGTCAACTGCAGTGTTCCTGATAATTAAAAAGATTGGTCACAGGTGTAAATTGGAGTACACAAGAAAAACAGTAAAAATCAGGTTTTTAGTCATTAAAGCAGTGGGACAAAGGATAAAACATTACAGAGGAAAAACAGCTGCATGCCTGCTTCATGCTTTATGAGCATCATGAGTATATTTGATGCTCAATTAAATCATTATAATAATAATTTAGGGTGCCACCTTCAAGAAAGAATATCTTAACTTTAATTATCTGTCCAGGAGTTGCTATTCTGTTTTGCATAGATATGAGCAATAATGTTTAATCATAGTACAATAAACCAAATTTTAAAGCTGCCTAAAAGATATTTTCTAAAATAAATAAAACTGTAAATCATGCACTGCAATGTTTATCTACCTTTGTTTTTATAGGAAGCTCTGACATTGATTTTATATGTTTACATATGAATAAAGTAAAATTAACTTGGGGTAAATAATGAATAGAAGCTGCTCACCAAATAAAAGTTTTCATTTAATTAAAAAATAAATTCAAAGAGTGTATTCATGAATTATGTTAATAGTATTAACTTTTACATTTTATTACAGGTTGGGGTGATTTACAGCTTATATGGTTTGACAGTGTCCCCACCCAAATCTCAACTTGAATTCTATCTCCCAGAATTCCCATGTGTTGTGGGAGGGACCCAAGGAGTGGTAATTGAATCATGGGGGCCAGTCTTTCCCATGCTATTCTTATGATAGTGAATAAGTCTCACGAGATATGATGGGTTTATCAGGGGTTTCCACTTTTGCTTCTTCCTCATTTTTCTCTTGCCACTGCCATGTAAGAAGTGCCTTTCACCTCCTGCCATAATTCTGAGGCCTCCCCAGCCATGTGGAACAGTAAGTCCAATTAAACCTCTTTTCATTTCCAGTTTCAGGTATGTCTTTATCAGCAGCATGAAAACCAACTAATACAACAGCTTATTTCACATTTCTCCCTAAATTAAATGTTTTCCTTTCTGTAGGCCTTCACCATATAATATGGTTTTGTAAACAATACAAAATGGTTTTGTAACCATGATTGAGTTTCTGAATCTCTCTGAAATCCGGTTTTCATTTATAAAATGCAGATAGTAATGATCTGCTTATCAGGACAAATTTGAGTATTTAAATTGGTTAATAAATGTAAAATTCCTAGAGTAATGCTTAACACATAGTAAGAAATCAATACATAGTCAGCCCCTTCTTATCCCAGGGTTCCATGTCCATGTATTCTAAAAATCATGGATCAAAAATTTTCCAGAAAAAATATAAATAACAATTGAATAAAATATAATGCAAATAAAATATACACTGTAACAACTATTTATATACATTATGTACACTAGCTTTTACATTGTATTAGGATTCTAAGTAATCTAGAGATGATTTAAAGTATGAGGGAGGATGTGCGTAAGTTATGTTCAAATACTGCTCAATTTCATATAAGTGACTTGAGGATACACAGACTTTGATATCTGCAGATAGGTACTGGAACAAATCTCCCACCAATATCAGTGGACAAATGTATGTCGTTGTAGTTTTGAAGATAAAACCAAGATTTAAAAAGGCAAAATTAATTGTCCAGCATGCATACTAATACAAGATAGTCTAAAAGCAATATTCAATTTAAAGTTCATATCTTATAGATTGATTTTGCTAAAATTGATTTTATGGTGTTGAGTCTTTTCTTGTTCAATGTTTCCTAAAGGTTTTCTAAATGACTCATTTGCAAAGGGCTTCTATCAGCAAAAAAGATAATTTTAACTAATACAGAAAACAGAGTAACATATGAAAAACAATAAAAAGCCTGTTACCTTTAGTTATTGGGCTTTATATCTGACTTGATAGTTAACGTCATAGTGCTTTGGACACTATTGTCATGAAAAGAGGAAACCCAGGATTCAGAAGTTTTAAGCAGTTTGCACAAAGTCTTCTTGATAGTGTAAACTTGAATCTAGATACTGATATCAATATTTGTGTTTTTCCCACTTAAATACAGAGTTTGCGCTTAGCCAATAACACACCCCTGCCAATATTTCAATAAAAAGGTACACAAGCAGACATAACAAGCGCACACACAAACGTTCATATTAAAATGCACAAATGCTCCCATCCCACCCCCAACACACATCAGCATTTATGGGGTTGGACTTTTATACATTTGAGTCCTGAACCACCTATTACTTCCCTTTATTGCTAGTGTGGTAGCTAACGCCCAAACTGGTGATCAAATCAGCACTGAAAGTAGACTCCCGGTGATTATAAAAATTCACCTTTAAAACAACTACTTATGGCTTCCATTTTATGAGGAAGATCAAACAGAGATCAATGATAAGACCTCATTCTCATGACATAGATAAGGGCTTATTTTTTCTTTATTCAAAATGAGAGCTCTTACTTCATCCACGACTATTTAATTCTGTACATTACAGACCATCCTACACCAATATATTAAATCATGTCTTTGAAAATTAAAACAAAATTATTCATTGCTATTAGATTATCTAACTCTCCATCATAAAACTTGGTCCCTACTATGCTCTCTATTTGCTTATACTGAAGTAGTTCAACATGTGTATTTGTTTAGATGTCTGTCTCTCGCTTCTAGGTAGTAATCTCCTTGGCTTTGTGTACTTTGTGATCTGCCTGGCTTTGTATATCCTGCATGCAGTATAGGGTGTGGTGCACAAATGTGTTTGGAGAAAGGAATAAATGCATGAAAATACAGATATGGCCAAAGCGAATGTTCAGAAAAACTTTCTTGAAGACATCACATAACTAACCTTTAGTTTCTTCATATGTAAAAAAAGATAGCAAGAATACTAGTCTCAGATGATAGCTGTACAGAAAAAAAGGTAGTGTAGATATTAATACTTTAGTAAAATGAACATTATAAAAACATGAATTGTTATTTTTACGTCTACTTTATTTTAACCTTTTGATGGAGAGTTCTTGCATCCTCTGAAATACATCCCTACTTGATTCCACTTTTAATTCTGCTTCTTTTAGTTTCCACTGCCTTCCACTCCAACTCTCAAGCCATGGCGTTATTGTCCACATGCACTATTGTCCCCCATATCTGTTATTTAAAGGCTACTCAGAATATTCTTCTTAAAACATACACTGATTCATCATTAGCATGACCCAAATATTTTAGCATTTCATTTCACTTAGAGCAAAATCCTAAATATGTATTAAGATATAATAAATATATCCTCTGTGTACACCTCCTGTCATTTTCCCCTCTCCAGTCTGTTTCTGATATATGGACTCTCTTTCATTGCCTTAAACTCAATAACAAATGTCTACATTCAGTGTTGTCCCTCTGCCTCACATCTTCTTCCTATCATGACTAGTTATTTTTCTGGTCTACATTTAAAGGTACTTCCTCAAATAGTCCTTCCTTTGACTTAGCTGTTTTGGTTATGCCATCTCATCATGCTCTATAATTATCCTTCATAGAATATTGCTTTCAGTATTTTTTTTTGTTTTTATCCAATTAATGTCTAACTCTCCTCACTAACTAAATGAGGGGAAGGGTAATGACTATTTTGATAAAGCAGAGTGGCTGACATTAGTAGGCCTTTTAGAGCTTTTCTAAAGGATATTGTCAGGTCTTATACAAGTATATAAGAATTAGAAAAATGTGCTAACTGGTGGTGCTTAGACCCAAAACAATTTTGTATAGTCATGTGTTATCCATATATTGCTTAACATAACTAGAATAAATTATTGTTTTTTCAAATGAATTCATCTATATGAATATATATCTCAGACTATACTTCTGGGAAGACGTCTAAAATAAATGTGCTGGGCACAGTGGCTCACGCCTATAATCCCAGCACTTTGGGAGGCCGAGGCGGGTGGATCACCTGAGGTCAGGAGTTCGAGACCAGCATGGCCAACATGGCGAAACTCTGTCTCTATAAAAGATACAAAAAATTAGCCAGGTGTGGTGGCAGGGGCCTGTAATCCCAGGTAATCAGAAGACTGAGGCAGGAGAACTGCTTGAACTCAGGAGGCAGAGGTTGCAGTGAGCCGAGATTATGCTACTCCACTCCAGCCTGGGTGACAGAGTGAGGCTCGGTCTCAAAAAAATAAAAAATAAAATAATAAAATAAAGTAAAATAAATGTAATTCTCTTTATATTTTCCCAACCAAAATAAAAGTGAAGATCAGTATTTAACTCTCTACAGGGAATTACCATTTTAACTACATATCTAACAAATTTAACATATCTTCTTTGGATAATCAGAAAAAATTTAGGATTTTAATATTTGTTAATGCAATTAACTAATCAACTGATATATTTTAATGTGTGACATTTTATTTTAATTATTGTTTTAGTTAGAATAATGAAAGTGGGTTTAAGTTAACCTCAAATGTAAGTGGCTCCAAAATTTAGAACTTTTTTTTCATTCACCAAGCAATTCATCACAGCTGTTAGTCTGCAGGTAGCTTTTATCACATGGTAATTAAGGAATCCAAGCTCTTTTCATCTTGTGGCTTCTCTCCACTATGTTTAGAGTCTCAGTTAGCTAGAGGGGAGGAAAGCAAAAATTGCTAAAGCACACTAGCTTATTAACTACTTTGGTAAAGGAATGACACATGACTTGTTCATATTCCATTCATGGGAACTATCCACATGGCCCAGCTAGATGCAAGGGCATCTGGGAAATGTAGTCCAAGTTTGTGTAGCTGCTTTACAACGTCAATTCTACACTGTAAAAAGTAAAACAAATGTGTAACTGCCGGCTAGCTTTCCCTGGATGAATCGTATAAATATAGAAATAGTATTGATGCACATACATAATCTACAAAATATACATAGTACAATTGGATATGAAGTATTCTGGTTTTGTTTTTCTCATTAATATTTTAAGTGATAGAATTTGAATTAGGTATTAAAATTCAAAAAGCTGACAAATGATTTTGTATTATAAATTTATCATTATTTTACTATTCTGACTTCAGAAAACTTTCCAACATTCTCAATTTTACTAACCTAAAACATGATTTTATTGAAGACCATATTAAGATTCAACATTGCAGCTTTATAATGAAGTGTATAATACTTTGGAAGAAAAATACTTTGTTTAATCATATTTAAGCATACCCTACTAGGAAAACTAGCTTTAGAGAAACTTCTATAAAAGTTAACATTAAATTAATAACCTCTAATTTACCAGATACACATTCATTAGCATTCATCACTTTTTAAAAATGAAACCGTATTTTATATTGTTTCATCTCTCTTGAAGTATTAAATAAAATGACTAACTCATGAAATAGAAACTTTTTATTTATGCCAGTGAACCTGATCTACAAGATAATGCAAAGATTTACAAAATACTAAGATTTCCATTTCAATGATTTAACCTGTTACAAAATGATAATAAGAATTTTATTTCAAAATTATTTAGCTTACTACTACATATAACTATAAATAAATGGAATTGTAGTGGTCATGTTATTTTTAGAGCACATGATCTTACTAAGAATATTTATTTAAAACATTTGATATACCTAGAAATTAATAACTATTTTCTTATTTTTATAATTCCCACTTGCAATCTCCTCTGCCTCCATTTGCATATGATGTTCTCCCCTTGAGTTTATGTGTCTCTATATCTCTCCTCTTCTTAAAAAGGAACTAGTCATATTGGAGGGTCCATCATATTCCAGTATGAACTTATCTTAACAAATTGCATATGCAATGACCCTATTTTAAAATAAGTCACATTCTGAGGTATTGGGAGTTAGGACTTCAACATGTTTTTTTGGCGGGGGTTGGGGGGACGGTGGTGGAGAGACACATTTCAACCCATTATAATCCCCAGCAAATTTACTGTGAATCAGGAGAGCTAAGAGAAGGTTTTACAGGATTTCTGCACTAGGATGCCCACAAAGGTTTCTTAATTCAACCCATTATAATCCCCCCAAAATTTACTGTGAATCAGAAGAGCCAAGAGAAGGTTTTACATGATTTCTGCACTAGGATGCCCACAAAGATTTTTTCTGACTTTAGGCAAACAGAATATTAACCCCCCAAAAAGAAAATAAAGGTTATATTTCTGTTATTTTTCCTATTTATTCACTCGGAGAGTTAAGAGATAAATAAAGATAAAATGTTTCCATTACATGATTTGGGAATAGGTTTGACTGCAGTTCCTTGACAATGACATAAAAACATATAAGACATTTTCCAATATACTGGTAAGAAAAGTGCAATGGTAGAGTAGATTTTTTATTTGACAACAGCTTTGGTTAGGTTGAGGAAGATGGCAGCACATGTGAGGTTAGTAGAAAAAAGCCTGATAGTAAGTTGGTATACTCTGGAAATGGGAGGACATATCTTGATAATGACCTAGGTTAGATAATGGAGAAAAAGCTGACAAAAATCACTTACGTATAGAATTATTGTTATGTGAATAGTGAAAATACAAAATTCCCTGACCACGTGAAGATAAAAGTGTATTTTTGTGTGGGATTTTCAAGGCTAGAACTTTAATGGTAATTAATTTATTTAAGTTGGAAATTTTCTAGATGTTAAAGAAAAGGATCTTCTCTATTAAAGTTTAGAGAATTTGTTCACCACTAGAATTTGTGCTACAAGTAGAACACAGCACTTACATATAACATCATTTGTAAATGCCCTTCTCTTCTCCAATAGCTTTTTGTCCCACTTTACATTCCTTATTATATATACATATGACGTATATATATATATATAATGCAGAACAATGATTAATGTATTCTAATAATTGACTAAAAGTAGTTGGCAAGAGTCAGACTATTATGAAAACGGTCTTCAGAAAAGTCGTGGAAAATGTGTATTAGGAAAAATATATATAGATGGATTTCAAAATATTTTTGCATCAAAATAAACCAACAGGATCTAGTTTGAAGCACTAAGGATAAAACATTAGTTTGGAAAGAACCCCTATGAGAGCAACATGAATTCTGAGAAAATAGAAGCAAGAACAAACCTCAAATTTATGGTGACGTGTGGATGGAAGAGTTAGGGTTGGCCCTAACTGAAGGGGGCTGAGAATCAACAGCTAAAACAGCTAACACCATAGACATTTCAATTGGTTCAGCATACACAATTCTGACTGAAAAATTAAAGTTGAGCAAATTCCACTCAATGGATGCCAGAACCATTGCACCCACATTGGCCATAGATGAGAGCAGAGCTTTCAATGAAAATTTTAAACAAGTGGGCTCAACATCCTGAAACGTTTTCTTGAAGTATGATAAGAGGAGATGAAGCATGGCTTTACCAGTATAATCCTAAAGACAAAGCACAATCAAAGCAATGGATGCTAAGAGATGGAAGTGGTCCAATCAAAACAAAAGTGAACCAATTAAGTGCAAAGGTCATGACAACAGTTTTTTGGGGGATGTTCAAGGCATTTTGCTTGTTGACTTTCTGGAAGGCTAAAGAACAATAACATCTGCTTATAATGAGAGTTTTGAGAAAGTGATCCAAGGGTTTAGCTGAAAAACACCCAGGAAAGCTTCACCAGTGAGTCCTTCTCCACCATTACAATGAAATTTTGCCAGAGTTTCAGTGAAAAATTATTAGGCATCCACCTTAAATTTCTAACTTCGCTTCTTCTGGCTTCTTTTTGTTTCCTAATTTAATTTTTTTAAGGTCACCCAGTTTTCTTTAGTTAATAATGTAAGAAGATTGCATTGACAGGGTTAAATTCCCAGGACTCTCAGTTCTTTAGAAATAGACTAAATAGCTGGTATCATCATTTATAAAAGTGTCTTCAACTTGATGAGGTAATATTTAGAAATAAAGTTTCTATTTTTCATGTTTATCTTTTAATTCAATTTTTCACAAGCTTTTTGAAGCCCCCTTATATTCTACTTTAGTTGAGTTGGAATTATCAGAAATTCTGGACTACATAGTTCTTTTTCTCACTAGAAATGTTTTTAGTTACATTTACATTCTAATCTGTTCCCTCTTTTTCGATCACCTCATGCAAGAATCTATCATCACTACTAAACACATCAGATTTTAAGTTCTCTTAATTGGCTTTTATAAAATTCCTGCTACAATAAAAAACCTGAAACTCTTGTTTTTCCTTAGACAAATCAACAATTAGTTACCTACTCTGCTTCCGTTATTTATACTAATCACCACATGTAAGCTTCTCTAATCTCTCCAGGAAGATTTTATATTTTGGAAGCACCAAAGCTATTCCCTTAATGCCAGCCATTGTAATGAAAAAGTCTGGGGCAACTCTTCTAAGAGAAGATAAACAATTATTTATGTCACGTTTATTCTCTCTTTCCAAACACCAGGACTATTTAAAATAGCATGATATTGTCTCAGTTTTCAAATGGATTAGTTAAGTGTGAAAGAGTTGGTTTGATGATGATAATTCAATTCCATAAATGCTGCTTCTATCATCTTATCCCAGAGGTTCACACAGGCAACATCACACAGCTTAATCTTCTGAGATATTTAGCAGCAATGGGCAGATCAAAATTATTCAATACTTTTCTCTAATTTTCTAGAATATGGCTTGGATTTTTATTTAGAAGAGAAAAATATCTTAAAATATTTAATTTAAATCATATATAGTGGAATTTCCAGAAATGACTAAAACTTCTTTGGGCATTAAAAAACTGATTTATTAAAGTTATTTGTACATGCATGTTAAACAAGTACAGATAACAAAGCTTAAAAATAAACTAAAAATTTTTGAAAATATGCAGTTGTTTTTGAGAAGCAAGGATGAAATAAAAGCTCATAAGGAGGTGGTTACTGTAATTTATCTGTAGATAAAGCTGATTTAGTGCTTCAGGCTTGTATACTTACCCTGAGGCACCAGTCTCACTAGGGAGGGAGAAAATTATGTCTTATATCTCAAGTTAATGGTTTAAAAGTACAAGATTCTCAAAGAAGCATTCAAGGATTTTTAGATCATTATTGTTTTATGGATGGAAAGTAATAAATGCAATTTTAAACTCAAAGTTTAATTTCTGTAAGAATACTTTTGAACTTGCTAATATTTTCTATTAAGTCAAATAACATTGGATAGTACATGAAGTCTTGATATAGATCTGGTATTTTAAAAAATTAAAAAAAAATGCCACTAGTAATAGCAAGTCAGTGACTTTATTATTACTGATATAAATAAATTATGGATAAATCTAAATTTGCAGTCAACTACAAGCTATTTTCTATTTTTACAACTCAAAATTGTAGTTCAAATTAAATTTGTTAATCTATAAGTCAAAATATAAAATTTGGTATTTGATTAAATAATATTTTGCTAAAAATGAGCAAAATATTGATATATTAGGCTGATCATTCCTTCTACGCTCATACAGAGATGATGCTTGACCATACCTTTTTTTTTAAAAAAAGTCATGACCTCTTTTTCTTTAACGTCAAAAGCCCAATTGATACACCTTTTGCTTACTTTTCTAGGCTTATATAAACCCATCCTTTATCCCTCTACGTCCTTCTCTTCACATAATTCCAACTAATGTAAGTCCTATTAGCCACCTTTGAAATATGCTTAAATATTTCTTGTTCAATAAGGTTCAGTTAACACAATATGCACTAAATCATAATAATAAAATTTTTAATAATAATAAAATAACATGTAATGAATATTAAGCTCCAGGCAGTATGTGAAATGCTATATATTCTTCATTCAATTTTAATACAACAATCCTGTGAGTTAAATAGTATTATTCGTGTTTTACAAATAAGAAGACGAAGCTTAGAGAAGTTGAGTAACTTGCTCAAGGTCATAAAGCCAATAATTGCCAGATTTGTTATTCAAAAAAATAATTGCCAGATTTGTTATTGTAACTACTATGTTAGATTGCCTTTCCATATTAAGAATGAAGCAAGGTGCCAAATTGAACTCTATGAGCACTCAGATCTTGTCTGTTTACTTCATCTTTGTAGTTTTCATGTCATTAAATAGTGTGTGTTACTCAATAGACATTTGTAGAATTAATAAGAGTATCCATTAATTGAGTCTAAAATTTTCGATCATATGAAAACCCAAAATCCTATGTATCCAAAAACAGAAATTATAGATTGTGGTATATTTTTGTTTTCTTTTCTCTAGTTCATCTCCTTAAAGCAATCTTACTCCAATAATAACATCTGCTCCCAAGATTTCGCTTGCCTTTGTTCTCTGTTTCAGCTTTGAGCAGACCCTCATTGCCTTATGTTTCTTAAACAGTCATTTAAATTTCATTCCCTGTCATTTTATTCATGGGCAGAGATCTGTAATCTTTCACAAGTCACTTAGCACTTAGCCTTCTTAATAAGGGGACACAGAAAATAATATTATATATGTAGATTTTTGAAGGTTTGTTCACCTGAGGTAGTATGAAAATCTCTTGGTTCACTGAAGAATGTATCAGTGAAGCCCCTGTCATCCTCTGTACACAACTGAAGGACCATTCCTTGAATTCCTGCATGGAAAGAGAGAAATTAGTGAAGGAAGCATTATAGAGAAGAAAACCTTTTCCAGTGTAGTGAGCACACTGTGGTATACTGAGCCTTCAAGTACAATTATTGAAATTAACAGAAATCTATGCCTGAAGATTCTTTTCTCATTGTTTCTATTTTCCCCATTTTTCTCCTTTCTTTTGTCTTTCCTTTGTTTCAAAATAATTTATTTGCTTATTCTGACTTCCTGGGAATGTAACCACAGATCATTCTCTCCACCCCTGCCTCTCTCTCTCTCTCTCTCTCTCTCTCTCTCTCTCTCACACTTTCTCTCTCTCTTTCTCCTCTGCTCTCCCGTCATCTCTCTCTCATTCTCTTTCTCACACTGTCTCTCTCTCATCTCTATTTTCCAAGTACTTTGAGCTACTTTTAGACTTAAATTAACAAATCCAACACTCTACAAAATTAAATCTGGTTAACTTTTCTAACTGGCTTTATGAATAGCAATTGTAAGCATCAAAAATTAATGTAATAATATTTCTTTCATTCTATATTAATTATCAAAATCAAAATTCAGCTCTACAGAAGAAATCACCCAATAACTAAAAATCATTTGGACTTATTTTTTAAACAAAATTTAACAAAATCTATATAATTGTCTATTGGTCTTAGTTCTACAACAATGTTTAAAGTTATTCCCCAGAACTTAATGATTCATTTTCTTTGCTCTCTTAATCAATTATCTGCTTACCAAAACATCTACTGAGAATCTTGTTGATTTATATATTCTAGGTCAACCAATATTTATAGCACTGAGGAAAAAAATTATTTCTGAGTTTGACTTACTGTCTAGCTTCTCCCAAATATCTGTGGCTACTAGTAGCACAAAAAATGCTTTGTAAAAGAACATGATTATTGTATTTTTAAATAACTTATCGGTTGAGGTATAGATAGATAGATAGAAGCATTCATATACTAGCTTAAATATTGTTATGCAATATAATTATCCTTGAATAATACTTTTTATTTTTTTCATTCTTTTTTTTCTACAAAAGTTTCCATATCATTTGAAATGAGGAGGTTAGGTCCCTTTTTTCTCACTCTCGACCTCTTACTTGCTTGGTTAAGTACTACAGTTCAATTTGAAACAAAAGTTGAAATACTTACAATAAAAGTGCAAATAATTGGTCTGTTTGCTCTTAAATCCATTGCTTGGACCACTAGAACTTTACAGAATGTCTGTGATAATCATTTGACTCTCATTTGCCATTGGTCAAGGATTATCCCAAAGATGTAATATCTTTCATTAATCTGGACCTATGCAAGAGATTTACACACTCACACAAGCATCTGTAATTTCAGAGCAAGCATGGACAGAAAATTGAGATATCAGGCATTGTGCTTGAGGCAAGACATTATCAGAGAACAATGAGGCGAATCCAATGCAGAACTGTCTATCCTATCCCTAGATAAAATTAGGGTTGTAACCACGGGGATGTAAGCCAGAGTACCCAACATGTCTAATACATTTATAACAAGATTTCTGATAGATATGCTTTATAAGATAAAGAAAATTTACTTCTATTTTTGTTTTGCTAAGATTAATTTTCTGTTAAAAAAATGATTTTTTTTAAGAATTTTTTTTCTGTGCCAACTGGGAGTATTATTCATCTTTTTCATTTAGTCTATTAGTGTGGTATAATTTAATGATAGGTTTTCTCATGTCATATCATCTTTGCATTACTAGGTTAAAACCAATAGGTTTATAATACACACGAAGACACACACAGTTATGTTGGTGCAAAAGTAATTGTGGTTTTTGCCATTACTTTTACTTTTTTGCCATTACTTTAACTTTTTTGCCATTACTTTCAATATACAAGGCTTGATAAAATTTTTAAAGGACTTTTGCATTCCAACATTCAAAAATTAGATTATATTAGGTAGAATTATTGCCACTCCCCTCCCACCACCAAAGATATCCATGACTTAATCGTCAGAACCTGTTAATATGTTGCTTTCATGCCAAGGGAACTTTGCAGATGTGATTTGGTTAAGGACCTTGAAATTGGGAGGTTATTCTGGATTACCCAGGTGGGCCCAATCAAATTACATATGTCCTTAACAGGGAACAACTTTGTCCAGCTCTTGTCAGAAGGAAATGTTACTGTGGGATAATAGAAAGAAAATGTGCTGGCTTTATAAACAAAAGAATGGGGCTACCACCCAAGGAATGTGAATGATTTCTAGAATCAAGAAAAGACAAGGAGATAAATTCTCTCCTGGAGGCTCCAGAAAGGAGAGCAGCCCTGAAACACCTTGAGTTTAGCCCAGTGAGACCCATGGCAACTTTGTGACTTCCAGAACTGTAGTTTATACTTATATTGTATATACTTATTCTGACTTAAGTATTGTGTTAGATAACCTTTCTTCTTAAGCCAGTGTCTGAAAAAGTTTGCATTTCATTGAGGTTATTTTTTCCTTAACAGTTTTGTAAACCCATCTGTAACACCAGGTGGCAGGAGTAATTGGATTTATTTTATAATTTAATTTATTCTATGATTGCTAATTTATTCAGAAATTATATTTTCTTATGATTGATTTTTCTTAAGACCCACCCATGATCAATCATACCATGTTTTAAAATTTAATATTCTTTGGAGATATATATATATATATATATATATATATATATATATATATATATGTTAAATGAAATAAGCCAGGCACAGAAAGACCTATATCACACAATCCCACTCATAGGCCAAATCTAAAAATGTTGACCTCCTAGAAGTAGAGAGTAGAATGGAGTAGAATGGTGATTACCACAGCTGGAGTGATTGAGGGGTGGAGATTGGGGCAGATGTTGGTCAAAGAAGACAACATTTCTGTTGAATAGCAAAAGAGTAAGTTAAGGAGATCTATATAAAACAGGGTGATTATAGTTAATACTATATTAAATTCTTAGAATATGCTTAGAGAGTGAATGTGACATGTTCTCACCGCAAAAATGATCACTACGTGAGATGATGCACATGGTAACTGATTTAGTTATTCCACAATGTATATATACTTCAAAACATTACACTATATAGAGTAAATACATACAATTTTATCTGTCAATTTTTTTTAATTTTTTTATTATACTTTAAGTTCTAGGGTACATGTACACAATGTGCGGGTTTGTTACATATGTATACATGTGCCTTGTTGATGTGCTGCACCCATTAACTCGTCATTTACATTAGGTATATCTCCTAATGCTATCCCTCCCCCTTCCCCCCACCCCACAACAGGCCCTGGTGTGTGATGTTCCCCTTCCTGTGTCAATGTGTTCTCGTTGTTCAATTCCCACCTATGAGTGACAACATGCGGTGTCTGGTTTTTTGTCCTTGCAATAGTTTGCTGAGAATGATGGTTTTCAGCTTCATCCATGTCCCTACAAAGGACATGAACTCATCTTTTTTATGGCTGCATAGTATTCCATGGTGTATATGTGCCACATTTTCTTAATCCAGTCTATCATTGTTGGATATTTGGGTTGGTTCCAAGTCTTTGCTATTGTGAATAGTGCTGCAATAAACATACTTGTGCATGTGTCTTTATATCAGCATGATTTATAATCCTTTGGGTACATACCCAGTAATGGGATGGCTGGGTCAAATGGTATTTCTAGTTCTAGATCCCTGAGGAATCGCCACACTGTCTTCCACAATGGTTGAACTAGTTTACAGTCCCACCAACAACGTAAAAGTGTTCCTATTTCTCCACATCCTCTCCAGCACCTGTTGTTTCCTGACTTTTTAATGATCGCCATTCTAACTGGTGTGAGATGATATTTCATTGAGGTTTTGATTTGCATTTCTCTGATGGCCAGTGATGATGAACATTTTTTCATGTGTCTGTTGGCTGCATAAATGTCTTCTTTTGAGAAGTGTCTGTTCATATCCTTCACCCACTTGTTGATGGGGTTGTTTGTTTCTTTCTTGTAAATTTGTTTAAGTTCTTTGTAGATTCTGGATATTAGCCCTTTGTCAGATGAGTAGATTGCAAAAATTTTCTCCCATTCTGTAGGTTGCCTGTTCGCTCTGATGGTAGTTTCTTTTGCTGTGCAGAAGCTCTTTAGTTTAATTAGATCCCAATTGTCCATTTTGGATTTTGTTGCCATTGCTTTTGGTGTTTTAGACATGAAGTCCTTGCCCATGCCTATGTCCTGAATGGTATTGCCTAGGTTTTCTTCTAGGGTTTTTATGTTTTCAGATCTAACATTTAAGTCTTTAATCCATCTTGAATTAATTTTTGTATAAAGAACAAAGCTGGAAGCATCAACTATCTGACTTCAAACTATACTACAAGACTACAGTAACCAAAACAGCATGGTACTGGTACCAAACAGAGATATAGACCAATGGAACAGAACAGAGCCCTCAGAAGTAATACCACACATCTACAACTATCTGATCTTTGACAAACCTGACAAAAACAAGAAACGGGGAAAGGATTCCCTATTTAACAAATGGTGCTGGGAAAACTGGCTAGCCGTATGTAGAAAGCTGAAACTGGATCCCTTCCTGTCAATTTATTTTTTAAAAAGTGCTAAGAATTTATGAGAAATAGATGTTAGATGTTAGCTAACATTTTTTCTACATGTAACAAGATGATCATATGGTCTCTTAATATGGGTAATTACAGGGATTGAGTTACAATATTAAATAAGACTTGCATTTGGAGGATTAAAAAGTCTAATATTCTCTTTCATTATTATTTATTCATTTTTTTCATTTTGTCTTGAGCAATTTTACTAAAAGCAACTCAATTTTATTAGGTGTCTTTCTGTTTGTCTTAAAAAGCAGCTTTTGATTTTGATTGTCCTCTCAATGATTTCTAGTTTCTCTCTTATTAAGAATTAAACTTTTTCTTTCTCCTAATTTCTTTAGGCTAACTCTGTTAAAATGGTTCTAGTAAATTGAATTCACTCATTTTCAAACTTTTTTTGCTAAGTCATTAATGCCATAAATATATATTTTATTCTATTTCAGAATTTTGACAAATGGTAAATTCCTTTTCATCAGTCATAAATATTAAATTATTTCTACCATAATTTTATCTTAACTCATGTGAGTTAATACATATATTTATGTATAAAAATACATAAGATTTAATCCTTTAAAATATTTTTATATTATGGTAAAAATATGGATTAATGTTATAAATTTTTGGAAATGTGATAAAACTGCCTTTAAACCTACAATATGGTCAAATTTTGGAAATGTTGAAAAGGACACTTAAAATAAATATATTTTTATTCTGTATTTGTTGCAAGCAGAGTACTTTATACATCTTTTAGATAAAACTTTTTAACATAGTCTATATCCTCATTAATTTTTGTCTTCCTAATCCTTTCTTTTATTAAAAAATACATATCAACATATCTGCTATGATTATGCATTTTTAAAATCTTGTATTTCTCTCTGTTTTCACTGTTTATAATGTGAGACTTTCCAAGTTCACAAAGGTTCCATCTTCCTGTAATAGTGTTTTTTTTTATTTTTGCACTATGTATTTTTTTATATTTATTACCCTTTTATTTTAAATACTAAATTGTATAAAATTAATATAGTTTATGTATTGATTCAGATTAGAATTTTAACATTTTTATACTTCATTTCTCTATTCAACCTTCAAAAAATAATGATATTTTAGTTTGACTTTTCTCAGGATTTGAGGAGTAGGTTCTGGACTACCCTCACGACTTGATGAACAGGGCTATACTGTAGCTTTGGGCAAGATTGAAACAGTAAAACTTTTTCACCAGCTCTTTCTAAACTCTCTAGTGAAAGACCATATTTCAGATTTCACTGAAAACAAATAGACTATAAAGCATGGATTTCCTTAATCTCTTACTCTGCATAAAAAGTTACGTCTCTGTCCATCGTTATTTCTTTCTCTGGAAACCAAAGAATCCTGTCTTCTGTTTGAGGCTAATCCTTTCACCTGTGTTTCTGATACTAATCTCCTGTATCACAGGTACTTGTGCCGTTAGCCACCCACCATGCTTTCTCTTGTATGTGTAACTTTTCCCTCTCTACTCACTTATTTCCCAATAGAATATGTGCAAATATCGCATGTCCTCTACAACATTCCAGTGACTCTGTCCTCTACTATCCACCCTATGACGTAATATCATCTCTCCTTTTGCAGACAAGCTCCTATATCATATCCAATATATCACCTCCCTCTCAATCCTACAAAATCTCAGCTTATGTTTTTTTGAAGTACACTAAAATTGTTTGGCACAATTTTTCTATATTTCTCTACTTCCGAATCCAATGCTTTATTAGGTTCTTATCAAGAAACATCTCTGAAATATTGATATTTTGATATTCTCATTTCACTTGGCCTCTGGGATGACACTATTTTCTGAGTTTCATACTTCTTCCCTCTCTCTCAGTATTACCACTGCTATCATCCCCATACCCCCATGCCCAATCAAATGTCTGTCTTTGGGTTCTTATCTTACATCCGCTTTTTGTTGATCAAATTTTATTATGTAAACTCTTATTTACATTCAAATGACTCCTAGGTCCATATTTCTGGCTTAGTTCTCACTTTTAAGTTTCTAGGAAAAGTATTTTGCTTGTTTCAAAAGGAATTAAAAGCCCATGTTTGTTGAACTACTTTATATTTGTGATGGGAAAAAAATTGAAAAGAAAATAAAGGAAATGGTTTTTGGTGTCAGATGATAGCAGAGTACACTAGTGAAGCAATTTGAGCTCTACTCAGTAGGTAATGAAAAATCATCAAATGTTTTCTGAAAAAGAGTGATTTTATGGATAATGTACTTTGGAGAAAGTAATGTATCATTCTATGGTAGACAAATTAGAGAGAGATAGAAGAGAATAGAGATGGGGAGAAGTTAGAATAAAAAATTAGCATAAGAAATTGATGACCTAAAGTAGGATATCAAATAAAAAGAAAATGTAAATGGATAAAAGATCTCATGGGGTTTATAAAATGCATTATAAAATGATCTATGAATATTGGAGTGTGAGAAAAAATAAAAAGAGAGAAAGTATGGTGTTAAATTATGCAATGTGGCTGAATAGGAAAATAACACACCCATAGGAAAAAGGGTTAATTCATTTTGTCTCATTTTTAAGGTACCAGTTAGACATCTCTGTGAAAAAAAATTTGTAGGCATTTAAAAAAGCAGTTCTAATATTCAAAGGAGAAGTCATGCTAAGGACAAAAATGAGGAAGCTACTCAGGCTGATGATGAATGTTTTATAAATGAAGAAAGTCCTCTAGAGACAGTTTTTAGAGAAAGTGCATTGGAGATAGACTCCTCAAAAGTGACTGCATTTGTGTATAGATAAAAATGAGTAGTTGATATCAGTGAAAATACAGAAGTAATCACAGAAAAAAAGAGAACACAGCATTAGGGAAGCTAAGAGAAGAGAGAGCTCCAGGAAGTAGATTATGGTCAACAGATATGAAAGTTGCAGAAAGGCCAATGCATCAGAGATTTTTTTTAAAAAAGGCACTTTGGTTATATAGCGAATTTGGGCAACATAGAGTACACATTTTTTCATTTATTCAAAACATACCACTGAAGGTTCATGAGAGTGGAGCAACAGCTCTTTCCTATTGCAGATTAGCACCACGGCAGGCAAGGGGCACTCAGTAAGGTTTGTGCCCTCTATTTGAAAAGTCTAGTAGACATTGGAAATAAGCCAAGTTTACTGCCCTTAAGGATGTCCTAATTGGCTTGCAATGGCTACTACTTTTGAAGGTAGAAATATCTATGTAGCCTAATCAATGAACTCAAGTGTATATCTACTGTAACAAAAGGAGAGTTTTCAGTAAAAAACTGAGCTCGGCTTAGGCATGAGAAGAGAGTGGGTAGGTAGGTAGGAATCAGATCACGAAAAACATTTTACACTCTGCAATGGGGACCAGTATCTTAAGGAGGATAACCATAATGCAGGAGAATATTTTAAATTCTTAACAATATTCACCTATTACTTTCTCAAATTTGCCTGTCCTTTTTCAAGCAGAAACATATTCTGTACAAATTGCCAATGTAAAAAAAGAGTGACTTCACTGCCTAGAGTAGTAAAGAAGCAGCAATTTCCCAGAAACAAACAAGGCTACTTGATGTGTTTAAAAGTTGGGGCCCCAGATAGTGTTAGGGAGATTCTCTGTGCCCTGCATGACACAGAGTAGCAGAATGATTTCTGAGTGTTTAAGAATAGAACAGATGTACTCAGAGCTACTAGGCCTAAAAGGACCAAGTAGTCAGGGTCCTGAAGCACCTCTAATGTAACCTGTCTGGGCAGACAACACAGAAGATACGCCTACCTGAAATAGTTTAGCCTGCATGTAAGTAATATCAATTTATGTATTTCAACTTGATCTTTTCCTTCGAGTTGCAAACAGCTTCAGTTCTTTCAATTTTGACTCTACATGTGTTCTTGAAAGCATTTCAAAATCAGGATCATGAATTCCCAATAATTTTGGTTGCTATATTTACTTTTTTTTTTTAACCACTGCATGTTACTTAATATTAGAAACAACAAGAAAGTCTCTCAGCATAAGGGATATTTCAGCACAACACAACCGGACAGCTAACTAAGATTATGTTTTGACCTATTGAAAAGAAACAATGGATATTAAAATATCTCTAATTCAATTATGTAATATATATATATTCTTCTGTACTCTTTTACAGTACAATATTAAAGTACTTGCATGCAAATTATATATTATGAGATTTAACTGAATAAAAGCCAAATTAAAAATCTTAAAGTTAATACTGAAAAGACATTCTCTGTAAAAGATGGCCTAATATTGAGTTAAAAATGTCTTTGACACATTAGGAAAACTTTGATCCCTTTTTTCCTTATTATGACTTCCTTCACATCTGAAGATATAGTGCAAGTTGATAATGTATTATAAAATAACCTTCACAAATGTATAATAATGACTGTCTAGAACAGATTATGGTATTATGGATTACTCAATGAATAATGATAGGTTTTAATGAAAAGAAATAGTGAAACTTGTTTGACCCTGCCACTTCTACATGTCCTTCCGGAGAGTCACAGTAATAGCTCAGTCCATTCATTCTCTATAATTTAAAAATTTCTGATTTTAGCATCTTTATAACTGCAAGGGGATTAAAAAAACTCTGGAAAATTTAATCTAGTTAATAAAATTAAGTTAAATGGTGAGGCAAAGCGGTAAAATTTCAGAGACAATATTTTAATTAGAACCTGGTTTATCTGTAATGCCAACCACACGTGGAAATGGAGAACCTGCCTATATATTATTCTAACAAAATCGTGTTACAAAAATCTTTACCAAAATAACTAAAATAATAGTTGTTTTCCTAGAAAACATTTTTAGTGTTATTTAAACAGAGAGAAGCTAAAATAGCTAGACAAAATTCAATGTGTTTGGAAGAAATATGTTTGTAGGACTAAATAATCAATGCGAGTTTGTCAATTTACTAAAATATCAATTTGAATGAATTGAGTATAGTTTGAGATCATAGGATCATGTAGATTTTCCTACAGTCAAAGATATTAATGAATTTTTAAGTCGTAGCAAACATTTTTATTTGCTACGCTTATTTTACCAAAATAGAACTAGGTAAATCAAGATTGGCAAATTTCACATTAATACTTTTATACGGTGTTTTAAAAGTTAAAAACTGTCAGATACATTCCATGTGTATGATCTGCCTGAACAAAAGTGCTAAAGTAGACTGACTTAGGTTAACTTTCCTTTCCGAAAAGAATTAATAATTTTTTTGTTTGTTACAATAAAGACTGATTCATATTTTAGCTTTCAATGTCATATTGCCAATACCCAATTTTTATTGTCTCGTCTACTATAAAGCATGTCCTCTTCTTTTCAAGTTCAAAAGGGCACTGTGATGAACCTTGCATTGCATCAGCTCATGATCATTTTTCTGTCAACATCTATCACAATATCACAGAAAGAATGTCTTTCCTACAGTCACCTCAGTGAGACGATTATATAATCAGCACTTACTATGACTGAACATCACTGCTCAAAATTGCATTTATCAGAAAAATAAAAAAGATAGGTTTGCCTGTTCTGATTAATAATGTGCAATAAGATATATATGACAGGCAATTACTTTTTAAAAGAAGCTCTCATTTAAAAGCAAATTTGCTGAATTATCCAAAAGCATCAATAAATAGTGAGAGTAGAACAAATGTGGGTCAACTTCAAACCTGAATTTAAATGTTGCTTTATAGTTTCATAAAGCCAGTGGGATTTTTATGACTTCAGAGAAAAGGGATTTTTTTTTGATAATTTCATGGGGAAATTGACAGAGCAAAATTAACTACTTTATGAACCGCAAATAGACAAGATGAACAAACTCTGAGGGGTAGAAATACTTAAGAGATTATATTCTAAGAAAACTGAAAGAGGAGTCTACGAAACATAGTCAACTTGCCAAGTGAATATTCTATGGCAGAGATGGAAAATCACTGTCATTCCGTCTCCACTGCTCATATTTTAGGTGACCTGAACATGCTGAGTCTTGACATTAGACTGTCCTGAGATCAATTTTGTGCTCTGCTGCTTTCTTACTAGTGCTGTGACACTGTGACTATAATTTACATTGCTCATGCTTTAGTTTTATCTTCCTCAAATGATGCAAGCTTGATGGGTGGATTAAGCTAATTTTACAAGTATATATCATCATGCCTCATGATTTCTAATTTTATGATAGTAATAATGGATATGAAAATGGTTTAAACAATAGTATTAATGAGGCTATTTTAGAATCTCTGGTCTCATGTCAAAGAACTCCCTTTGTGACTGGTAAAGAAAACTTTAAAATCCTATCAACATATTCACGGCAATACCTTCAATAGTTGTAACTGTTTATAAAAATGGATGATTACTACTGTGATAGTTAGTAATATACATAAAGATCTTTGTTTAATTCTTAAAAAAGTTTTAGAATGGGGTAAAATCTATTGAAGTAGTTATCGAAGGAAACTAAACCCAGAAGTTCTTGACGTAAATTAAAATTCAGTTTTACTAATGGTCCTACATGTGGCTACAACTATGAAAGTACTATGGAAATCTAATAAACTGCTTTTCATCAAAGAAATAATAAAAAAGGGGGCCTTCGTGACACCATGAGAAAATTAGAAAAGACAAAAAATGTTTTATTTAAAAGTAAAACAATACAACTCTCACTCCACTTAGCACTCATTAAAATCCCTGTCCTTTACTAGATAATTTAAAAGCAAATTATCTACACATAATATTGATTATACATCACTGTCCTTAATATGTAGATGCAAACTAAACTTGATCTTCTCTGCTGATTAGGTTTGAGAAGAAATTAGTTGCCACATCAATGATCATATATGAAGAACTAGAAGTTTTGTGTTTTATCTGCTCCAATAAAGATTCAAAATGCAACTGTAATTAGGGCTATCACCTGGTTATTTATATGGTAGTCTACCTTCATTATTCAAGATCTATTTAGTTTCTTGGTAGCACTAATCTCTGAATTCTTTCCTTCTTGGCAATGCTGTTTATTTTTTAATATTTTATTTTCGAATAGTATTCATTCAGCCATAAACAAAGAAAATCCTGCCATTTGCAGTAACATGGATGAATCCACAGGGCATTATGGTAAGTGAAATAAGCCAGACAGAGAAAGACAAATACAAATACCACATAATCTTACTTATATGTGAAATCTAAAATGGTGGAGCTCATAGAAGCAGAGAGTAGAATGGTGGTTATCAGGAGCTGAAGGAAGGACTAAATGGAGAGACGTTGATCAAAGGACACAAACTTTCAGTTTTAAGGTGAATAAGTTCTGGGGATCTAATGTACAGCAATGCTGCTTCTGATTAATATATTGGTTGGTGTAGAAAAGGTCAATTTTATGATTTTCCTCAAGACCCTTCACATCATAATTTCTTTTTTTTTTCTTCTTTCTTCCCATAGGTTTCAGGGTACTAGATTATCAGGCTTATAAACCCAAATGTTCTTCAGATTTAGAGATATGCATTTAGTCTCTTCCTGATTTACAATGACATCATCAAAATAATTTTTCAGAACATTCTGCCCTTCATATATTCCACTGTAGTCCCCAGTTTTATAATTTCTTAGCATTGAAAGTTGGTTATCCTGGGCCCTCCATTTAATCTTCCCAGAGTTTCCAATATTTATAACATCAACCTCCCAGATTCATACTTTTATATAATTGCTGCAATACCTTCCAGTTGCCATGCCCATAGCATTTCCTAATACCATACCTAGCATCTGTATCCTGTCTCAGTCAACTGCAACTTAGAGCCTTGATAATTTTAAAATTGCTGCATGAAAAGTATTACCACCACCTCACTTGTTACCAGGGATAGGGTCCTAATTGCCATACTCATAAATAATTTTGTTTGAATATTAATTTCTTTTTTTGTTACATGGATGAATTATATAATGGTGAAGTCTGAACTTTCAGTGTACCTGTCACCTGAATAGTGTACATTGTATCCAATAAGTAATTTTTCTTCCTTCATCTCCACCCAACTCCCCCCCATGCCTTGCCAATGTCCATTATATCACTGTGTATAATAATCTAGCTTCAGATCTTATCCACAGCAGCTGCTTTCTAGAGTAATCCTGGCTTCAACTACCTTGGCCTTACTTTCTATGTCAGTAGCATCTGAGGCCAAGGAGGCTTTCCTCCTACCTCATAGAGTTGTGTGTCCTGGAGAACAGAAAATGGGGAAGAAATGAAGTAAAACAGGAAAAAATAACACGGGAGTTTTAGCAAGCTGGTTTGTCAAGTATCAGGTTGGCGCAAAAGTAATTGCAGTTTTTCCAAATTTAATGGCAAACACCGCAATTAATTTTGCACCAACCTGACACAACTAATTGCTAAAACATCAGGATCATCTTCCTTTAGACAATATAATGGATGCTTCTCAGGACAGTCTATTACAAGGAAGGAGGAAAATACTTTTTTATTTGCCAGGTTTCATTTCCCATTGATCAGTGGTTTGCTCCATAGGACATTATTTTCCTTGCACATTCTGATTGGCACGTAGGCGACACCAATAGGTTTCACAGCATTCCAGCATTTAATATCAGCAGGGAGTGGGAAGCAAATAAGTGTGTCTTACGTTATGAGGTGAGTTCTTACTGGATTGTGCCTTCATATAGTTATTTGGATCATATGCATATTTTTCGCTGCAGTCATTACCCAGGTCAGAACATGTGACCTAATGTTCTGGAGAGAGGTAAAATTAAAAGTACATGAAATGGAGCATAGGAGTTATGTGATACCAGAAAAGTTTACGTTGAAGCACTCAGCTAAACAAAGAGAATGCTACCTCTCAGCTTCTAGGCTTGCTTTCCAGTTACAAAATTGGCATTTTTCAATTTTCATACAAAAAGTTAAAAAAACAAATTTATCACAGTAAAGTATCAGATGCTTGGATGAAAAAATAATATGATCTATCTGGCAAGGTATTCAGATTATAGTGTCAATCAAGTGATTCCTTATCAAATTTATAATTTTTGGCTAAAAGTATATTGCTTATAAAATATAATTCCACAAAATTTGCAATTTTTTCTGTGTGAACTGTGAGTGAATTTTTAAAAGATTGATTTATTTCTTTAATAATCAACAGAGGCTGGGCTCAGTGGCCCATGCCTGTAATCCCAACACTTTGGGAGGCCAAGGTGCGTGGATAACGAGGTCAGGAGTTTGAGACCAGCCTGGCCACTGTGGTGAAACCCCGTCTCTACTAAAAATACAAAAATTATCTGGGTGTGGTGGTGCGTGCCTGTAGTCCCAGCTGCTTGGGACGCTGAGGCAGGATAATCGCTTGAATCCAAAAGTCAGAGGTTTCAGTGAGCCGAGATCACGCCATTGCACTCCAGCCTGGGAGACAGAGCGAGACTCCGTCTCAAAAAATAAATAAATAAATAAATAAAATAATAATCAACTGAGCATTCTCAAAGAGACTTGCCACAGCATTAAAGTTATTTCATAAACTGGTGAGTATTTTTATTGTTATGTGGCTTTCATATGACGTGTGTGTGTGTGTGTGTGTGTGTGTGTGTGTCTCCATGGTCTATCAACCTTATCAGGTGATTTTGATCTTTATAATTTCATTTAGCTGGTATAATTTCTTTCTTCAGTGTTCTCATTTTTTTCCATTACTTTCAAAAATATAATTATTCTTCCTTTGTTTTGTTTTTATTTTTCACTTGACCTATTCATCTTTGCTTTTCAGGCACTTTAGAGATGCTGTTATACTCTGCTAGTCATTTTTGTTTCAGCCATATTCTTATTTCTCTTTTAAAATAAAAAACCAAGATGCTGTGAGGCCAGGCATGGTGCCTCACGACTGTAATCCCAGCACTTTGAGATGCCGAGGTAGGTGGATTACCTGAGGTAGGAGTTCAAGTGATGGTGGCACACGTCTGTAGTCCCAGCTACTCAGGAGGCTGAGGAGTGCAGGAGAAGCATTTGAACCTGGGATGTGGGGGTTGCAGTGAGCCGAGATCATGCCACTGCACTCCAGCTTGGGCAACAGAGCAAGACTCCGTCTCCAAAATAATAATAGTATAATAATAAACCAAGATGTAGCGTTTCACAATATAATATTTATTGGGTCTGTATGTTGATCCTCCAAAATGTCTACATTGAAGTTAAGCATGTTGTTTTTAGAGTAAGTCTTCAGTAGGAATTTTGGGTTGTTACGTATCTTTAGAGAAAGTTATGCTCAAGGATGTAAGGGTTTGTTCATTTATTTAGGATTTGGTTCCTATCACAACTGACATTTGAAAGTAGATAGTCTATTTAAATATGTCTATATGAGAAAACTTTTAGTATTTATTCTGGTATTAATCATCTTATTTCTTTAAAAATATTGAGATAAATGGAGTATAATTCTAGCCATCAATATGTATTTTCCACACATCTTTAATGTTATTGTACTGCCCTTTTTGAACCAATTCTGCAAATATTATTTCATACCAAATAATGTTTTATGACCTTTCTTTTAATGTAAGATCCTATAATAAAGCCACATTTCTTGATACGGAAATGGTGTTTTACATTTTAATACTTTCTAATAATCATTTCAGAGGAACAATAGGGAATG
This sequence comes from Homo sapiens, assembly GCF_000001405.40. NCBI lineage: Eukaryota > Metazoa > Chordata > Mammalia > Primates > Hominidae > Homo > Homo sapiens. The sequence goes on from NC_000014.9 coordinate 41,383,310, forward strand.
ATTTTTATGTCAAGAAAAAAGTCAATTCTAAGAGAAATATTTATATTAGGTTATTATAGTTTCAACATGTATCAATTTCCTTCTTTCATCCACTCATTTTAAAAATATTACTTGAATGTAAGTCATGTTTGGTCCATGTTGGTACATTAGCAACATGGAAACTGAACAAAACATTCCCAAAGACATGCATACAGATCTCACCCTGCTACTTCCAAGAACCTCCTTTATCTTTGAATATAAACCTACCCAATACATTTGTGGTTGCAGTACACTTTCTTCACAGGTTTTATGTTTCTTTAAGCTATCATTTATATCTCTGTAATCTATCATTCAGTTTCACCTGCATTTGTTAATGTATGCATCTACTTAGAGAGTTCCAAAGGAGTAAAGCTGATTTTAGCTAGGTATGATAAACAATTCTGCCCTAGTAATTTTAGAAACGGAGTCTTTTGCTGAAAAATATGCACCCATATTTAAATGGTTAACTGATGAGATTCACAGAGAAACAGCAAACACTAGTGAATTCTCAGCAAATGCCAGTTTCAAAATTGATGCTCTGACTGGCATGTAGAAGTCTTTGTATGTATAATAAGTATAGCTATCTGCACTCTGTTATTCTGTAGAGATTTTCTGTTTGGGTCATGAGGAATGTAACTACTGGCTCTTTCTATTCGTATGTGAGATTTTGTTGTTGCCATTGTTTTGTCGTCTTCTTACAGAAGCAGTAAGGGAGAGGATAAAGAAACACTGAAAATGGTGGAGCATTCAGTCCTCCTCTTTCCAAACCCAACCAGCCTATTTGTTTTGTATCACTAAAAGAGAAAAGTTAGAAGAAAACATCTGAAAAAGTTTGCTGATCTGCCAGATGTCAAGGTGGTTAATTAGAGCAGTGAAGTAAAGTAAAAGTAACAATCAAATTTTTATTCATTTACTGTGATGGTGGAGGCAAGAGGCAAATAAAAATATGTGTCATGTTTCGTTTAGGAATGATATCAGGCACGGATCACTCAGATGACATGCAGTTCAGGCGTGAGAAATATCTCACTGTGGAGGAGCCCTGAACAAAATCCTTTTGCAGTTTTTTGGACCTGGGTGGCTGAGGATCCTGAGAGGGGGAGACTTAGGACTGGAAATACACTGAGTTAGTGTGACAGACAGTATCTCAGTCAAATGCCCCCAGTAAGAAAGTGTAGGCAAAGTTGCCTGAAAAATGCCTCGGTGGAGGTGTCCATGTGAAAAAAACAAAAGCCTCAGGGTGAGGTTCTTGAGGTAGGAATGCCTATATATAGTATAAGCGTGTCTGGCTTGAGGTGGGCAGGTAGCTTGAGTCTTTGACTGCAATTCTCTCCAGAGAGTGCAGTGCACTGGCTGCGCACCAAGCCTGGTGTGAGGATGGCAGCTGTCCCTCATGAGGCTTTCCAGATAAGGTCTTTTTAATTACCTATAGTCAGACCTGAAAGATCACACACAGGCTTTTGACCTGGAGCCAGATTTCTAAAAGTTCTGGTCATCAAAATGTATGATAATTATACCTTAGGTTCCAGGAGACCAAGTAAATTGTAGATAATTTAATCTGGCAAGCTATAAAATGAAGGCCTCAAGCTAGTCATTTGAGAAGCACCCAAAAGAACATTATTATTAGTAAGAGAACCACAAGAGGTGTGATTGGTGCAGAAGATTGCTATAGGAAGCACTCAAGCACCAGCTCAAGGAGTTGAGTGAAAATGTTTTGCAGACGTGTAAGATTCTGGAGACTCTACAACAACTTTCCACTAGTAGCTGCTGCACTTCAGGCCACAAGCCACTTTGTGATAGTACGTTTCTCAACTAATTATTGGAGGATGTGAGGAGATCATTCTCATCTTATGGAACCATTTCTGCCTAGATAAATTACCTAAAATGTACACTTACCTTAAAGACAAGTATGAGTAAACTGACCAAAATCACTTCCTTTCATTTGTCTTCTCAATTAAGCTATAAAATCTTGGGATGTAAGGCATTCACCTTGGCAGATATCTTTCCCAATTTTTGGTGTGGCAGAAGAAGCAGTGACATCTTAACAAACTTCCTGCCTTAGTCAGGACAGGTATCAGGGATGCTTAACAAACCCAGATCAACAGATGGAGTTGAATACATTGAGAAAACTCATTCTCAAAGTTGGCAGAAGGGCACAAGTTGCAGAATTTGCCCTCAAGGATTCCCACCTCACCGTATGGGGTTAGAAAAAATCAAAACTATTTCAAAAGAAGTATAATACTCTAGAAATGCTTTGAAATTCTAGAAAATGCCTGAATTTTTTTCTGGTCAAGATAGACGATATGAATATATATTAGTCAAGAAAACCTAGAAGATATACTGAGGTAGTAAACAACAACAAAATCATTGGTAGTTATACAGTAAAAGCTTGTTTTTAGTTTCTATAAAGTTGTCTGAGGCACTAAGCAGCTTTCCAGGGAAAGCATTCTTTTTGCAGCAACTCAGTAATCCATGCTAATGAAGTTTCCACTACTTTATAGGTGCTCCACCTGAAGTTTGCAGTCTCCTCAGTCCACCTGGAAGAGAAAGGCAGTGCTAGGTGGTCTCTCACCAGTAATCAAAGGCTTTGGCCCTGAATGACACATTATTTCCATTCAGAAATCTCTGCCAATTCTAGTCAGGTGGCTTCATTTAACTGCAATGAAAAGTCATGGGTGAACAGTGAAAGTGTCTAATGCCGAGTATCAAGCTGTGAGGTATTGTAAATGTGACCTAATTTGTACTCAGAGTGGTAGAGCTTGGAAATACTAATAGCAGGTATTCCCTCCACATTAAAAAGATTGGGAGGGAGGATGATTCAACTGCCCTCAAGGTTCTTTCTCCACCAAATGGTTTATTTCTCCTGTTCACACACATTAATATTCCTTACAATTTAGGTCTATGACATTAACAATCTTGATTTGATGTTCACTGCCCTGAATCATTAATCAAGGAGAAATAAATATATATTTATGTCTATACCTAACTTAGCTCTAGTGGACTCTTTCATAAAAATCAGAATTAGATTCCGGATGTTAACTACCCTTCCTAACAAATAAAAACCTTTTATGTGATGTTAAAATTTTTTGGTGTTCATAATTATTACTGTAACCACCAGTAAGCCAAGACCTTTTTTTTTTTTTTTTTGAGACGGAGTCTCACTGTGTCACCCAGGCTGGAGTTCAGTGGCGTGATCTCAGCTCACTGCAAGCTCCGCCTCCAGGGTTCACGCCATTCTCCTGCCTCAGCCTCCCAAGTAGCTGGGACTACAGGCACCCGCCACCACACCCAGCTTTTTTTTTTTTTTTTTTTTTTTTTTTTTGTATTTTTAGTAGAGACGGGGTTTTACCGTGTTAGCCAGGATAGGCCAAGACCATTTTATATGGAAAATTTCAACCATTAATCCGCTTTTTTTTTGCTTAAGTGAAAATTAAGATGCTTTAGAATGTTGGAAAAAATTACGGTTCACTTAAAAATACCTGTAGTCAAGACCTTTAAAAATGGTGTATGTGTTAACTTAAATTGTCTTTGATAGACCATAATTCCCCCATCCTTTTTGAGGGGAAAACTTTTATGGAAGTTGTTACTGCACAGCTGTTATTTCCTCTCACTAATAATTAGCTCATTGTAAAGTTCAATCTGTTGATACTTTAAGCCAGCTATTTTACTAGGTCAGTTACATAATGCCAAAATCATCAAGTAACTTATTTATTCATGTTTATTTTTGAAGGTAGTGTGAAATATGTTTTTCCTGCTATCAGTACAATTTATTTTTATCTTTAATGACTGGTATTTACCCGCATGTTTCCTCACCCAAACTCTTGTTCTTATGTTATATCACACTTATTCAGTACTTCCTAGCTTTCTGTTAGTTGTGTGCTTGTAAGTATTAAATGCCTTTTTTATACCTTAGCTCATTCTCCTCTATTAATATGGTGTACAACCTTGCCTATAGGCAAAACTAGGCATTTGAGAGAGGTGGCTGGGCAGGACAGAATAAAAAGTGTACAGTTCATGCAGGTGCAAAAATGTCTGAGGACATGACTGGACATTAGGACACAGGTAAAGGTCATTTCACCAGGCAGTAAGAGAGGCAATGATGCACTATTCACGTTTCATCTTTATCTCTAATGTTCCAGTCTTCCTCTGACTGTGATTGTATTTTCTTCCCATCACAGACATGCAAATATGGCAGTGATGTTTTATCAAAAGTGACAAATAGCTAAGGATATTACGTATGCTACAGAATGGGTATGGTTATATATAGGACATGTGCATATACATTCTAACACACCTTGGCCAGACATACACATATTAGGCACATAAACAAATGCACATACACATATACCAAACTCACACCACACATGTAGCATCCTTTCTTTGTTGTGTATTTGTTTAAAAGTAAAATTGTGTTGTTTTCTTAATAACACATAAATAATTTAATTTATATGTTTATAGTTTATATAGTCTTACATATGTTTTTATTTTTTAATTTTTTAAATATTCTCTTTGAAGTATCCCAAGAGTTCAATATTTGTATATAAGATTATATAAAGAAAAAGTTTCTTCCCTTTTCCGTATACATTCCTTTTATATCTCTATATACATTCCCTTTATATCTCTAAGAATATAAGAAAAGGATATACATTCCTTTTATATCTCTAAGAAAAGCCGCTAATTATTTCTAATGTTGTTAAAAGTATTACTGTAAAATAATAAATCATGAAATTGGCTCCTAATTTCATAAATGACTTTTACTATAATATACTTCAGTATTAGAATGTATTATAAAAATAACATTTGGGTAATAAGAGATAATTATTTCAAATATTAAGTTAAAAATATTAACTAATACTAGATATTTGTTTTTCTAGATTTATGGAAATATCACCATAAAAATGTAATTATAGACTTATGAATATAGACATCTTTAACATCTCAGTCTGAGGAAATTTATTGAAATCATATTTTATCTCTACCACTTGACAAAGGGTCAAAAAATATTAAGGAAGAAATAGAAAAATAAAAAAATTATGAGAATCATGATCACTGAACCAATTACATATTTTGCCCCTCTTAATAATTATCCCCTTTCTTCTCTCAAGTCAAGGTAGAGAAATTGAGAGAAATACGGATGGTCAAAGAAAGAGAGAGTGAAGAAAGAAAGAGGGCATGAAAAAGTCTGCAGGAAATAGGGGACATGACAAATGTAATTTTTTTAAGGAAAATATCAAAAATTTAGACTAAATTAGAGGGTAAAGGGGCCTATATTTAAACTACTGTGTCACAAAGTATTCTCTCACAAAACTGAATACTTAAGATTACAAAAGACTATTAACTGCCACAGCAGCTACCCTGCCACAGATATCCATGTTGGACACATGCACATACATTTACACGCACAAATCCCTCCAAGTATAAGTAAACAAGCAAAGGAATGTGATAGGCATGGCAAAGGGGAACGTGGGAGAATAACTTAGAACTATTTTTCAATATTTTTCTAAGGCCATTTAATGACTGTGATTCAGGTTCTCTTCTTCTACTGTGAAAAATAACTCTTGCTTCACAGTGTGCACAATACCCTTAACATGTATGTTTCTACATAAAGAATAGAAATCCTACTTTTATATTCTTGAGGGAGTATTCTTCCCTCCAATGCCATACAAGAGGGCATATCAGAATAGCACAATTAATCCTGATGTTCAAAGAGGTGAGGTGTCTATGATAATCCATTTCCTGGAGCTCACAGCAACCCCAAATATTATTGAATTAGACGGTAGAGAGAAAATGTCTGTGTTGTATAGTCTTGAAATCATTTCTCTAAATGTGTCATAATATACTGATGGACCATAAATCTTCTATTCTTACCATATAGAATTTTAAGGACAGTAGCTCCAACAATTTTGTTATTTTGGTTGCTTTGATTGTTTCCTCTTTATTTTTGGTTAATTTTCCATTTTTTGTACCATGTCTTTTGCTTTGAAGATGAAGCCTTCCAATACAAAAGCTGTAGATGTCTGTAGTGGGGAATGTTGCACTAGCTGAAAAGTAAACAGTAAAAGCAAGGAACAAGAGAAATTCCTGAATTTTGAGATAAATAATGAGAACTCTGAGAAATGGAAGCATATCAGTCATGCTAACACCGTATTAAATGAATTTAGGTCTCCTTTTCATAATGTAAATGCAAAGAAATTAGAGAGGAAGAGCAGATCACTTGGATAAAATTGCTGACTGAACAACACTTCTCAACTTCTAGCACTGTAAGAATAGTATAAAAAGTAAAAACAAACAAACCCTCACATAGTCATTCAGTAACCATTCAACATTCTCACTGTACCCATTCAACATTCTATATTAGAAGATAATTATGTCTCAAGGTACACTTATCTTAGCATGACAGCTTAATTGTGTTGGATTGATTTATATATTAAAGAAAATAAATTCTAGTTTTATGGCGATGTTTTGTAGTTTGTTGCCTTGAAAATCTAGAAGGATAAAGGGATTCAAGGAAAAGCAAGCACTTAAAAAGGTACTCATAGGGCACAAAAATGTAGTAGTGACCTAGATAATTGGTTGTCAGTAAAGATGGATGTGCTCAACAATTTTTAGGAGTGATGATAGTGGTGATGATGTTTGTTCAAACTGGTTACTATTCTCTGCTATAATTTTCTTTCATTATAGCAAATATTATATGAAAATTTTGTACTATGTATCACATATTTAATGATCACTTGGAAGATGTCATACACTCCTTATTCTCACTCAAATAAAGGGTACAAGACAGCACAAGAGAATCCAAAGTCATTGATAAATGAACCTGAGGCAAACTTTCAGAATAAGATGTGATAGGCGACAAACAAGAAGTGTAAACACTTACAAAATAAGAATATGTGAATTCTATGAACCATTAGGGAAAACCTGGGCTTTGATCAAGAACATGGGTTGGAAGCTCATGCTATTTGATATACACACTTTAAAAGAAAGGGGGATAGGAAACTGCAAGGGAGTAGGGTATATGGGTAATAACTGTGTCCTCTTGTGAGAGACGCTATACCATGCACCAAAATTGATCTCCTATCCCTGGGCATAAAGCTAGAAATTTAGCAGCCTCATTTGCAGTTAAGTACAGCTGTGTGGAATTCTTTCCCACACAGTGGAACTGAAATGCGACTAGCAGTGATGTAGCCCAATTTTTGGCCTATTGAAACCAAACACATTTCTTCTTCATCTCATTCCCCTTCCACTAGCTTCAGGCAAATAATTGTCTTTTCCTAGTAGAGGCATACCACAAAATGGAAGAAACTTGAATTCCTAGATCACTACATGAAGGAGAGCCATGTCTTTATCTTGACCACCCAACTAAGACTGTGGCAATAAACAAGAATTACGCTATTGTATTATGCTTGTGAAATACTGGGATTTATCTCTTTCTAGAGTCCAGTCTCTCCTAACTAATGTCTGCCATCTTGTTGGGACCTCAAGGAAGGAGAATGTTTTTGAGAATACAAGTATCCAAAATATAGGAGGCCACTTTGATTTTGTGGTTTTGATAAATTTTTTAGAATCTTGTATATTCATGAGTCTCTTCATTAATTCCAAAATAAATAAAGAAAATAAGCTTGGCACCCTCTTGAAGCTGAAGGTAAAGCTTCTACTAAAAAGATGTTGCAATAAGACTAGACAAAATAATAAACATATAAATACACGACATGCGATAAGGCCTATGACAGAAAAAGTAAACCTAAGGGAAGATAAAGGTGTAAACAAGGGAGAGGTGTTATTACAGATGAGTCTGGAGGGCTTGGAAAAAGGGGGCATTCCAGATAGTGACTGAAAAAAGTATGAAGGTCAAATAAATAAGCAAAAGAAAGCAATATACTTTCCAGAAACTGAGAGTAGTTAAATAATTTCAAGAATCATGTATAATGAGGTTATACAGTGACCCATCAGGGTTATTATGTGAGACAGGAATTATATAACATGGTTCAGAATCTGGACTTTATATTGCAGGCTGTGAGAGGCATTGGAGAATTTTTAGCAAAGAAGTGATATCATTGCATTTTCTGCTGAGGAAAGATTACTATGGTAACCATAAGGAAGGTAGATTGGAGGAGGGATAAGACTGATGACAGGGAATGCCAATTAGAAGGTTGATGTATTAATCTACATAAGAAATAATGAGGCCTGAACCATGTCATGGTGTGGGAATTAAAGAGAAGCACAGTTTGGAGAGGTGCTGAGGTATTTCCTCAGTAATTGGATATATAAGATTTGAATACCAGCAGCTTACTTTTTAGATTCTATCTTATTTACTTGCCACCCAATCTTCCCTGAACCATTCCTCGGTAAAAAAACATACCTGAGATGTAATGTCATTTGGTGGTCAAGCGAACTTCTGCTGGTTTCAAACACTAGATGAAAAGAAATAACTGGACTCATTACGCTACTGTGTTAGTGTCCCAAAAGAAACTTGCAATTTTTATATGGGAGCTACCATATTTCCTTCAAAAAAATTAAAATAAGGGGAGTAAAATTGCTCCAATTGCTCTGAGAGTTAAAACATAGAATTATCATAAAACTGGTAAGGCAAAGTCACCTTGAAAAGACAGAAGGGTCTCAAAACATCAAGATTCTACTGAAACCAGACAACTCTGTTCTGTATACCTTTGGTAACAAAAGATGTGTTATTTAGTTTTAAAATCAGATGTATGGGGCTGGTAAATTTGAATCTAAACCTAAGCAGACAACCCATTCTCAACTTAACAGTTTAAGATGTTTTATCTGTGGTTATATCTAGGTTTAGTTTAAGAGGGGTTGTTTTTGTTTGTTGCTTAGTCTTCAGAATTTTTCATCCTAGTCATCCCCAAAACCATAAAATCTAATTAAAATCAGTGATCTTGCCATATATATTTCAGCCTAAAGATAGTACCATAGATTCCAGCTATCCTCTAAGCACTGCTTCCTTGAAGTCCTTTCTTTACAGAAATATAGAGTAGCTACATTTATTCAGCTGACGATGATTACGGCCAGAGCCCTTTATCTTAGGAAGTTCAATAAGATGATGACATTCACGAGACCCCTGAGAACACAGCCAGCTTGTCTTTTCTTGCTGGTTACCCTATGGTTAACTTCTTACATTGTTAAGGTGCTATTATTACTATGACTTCATCATGCTTTCTCCCTGCACTGCATCCTAGACAAACTGCAAAGTAAAGGCAATACTTTAGAAGTAAATTTATCAAGAGCAGAGCTAAATTCCCAAAGGAAAGCATAAATGACCCCTGCCGTGACGCGAATCCCAGGCTCCTGAGGTGAAAATGGCCCTGCTTTACTCAAAATGTAGAAAGAAAATGCATATAAATAATTCTGATTCTTATACAATTAGAAAGTGATTCCCTTATTAATCTAATATTGTGTTCATTTTTTAAAATGCCTTAAATTACCATATAGAAATAGGAAAGGATAAGAAAAAATATAGCTCAATAATATATTGAGAAACAAATATAGCTCAGTACTAACTGGTAGGAAATTCATAATTCTTAATATAGCAAAGACTATATTAAACACAAGGGTGGAAATAACACGTTAAATACTTGCAGAATGAAACTGTAAATAGTTCTATGAAGAAGATTGTAAAGCCATTCACTGCACAAGGACATTTCAGTCAACAACAGACAGCATATACAATGTTGGTACCATAAGATTATAATATTATATTTTTATTGTACCCTTTTAATGGCAGATATGTTTAGATATAGAAGTACTGACCATTGTATTACAATTGCCTATAGTATTTAGTAGTAATATGCTGTACAGGTTTGTAGCCTAGGAGCAACAAGCAATACTATATAGCCTAGGTGGGTAGTAGGCACTACCATCTAGGTTTGTGTAAGTACTCTATGAAGTTTGTACAACAATGAAATTGCCTAATGCATTTCTCACAATGTATCCCATCTTTAAGCAACAAATAATTGTGTTAATTACAGTCATTGTAATAAGTGGCTATTGTAATAAGTTACCACAAACTTCATGATTTAAACACCACTAATTTATCACTGTATACTTTTGTAAATCAGAAGTACAAAATGTGTTTCAGTAGGTGTCAGCAGGGCTGCGTTCCTTGTTGGGACTCTAGGGAAGAATTGGTGTCCTCAGCTTTTCCAGCTTCTAGGTCAGTGGTCCCCAGTCTTTGGGCACCAGGGACCAATTTTGTAAAAGACAGTTTTTCCATGAGATGGGGTGGTTGGGGGATGGTTTGGGGATGAAACTGTTTCATCTCAGATTGTCATGCGGTAGTTAGATTCTCATAAGGAACATGCAACCTAGATCCCTCACATGCGCAGTTCACAATAGCGTTCCAGCTTCTATGAGAATCTAATGCTGCTGCTGATCCGGCAGGAGGCAGAGTTCAGGCAGTAACTAGAGGTTACAAACATGTCGCAAAAGACTGTATCGCACCAAATTCAGTATAAAATGAGATGGGAAATTTGGGAAAAGTACTCTAACATTATTAAATGTAGTTATACATACAAGGATATATTTTGTGTGGAATTTGGAAATATTCCAATATCTGCACTCCAGTGCACCAGCAAACAAGGAAACTAATTTGATACGTGATATCAGCAGTCAGTCCAGATAAATACTGGCCTCTGTCCCTGGAAATTTCTTAAGATAGCCTTTCTCAATATTGCTTTTTCTTGTATTTCTTTTTTTAAGCTTCATGAGATAATTCTTCTCTATATAAAATACTGAAAGATAATCTCTAAAGTTTTGTCTTGACTGAGGTAGCTTAGCAAAACTATGTAAGTTTAGGCAAGTTATTTTTATCTGGGCTTGCAAAAATCTCATAATCAAATTGGTGAAAACAACTGATTTATTGAATTCAAATAGAAACATGAAGTTCTGAAAAAAAAAATCCAGATTGAAAAGTTAAGAATCATATATTCAATAAATGGGCTCAGTGGTAATCATCATAATTGTTAACAAATATTCTCTTTTTTTGACCACCAGTTATGTCTTTGACAATCATTTCCCATATGTGACTATCAACCACTGGAGTTTTTTTTTTGTTTTTACATGATGTATTTGAATTGGTACAAATTGAGCATTTCTGTTTTAAAAATAGCCAGAAAAGTATCAGAGTGAGTCTGTGTTACCTACTTATTATATAACAACCAACAGGAAAAGAAACAAATACTATTTAGAGAGTACTTACACTTGCTAGGTTCTGGGCTAACAGTTTTAAATGCGTGATTTATTTAATCTTCATAGCAGATGTATAATTGCAATAATTTTGCATTTACAGTTGAGGAAATTGAGGTTTAAAGAAGTGAAATAAGTTTTCTAGGTTTGCCCAATTGGTTAGCTGAAAATATTTTCTTTAGTATATTGACATATTTTTCTAAAGGCCCATAGAAGAAGTAAATACATTAAATATCACTGTAACTATATTAAGTAGTAACCACCTTCATTTTCATGTTTTGTTCCACTTTCTGAATTTGAGAGGTCTTCTTACATAAAACAAAGATTAATCAACATGTATGCTATACTATAATCATTTAAATTCAATTTTCCCTATCGGTTTTAATTTTTAAAACCTGGTTTGAAAGTTGATTTACTTTGAAAATATATACACACATATGCATATAGTTTATATATTATGAAATCTAGGATATCTCATCACAGATATGATTTGATGTCAACTTAGATAATAAAGCATAATACTAATCAAATATCTTATTATTGTGCCTTGCTGACTAAAACCAATCTACCAATCTATTCAGCTATTCTAAGTACATTTTTGGAAAATGTACCTTTTTGGTACATTTTATTTGAATGGCTTTTTTATCTCTTTGTTTTGTATTATACTGGAGGGAAAAATTTCAGTGTCAGCTGCATTATTCTTATTATGAACTTTCAACAGATTTTTTACATTTGAAAATTTTCAATAATAAAATAACAATTATCATTATATTTCTGTTCTCCAAAATAGTTTTTATTTTATTCTAATGCTTTTTAAAAGACTCTGCTATAGGTGAGAGCTTGTTTCTTCAACAAAGAACAATCTCGGAACCTCATGGAAAATAATTTCACACAGTACTTTAAACTATTGACATTTCAAAAAAGAGATTCCTGGGCACAGTCTTTGAGCAGACTTTGCTTAGATGACATGACATTCAGAACACACCCGTATGTTAAGTCAGGATTTCCAGATTTTTAAAAAAATTCAGACAGCAGGAAGTTTCATGCCATTGCTAATCAAAGATCAAGAGGAATATGAACTAATTATATGGGACTAAATGAACTGATCAGGGAAATTTTACTGTAATTTCTTTGAAATTTTTTGATGTGGTTTTAGTGTTGTCTTTTCCAGGTATTTAAGGAAGTCCTTTCTGTTTCTTCTTAAGCTATTCTTTAATTTACAAAAATTTAGTAGATTCTGCTTTTATGAACTATGATGAAACATTTTAAAACTAAATTTGATTCTCGCTGATTCCCCCCAATTATGAACAGACACTTCTCAAAAGAAGACATTTATGCACCAAACAGACACATGAAAAAATGCTCATCATCACTGGCCATCAGAGAAATGCAAATCAAAACCACAATGAGATATCATCTCACACCAGTTAGAATGGTGATCATTAAAAAGTCAGGAAACAACAGGTGCTGGAGAGGATGTGGAGAAATAGGAACACTTTTACACAGTTGGTGGGACTGTAAACTAGTTCAACCATTGTGGAAGACAGTGTGGCGATTCCTCAGGGATCTAGAACTAGAAATACCATTTGACCCAGCCATCCCATTACTGGGTATATACCCAAGGAATATAAATCATGCTGCTATAAAGACACATGCATAAAAGTATGTTTATTGTGGCACTACTCAAAATAGCAAAGACTTGGAACCAACCCAAATGTCCAAAAATGATAGACTGGATTAAGAAAATGTGGCACATATACACCATGGAATACTATGCAGCCATAAAAAATGATGAGTTCCTGTCCTTTGTAGGGACATGGATGAAGCTGGAAACCATCATTCTCAGCAAACTATCACAAGGACAAAAAACCAAACACCGCATGTTCTCACTCATAGGTGGGAACTGAACAGTGAGAACACTTGGACACAGGAAGGGGAACATCACACACCAGGGCCTGTTGTGGGGTGGGGGCAGGGGAGAGGGATAGCATTAGGAGATATACCTAATGTAAATGATGAGTTAATGGGTGCAGCACAACAACATGGCACATGTATACATATGTAACAAACCTGCACGTTGTGCACATGTCCCCTAGAACTTAAAGTATAATAAAAAATATATATATATATAAAATCCCTAAGCAGTTTTTTCTTTTCATGCAATATTGTTATTAATATAGTTTCAGTAAGAATCTGTTTTCATTTCTCTAGAATATAATTTGATACACTATACAAGATAGGTTTGACCTGGTGTGCCATATTTGTAAATGATGCTCCTTTAATCAGGTATGATAAGCCACTTTTAAGTTACTTGGTTGACTTAACTTATAGACTCCAGAAGAGACTAATTTCCCCAAATGTATAAGCAGTTGAAATGCTGTGCAGAGTCCTGGGCTTAGTCTCATAGTCTCTGGATATCAAATAATACAGACTTTTAAAAGTCTTACCTGAGATTCCAAAAGAAAATTTCCAGACAGGAGTTAGTTTTGTGATCTTGGTAAAGGTTCAATACCGTATGGCTCTAGATTTTTCAAAGCAAATTGAAGAAGGCTTCATATAGTAAAGTAATACTCTTTCTACACTTATAAAATTAATCAGGCCAAGCCCAATGTGAAACACCTCCTTTTGTGATTGAGTTGTATTTCTATAGAATTATTATAATCACAAGGTGGGGACAGGTGGGTTATGAAAGACTTTGAAATGTATAAAATAAGACTAATATAATCTGTACAGTGTCCAGCTTACTTTTTCAACTCTTTATTTTATTGTCTTAAGCTATTTTAAAACTCCAGATAGCAAATGAATAGTAATACCAATTATTCTTGATTATAGAGATTCAAATTAATTGCATCCTGTGGAATGTAACTGATTATTGTCCTGTAAATATTTGTTTTGCATCTATCTGTAAGTGCATTTTAGAGTTCCTTATTCCCAATATGTCTCTCCAATCTTTGAATTCTCCTTTGTACTACTTGAAAACTATTACCAGGTTCCTTCTTAATAAGTAAGTTTAATAAAATCTTTCACATGTGTTCAGTACATGTAAGTATTAGAATCATGATTATACACTAAATTGCTATTCTTTAACATAAATGACTCTAAATAAAGATTATAAATTAGAATTACTATATTTAAGATTTGATTAAGTTAACAATTCATTTGCTGCTATAGAACTTCTGTTTTGCTCAAATTTACAAACAATAAGCTCTTAAACTTGGAGTATGTATAAAGTAACTAATAAATAATGGTCAGTATTTCAAAAACAATCACTTTTTACAAAGCCAAGTCTTCAAGATCAGATGAATGTAGGCCTCTGTTGGGATGACATAATACTTACTGTCAAAGGAATTTACTCCTGAGTGGAGTAAAACAAAGCTGTAAATGCAAACAGGCAGCAGATAACACAATTTCTTTTTTTCTCTCTCTCTTTTTACCATAAGAGGCAGATCAGGCCAGAATGTCTGAAAGGGTAATTAGAAGATCATTCTACTCACTACAAAGCCTGAATTTCCCTGGAATTACTGCAAAGATGCTTAGAGGTTTCCAGAGCTAATTAAAAATGCTAAGAAGCAAATTAACACTTTCTCTCTAATAAACTGCAAACAGATAGTTAAGTCCCTTTAATAATGTTCCAAAGTCCCCCAAACAGCTGGAGCAAGCCCAAACAGATTGAAGTCAACAAAGCAGGCAATGTGAAATAAAGGCACCATGCCCAGGGTATTTGGATGGCCAAAGATGGAATGGGAAAAAAATTAAGGTACATCCTAACTGAGAGTGTGAAGGAGCTTGATGAGAATACACAGAAGTTAGTAAAAATAAAAGTTTAGTAACCTACACTTTCTTTCAGCATTTGTTCAGTACCATTTGCTGATTTCCATCACTATGGTTCTTTTCATTTTAAATATAGCTATTTATTTGATATTTTCTCCATCTAAATCACATGTCTCGCTTTCTGTTGGTTTTCTAGCATCCAGCGAAGTGCAAAACCAGAATAGCTCTTTGATATTTTTTGATAAATAAATGGATGAGTAAGTAAAAGAATTAATGGATTGATGATATAACATGTGCAGGCAAAGCTTAGAAATGTTAAGAAAATACTTACAATTTCTATTGAAAATGAAATATTTTGGCTTGTGATAATTCATCCTTTGTTTGAAAATCACTTTTTTTATCTCCTTTTCAAGCTGTTATTTATTTCCCACCAAAGAGCCAGAGTCACTTTTTATAAATAATACAATAGATAGATCTTACCCTTCTGCCATCCAAAACTCCCCAAGTTCCCCTAAAAGACAGTTTAGCCGAAATCCAAACTCAACCCTCCACCCGAGTCCCTGATTCCCTGACACATATTTTACCATGCTCCCTCTTACCCACTCACTTCCTAACTTTAGCCTCACCACTCATTCTGTGTCTCTGAGTCATGACAGTCCCTTTCTTGCCCCAAAGTCTTCCACTGTGCTCTTTCCTACTAATGGAATTATCTTCTTTTCCAAGTTTATTCAGAACTCTGATCAAGTATCAATTTCTTGGAAAGATCTTCCCTAAGAACTCTATCATTTTACTTTACTTTTTAAAACATTGATAGCACTAATTCATCACTTAAAATCATTTTATGTATTTATGTGTTTACTTGTTCACTTTCGACAAAAAAAAAACAAAAAAAAACCTTTCAGTCTTTGTTCACATCTTTATTCCCACAGTAAAGACTGTGCCTAGAAAATAGTACATGTGCAATACATATTTGTTGAAATAATTAATGTTTAGATATAGGAGAATAAATTTAAATGTTGTAAGTAATGGTGTTTATAGAAAGATTCAACGATGTAAAGGTTAAATTAATTTTCAAGTTTCGAGATCCAAATAAGAATTAGCAACTAAGACTCTTCTTGACCAAATTAGAGTCAGGCTCTCCTTAGTGTTCTTTTTGAGGCCTTGACTTTGGGCTCTGTCCTTAGCCCACTTAGTCCAGTTTCAGCAAGAGTGCTAGGTCGATTTAGCAAAAATCCCTCACCCTTGATACTGACCAAATTCTAACACAGACCCTAGTATTTATGGCTACTTGGTATAGGACAGGCTGGTATCATTTGTGGGGAAATATATATATATATATGATATCATGTTTTCAAAAGTTAATTTTCCTTAGGTAAAAAAAAACAAGTCTAGATTGCTACCTCCTACACACAACAAATATCAGTTGGGTCAAAAACCTAAATGTGAAAAACAAGATGTTGTAAAAAATTAAAAATATATATATTTGGAGAACAACTTTATGACCCTGAGGTAGAGAAGTCTTTCCTAATAAAGAAAACACACACACACACACACACACACACACACACACACACACCATAATGGAGGCAATAGATAAATTCAGCTACAACAAAATTAAAAACCTTTGTAAAGAAAAGACTATAAAAATGTCAACAGATAAGCAACAGTATAAAAAATATATTAGCAACCCTTAGCAATGAGATCAATTTTCAGGATGCCTAGATATCAATAAAGAAAAGAAAAAAAAAAAGTAACAATAAACCCAGTGGGGAAAAATGGTAAAGAATGTGCACAGGAGATTCATAAGAGAGGACATGACGATAGAAAATAATAACACCTGATTTTAAATAAATATATTTATAGGCAAAGTCATAATTATCAATTATTCTTCAGGTTGCTTAACTGTATTTTTATCACTCAAAGAATAGCAGACTCCACCCCCACACCCAGCCAAAGTGCTCACTGTAGCAGGAGAGTGCCTTGTCTTTCAACCTGTGTCCTCCAGATCCTTTCTCAATGGCTATGGCTCAGGCCCACAGGATAATTAGCTGACGGTTTAAGTTCAACTTTGTGGGTTAATTAGCTGATTGTTGAAATTACTTACTGACTTTTACTTCAACTAAAATTATCACAGGTATGTGTTATGTGTGTTCCCTAGCATAAAGCAATTTCACAAGGACATTTTTAAAGATAAAAGAAAAAGAACCACCATTTATTCTGATATTTTTGGAAGTGAATTTCTGAGTATAATGGTAATTTGTACAAATGTATTAGTCTCTTCCCCTAATAGTCCTACTGGGATACCAACTGCATATTAAAATTAGGAAATATGTTCATCCATACTGGAAAACAGAGATAAGTAGCAGTCTTTTGCTGGAGAAATCAAATAATTATGTGTGTGTGTATATATATAATTATATATATAATTTATAATTTATATATAAATATATACTTTTTAATTTAATTTTTTTTTTCTCAGAATTGATCATAATGAAGAAAGGGTGACTTAAGCAAAACTTCCTATGAAGGAACAGTTTGTCTATGTGTAAATGAAAGAAACAGAATTTCAGTAATCTTCCCTAACCTGAGAAGCCAAGACAGAATGTAGGACAGTCAGGAGATGCGTCTGCTTAGAACCAGTAACTTTCTAAAGTGCACTAGGTTAAAGGCCACTACATTTTTTATCCTTGGCCTATTCTGGTTTAGACAGACATGCCACTGTCAATACTATTGCTCACATCTGATGAAGAAGAAACTGCCAGGCAAAAGGGAGCACCGGCCAGGCACGGTGGCTCACACCTGTAATCCCAACACTTTTGGAGGCCAAGGCGGGTGGATTACCTGAGGTCGGAAGTTCGAGACCAGCATGACCAAACATGGAGAAACCCCGTCTCTACTAAAAATACAAACAAAATTAGCTGGGCGTGGTGGCACATGCCTGTAATCCCAGCTACTTGGGAGGCTGAGGCAGGAGAATCGCTTGAACCCGGGAGGTGGAGGCTGCAATGAGCTGAGATTGTGCCACTGCACTCCAGCCTGGGTGACAGAGTGAGATTCTGGCTCAAAAAAAAAAAAAAAAAAAAAAATGGAGCAGCACCTCACCCCAGATAGCTGCTGGCTACCACTTGAAACTAGGGAAGAATATTTTTGTTTTTACTTCAGTATCAAACTAAGTGCCACGGCTGCCTTTGCTTAGGCCACATTCCTTATCTGCTATGGTTGCTCTTAACACTGAACAAACAAATTCAAATAATGACAACTCTGATCTCTCCTTTTCTCTTTCAATGAAGCTTAAAAGAACTGATCAGAATTTACAAACTCTTGTCCCAGTGCGGGCTAAGACTAGTCTTGATAAGAATGATCAACAGGAAAAGTCTACGTAAATTTAAGTTTACGTGAATAATTAGAAAAAGCTCTTTCTTATGTAATAAACCTAATGTAAACTTGTAGGAAAAGATTGTATAAAACATTTGACTTGTGATCACAACAAGATAAGAGGGCATGTCTTCTATGCTACTAGACTTGGAAGTTTCAAGTTATTCTGAAAATAATTATTAAAGCAAGAAAAATTGTTTTGCATATTGAAAATATTTATTGGTAAACTATGAATAGTAAAATAGTATAAAACTAATTGATATCTCAGCAAATCCTGGTGTGAATTTTGAATTTTAAGGATTAAGAAATTATTCCATAAAGAGCGAGAGCAACCAATCGAAACATAAAAGCATTTTGCCATGCTGCTTCTCAATAAGTATAAAGGTCACAACAAAGAGGAGTGAATAATAATGAAAATAACATTTAGCCCGTGAATAACTGCTGTTCAAATGTAGAGTATGTTTTCGTTTTTCTTTTGAGATGGAGTCTCGCTCTGTCACCCAGGCTGGATTGCAGTGGCGCGATCTCGACTCACTGCAACCCCCTCCCCGCCAGGTTCAAGAGATTCTCCTGCCTCAGCCTCCCCAGTAGTTGAGATTACAGGCATGCACCATCATGCCTGGCTAATTTTTGTATTTTTAGTAGAGATAGAGTTTGGACATGTTGGCCAGGCTGGTCTCAAACTCCTGACCTCAGGTGATCCACCCACCTCAGCCTCCCAAAGTGCTGGGGTCAGAGGCATGAGCCACCACGCCCCCGCCTGTTTTCTAAAGTTATAGTTTGTCAATGGCAGAGTTCAGATTACGTTCTCTGTCTTCAAAGTCTGGATTGTTGACTACTGCCTTTCTCAGAGTTTCATGTGAGAATCAAAAATTCAAACTTCAGTAAATTGTTCTTCCAGTTCAAGCACAGAAAAATATATTTACATACTACCATATTTCAGAATTAAACTTCCCACACAGACTTTTGGATTAAAAAAATGCAGGCTATTAATCATGGTAAGTGTTCAGGAATGGAGAAATCAGGATTTAATAATGGCAGTGATTAAGAAAAAAAATCTATTACAAAAATTGCAAGACTAATGCAAATTCTAAATTAATCATTGCTAAAATTTAATGTAAATATCAGAGCAACTTCTTTGAGAAAAACTGCAGTCAAATTAATAAAATTATTCTACATCTAATAATTGAATTTAGATTTAATAGGAAAGTTAAATGGAAGAAGTAAATGAGAAAGGAATAAGTATGCTACACTTTTTGGAGAATAAATATGGTTTCAATTGTATATAGGTAATTAAAAAATTTAAGTCTAAATATGTTCTTATTAATTATAAGTAATTACTAATAGATAAAAATAGAATATATACCTTCTAAATCAAAGATGGGGAAAAATAAAATACTATAATATGTTAGGGAAATGTCTATAATAAAATAATGTAAAAAAAAGTGCACTATGTGATTTTATTTTTGTACCTTTTCCTTATACTTTTCACATTATCTAAAAGAAATGTTATCAAATTTTGAGTAAGAAAAATATTTTAAATGGTAGATTGCAAAAACAAGAGACTCAATTTTATCAACTAAAACAGAAATTTAGAAAACAACGAAGAAAACAAGGGAGGAAGGAAGGTGGGAAGGAAAATGTTCAATAGTTTATTTTGTTTTGTATAAAAACTTTGTGTCAACCTCTAAGGACAAATAAAAATTAAAAAGAAAAAGCTTCATTCTTCCAGCTTCCAGATAATAGTAAGAGAAGACCTTTTTTTTTTTTTTTTTTTTTTTTTGTTAGAACCTTTACTTTCTTTTCTCTTTGAAATGTATATAAATCCTTTTCAAAACTAGATAGGTCATTTGTCAGCTTTATGACCCAGGGATGTCTTTCTCAAAGATCTGAGAGCCATCTCTTTGACATGTAAAAATCAAGGAAGATAGCAGCCCAATCTCCAACTTTCTGTGGGAAGGCAAGAGCCTGACTTCAGTGCCTTTATTCCAAGTTTTAAAACTACCTCCTGTCATAAAGAAATGAGAAGATTGTTTCTCCAGAAGAAAAAGGTAACTAGCTAGCATGGATGGTCCCCCTAATTACCAGGTAAAGTGAGGATGAACTATGTGAGCAAATGATGCTGTCAAGTCCTCTTACTTGAGGACTAGTTACTGCTTATCTTGGAAAGATGTTATATATCTGCTTGGCTATATAAAACGGTGAGATTTCTTTCTGTCTTTGCAATTTCTTAGCAGATTGCCTGTGATGAGCTTCGCATTCTGATTTGATATTATTCCATAGTGAAAGAATTTTCCTTCTTTTTACCTTTGTGGAGAGAATTTCTAGGCTGGGAGAATGTGTTATTTTAAATTATATTTTCCCATCAATCCATAGCAATTCATCTGAATTATGAGTTTCAGGATGTTATCTCCTTTCTTTCTCTCTTCCTCTCTGAGCAAATAAGGTATTAATTGTTCTCTATTTAGTAAAGAAAAAATTTGAGGTGTAGAAAAAAAAGAGATCAAAGAGCTAACAAAACTTTAGGTACTATTAATACATTACAAGCATTGCCTCATAAAGACTTCTAAGAAAGTATTCTACAGAGTTTAGCAGTCAAGCTCTAAATATGAAGTCTGTGATGCATAGACATTCCTGAGATGATGAACAGTATGTGCCTGCCAAAAAATCCTTGCATTTTAGAGCATTCATCTCCCTATCTTAAGGAATTTAGGAGTACAAGCTCTCTGGCAATCAGGAAAAAACATTGTCTGAATTCAATTTCTATGGACTTCCTTTATCTCTCTTAGCCTGCTCCTCTCCTCAGACAAGGATCTCTTCTCTTTTGTTTAGGATCAGAGCTCTAGCAAAGGTAGATTTGGTTGACGTACTATGTGTGTTTTCTTCTTTAAGTTGTATTTATTTTGTTTAGACACACACATGGGCTCATCTTTGTGAAAATTTAGAAGACATTAATTCTAGGTCTTCTATTGAAGAACTTAATATTTGTTATTTATTTAAATGCCAACTGAAATTATTAATAATGAAAAGTTTGCTTGGCCCTCACAAATAAATATATTTATCTATAATATAAATACTGAAGAAACTTGCCTAGGAATAGAACTTGATGGCATTTGTTATTTGGCAAATTTTTGTTGAAGCCAATCCTCAATCCATACTGGGTGCCAGTACTCTAGATTAGCATTTTGAATGTTTCCCTTCCATCTCTTCCTTATGTCTAGCCACCTACCATTCTTGGAATCCATGTCCCGGATTGGATGAAAAATCATGGCTCTAGATATTTCATCCAAGAACATGTTCCAGACTACAGTACTGTTAAAAAAAACACACACACACACAGGGAATTGTGAAAGGTTAATTATACTGAGGTACATTCAAACTCAATTATTGCCTCATGAAGACTACTGAAAATCCTGTTACAGGTATCTATCAGAACATGTTATTAATTGCCAATAGATCAAAAATAATACCAGTATTAATTGTGAATTTTAAGAACACATACAATCTCCATTTACTTGGAAGATCAGGTATCAAAAAAAAAAGATATGGTAGATTTTGTGAGTTATCACAAAATTGATATGTGACAACCTTTGAACTATAAATCACAAAGCTGTCGTTTTGTTACTGGTGAATTAGGATCACAGTAAATATTACATTAGCATCACACAGAAATGCTGAGGGAAATGTATATGCATGCCTATGCACACTGGTATGTGTATGTCTCTGTGTGTGTGTGTGTGTGTGTGTGTGTGTCTGTATGTATGTCTCTGTGTGTGCTTGAGCCCATAATAAAGAAAATGTCCTGGTGTGCAAAACCAAGAACAAACTGCCATTAGAGCAGTAATGAACCTATTGCTGCTAGAGGACAGAAAGTGGGTGGGAGAGGAGAGGTTATATCATCTCCATTAACTAAAAGTCTTGCTTTCCAACTCTTCCATCCACCTCTTTCTTTGCAGAAGATGGAGATCTTAGACTTTAATGCCAGTACAGAAAACATGGATAAATTCTTGAACTTCATAAGAAAACTATTAACTGGAACCCTCAAGGGGAGGAATAATTGGTAAAAAAAAAAAAAAAAAAAAAAAAAAGATACAATATGGATTAGACAAAATTGTGGAAATCTGTCCAGGAAAGAGTGCTTTTCTGTACTAACCTAGTCAGCCAACATTTTTTTGTAAAGGGCTTTATAAGTGGTAAGGTCTCTGTCCTGACTTCTTAACTCTATCATTTCAGTGCAAAGGCAGCCAAAGACAACAGGTAAATATGGGTGTGGCTATGTCCCAATAAGCCTATATTTACAAAAGCAGATGTTGGGTGGGATTTGGCTCATGGGCTCTAGCTTGTTTTTCCCTGTCCTACACTTGAGATTAAATTAAATATCTCAACCAGGAATTCAAAATCCATGGTGTTGATTTTTTTCCTCATAAGAGGAAGGTTAGGGAGACAAAAACTTTAGACCCCTAATGCTGCAGTTGATTCTGAGGCCATAAGTGGTACTTGTCATCACCTTCTTCTACCAACCATTCTAGATTCCTTCTGTCTTCTCTTAGTACCTTGTGCTATATCTGTATGTGATATTTCCTAAGGAGTGACCCAGTCTCTTATAACTCAAAGGTCTGAGTTCCTGGGTACCATGCCCCTATCAAATCATTTTCCCACATTTGTCCATTTACAGATAAGTGGAGAAAGAAGCTACAAAAATAAGACCCCATAAATTACCTGAGCTTACTTCTCATCATGACTAAAGTCAATTACTTCCACAGTGTAGTAGCTCCTTTCTGTGTTTATTGTTCTAGACCCACATGAACAGATGGAAGCTTGAGCTCTATGTTATGCAGGATTCTTACTTTTCCTCACTTTCCCCGGGAAAAGTGTTATCCGTTTGAGAGCCAGCATCACTATGGCCATTGATCCTAAGGAGTAGGAGTATAAATCACTTCTTTTGGTTTCTGAAAGCAATGGTGACTAGAGGTACTTCTACTTCTATGATCTCATTTTAAGATCCATATATTCTACTTAGTAACACAACAGCATATAGTGAGCATCATTTAAGATGGATACTGTACCCTGAAGGATAATAGCCCATTCTCAGAGGGTGTCATCTCCAAACTGGTACCTAGACTACACCTAAAAGATGCTGCTCTAATTCTCTATTTGATGGCAATTTCAGAATGATGCAGTATATGGTAGGACCAATGCTTCCCATGGCAAGGGGTCCACTGCTGCTATAGTGGGAAGCATCAGGGTTTCTACTTGACCCTTTCTATTAAATAGTACTTACCCTAAAGGCTGAAGAACCAATGTGAAGGTTCTGTCAAATGCTATGTCCATTATAATTACACCACGTTGACAGTGGGGAATGACAACTGGGGTACTATATGGAGAGCCTGCAGGTAAATTAAGGTTCCAGTACCAGAGCAGGTAGCAACCTGCCCTAACAGAAAACAAAGGGGAACTGGGCATGGGTGTTTATAGTGTGCCTTTCATGGAATACTTCTTTTACCTAGTGCATATCCTAATTCCTAGATGTCCTATATGAGACCAGGGGATCCCTCATGCAGAAAATGTGTTTATACTGATAGATGCCCTTGCAGTTCTTATCTCACCCATGTTCAGTTTATACCTGCATGACCATTGCTTTGTTGCTGCGAGGGTACAATGTTCTCCTTGGTGTTCTCAGTAACAAAGGACAGGGGGAGAATTCTGGGAAACCTGGCCTGGGGTAGCACGTAGTTCAGATGGAAGGAGCAAATTTAATACATCACCACTAAAGGAAATAAGTTCAGAGTTGTTTACTTACAGATCCTCAGGAAGGAGGGTATAATTAGCTGGGAGGGCAGTCCTCCATTTCTGGGTCATCAAAGCAGGAATGAAGAGTCAGCAGGCAGAAGGAGAGAGAGAGAGCACTCATGAGCACATGCACATAGCAACTAGCAGTATACATAAGGGAATAAGGCAGTGGTCACTTTAAATTTGTGGGCAAATGCCCGAAACTTAAAGTCCTTTTAAAGGAAATGGAAATCCGATTGCTCAGTCTGCTAGGTGAGACAGATGCCCCTAAGTTCTTATCTCTGGCCACTGGCTTGAACCATGGGTGGGGTGTAGAACTATAAACTGTCAAGGGTGACTGAGCCCTGCTTCTGATATGAGAAGCACTTTTGAACTTGTATTAAAAAATGGATGCAGAGACAACATAAAAGAATTTACTATAGGTGCCAAAGAAGCCAAGCATCTTTTGAGATGGACCTCATTTAGGATTCTGAATATTACCTGGCCCCTAAACACCCCCAGCTTAACATGGAGCTATGATTATACTTTAATTATCTGTGTATCTACATCAAATCAAATTTTATGCTATATATTGAATGTTTGTGTCCCCCCACCCCAAATTCATAAGCTATTCCCACCCCCCAAAGTGATGATGTTAGGAGGTGGAGTGATTACATCATGAGGGTGAAACTCTCATGGGCAGGATTAGTGCCCTTGTAAAAGAGGCCTCAGAGAGGCCCATGACCCAATTGCCATGGAAGATTACAGTGAAGAGAGGGCTGTCTATGAGGAAGTGGTCCCTTAGCAGACGACATATCTTCTGGCTGGTTGATCTTAGACTTTTCACCCCTAAAACTGTGAGAAATAAATTTATGTTGTTTATAAGCCACCTAGTCTCTGGTATTTTGTTTCAGCAGCTGGAACAGACTAAGACACCTTGAATCAAATAGCCTTCACAAACCTACATGTTTTCCCTTTTTTAAAAGCATATGACTAACCAATAGAATAATCACATGGCCCTTTGCAGGAAGTCGGGGACTCACTACTGCAAATGCTCCCCGTGGTGCCCCATGGTCTTTCCGCCTGAGGTCTCAACCTCTCCTTCAGTCACTGGTTTCTGAGAACAGGTTCAGTTCAGAAAAGTGGGTAAGGGACATGTGAAATGTGAGTTAGCTTGGGAAGGCTTGGCTCAACCTTTTGCTCATCCATTCTTGATATTTTCTGTATATATAGAATATATATACAGAATCAATATATATAGAAAATACATAATCTAGATATATAGAAATGATCAATAATAGATGAGCAGAAGGCTGAGATAAGCCTTGTGTTTCTGTATGTGCTTGTGTGCATATACACACGTTTAAATGTACATGTGTTCTAGGCATATGAAGGTATACAGGTACATATTCCTATGTACCTATATAGAAAAGATCAAGAACATATTTGTGTACATATATATATATGTGTATGTCTGAAGATAGATAAATATATAGAGATGTAGAAAGGTACAAATATATAGATATAGATGATATAGCTAGATTGAGATATATTGATACAGATATTATTGCTGGCTTCCAAAATACTTTGGCTCTATGAATATTATATTCTCTATGTAAGTTCCAAAGATCC
This sequence comes from Homo sapiens, assembly GCF_000001405.40. Classification (NCBI taxonomy): domain Eukaryota; kingdom Metazoa; phylum Chordata; class Mammalia; order Primates; family Hominidae; genus Homo; species Homo sapiens. The sequence goes on from NC_000014.9 coordinate 41,409,074, forward strand.
CTGTAAGTCAGGGCTTCCTTGCTGCCATTCATATATGCTACTTATAATTACATCCACATTGTTCTGACAGTTAAATGCTTCTACTTGGCTCAGTAATTCTGAAATCCTGTTATCTCTGTTGTTACTAGAATGCCCAACTGTTTTACAGCATTTCTTTTCATTACCACAGCCTACAGAAGATGACAACCTCTTAGCTTCTCAATAATGCTTGTGCCTCTCTTATAAGGGCATTTCTCACTGACTTGGTAAATGGAATGCACTCCAGCTTTCCTATAGAATATAATGAGCTTGGGATATTTTGGTCCTATAGAGTACACCTATTCTAGCACACAGACTTCTCTGAGCTTTTTCTCTTTCTCCAAAGGGCATAGCAGATCAGGCATCGTTTAATATGTGCTGTCACTTTTATACAGCCTCCAGGATCCATCCAGTTAGTGTATTACAACATTCTCCCGGGTCCTTTGCCGAGCTGTTAAATACTATGTCACAGAAAGGAGCCCTCGTATGTTTAACTCACAATATAGGAAAAAATCTCAACATAACTCAAATGGGGAACAAATTTTCTCTCATCTAGGAGGAAGTGTTTTTTGTTTGTTTGATCCAGGCCACTTGAGATATATTACCGGGCTTGTTCTCCCAGTTTCTGCTGGTAATGTTAGCTAGTACCTACAGTTTCTTTAGTATATTTCCCTTTTCTACCTTTAATAGGAACAGAAATCCTCTAGTTAAATTATGCAATTATGCTGAGATTTCCCCTAACTCTAGGAACCTGGAGGTTAAAGTTTCTGAAGTACATATACCTAGTATCCCTACCCCAAATCTCACATCTGACTACTCCCCTGTCAGGTCTCTGACTTTCTTGGGCTAAATAATAAGGTTTCTTTGAAATTCTGCCACTCCTAAAATTAATATTCAGCTCTGTCTGCTATCCAGATGTAGGAGAGAAGTCTTTTGCAATGCTGCCAAGGAAGCACTCTCACACTTTGCATGAAAATATGCAAGTCTAAAATAACATACAAATAATAAAATGTGAGTAAAAACTAAAAACACTGATGTTTATCATTTGCACAGACATAATAAAAAGGAATTCATATGCTTTATGTTATAAATTATATATTAAAAATATAAGTTGTTAAAACACTCGAATAGAAACATGGGGCTAAGTAATGTGTTAGCTTTGATTATTCTTCAGCAAATATTATTTCCCCCTTTCCTTCTAACCTCCATAGAAAGAGTATCTTTCACGATGAATTTGGTATTGAGCTTGACCAGTGAATTTCTGTAGTCAATAAGATGTTAGCAAATGAGACAAAATGAGACATGAGCAGAGACTTTCAATGTGCTTCCCTCTAGTGTTCCTTCCTTTTATCATAAGAAGAACATGCCTTAGGTAGCTGCTGATTCAACAAGGATAAAAGACACATGAGGATAACTTTGACCCAATCAGCAGTTTAAAGCAAAGCCCAGCCAAATGATTACCTGAACATCAACCAAGTTGCAGACATATAAGTGGAAAGCAAATGTCTTCTCCTACATGCCACTAAACTTTGCAGTGATTTGTTATATATCATTATTATGGTAATGGATGATTGATACAACTTCTTAAGTGGAGCATGGTTGTATTCTATGACCCAGGAATTTGATGTATTTTGATAAAAGAAAAACTTCAGCTGAATTAAATTTAAAGGAGTTTAATTAAGCAGTGAACAATTAGCGAATTAGGTAGCCCCCATAATCACAGCAGATTAACATAGACTCCAGTGCAGAAGATTTATAGACAAAAAAAGGGAAATGACATACAGAAATTGGAAGTGAAATACAGAATGACAGGGTTGGCTACAGCTCAGCATATGACTTATTGGAACACAGTTTGAACACTCAGCAGTGTATGAACGGTTGAAGTATGGCCACTGGGATTGGCCAAGACTTAGCTATTGTTACAGGTGCATACTCCTAAGTTAGGTTGTCAATGTTGTCTGACTGTTAAGCCAGGTTACAGTTCATCCACAAAGACTCAAATATAGAAGTACGAAGTTCTTCTCAAGCCATATTTAGTTTGCTTTAACAATGTCTATCCTGGACAATTTCTCATACATGTGTGTAAGGAGATATGTAAAATTATGTTCATGGCAGTACTACCTGTACTGCAGAAACTGCCTCACCTGCATGTTTCACATCTTTTAGGCCATGTCGTCTTTTGAAATGAGTGAGCCACCCAGCGTTAACTTAGAAGGTTTTAACATTGTCTTGACTCTGGGTAATGTGACCATACTTTTTTTTTTTTTTTTTTTTTTGTCTTTCAGCCTCATAAGTCAATGCTGTCAACTATACTTTTAACAATTGATTGTTATCTCATGAATTCATAAATCTAGCCACATTTTAGTATTTCCGTAACTTTATGACATGCTGTAAATGTTATCTGAGCAATTTCTGATGTGGTCTCCTGTATAGTCAATGAGTTTCCTCTTCCTTTGTCTGGATATAGCATATTTTTGAATCATTAATATTGAACTCATGGCCAACTGCACTTTGTTCAGCTCATGCCTGAACAAAGCTTATGTAAAACATGTGTTTTCTTTATAAGGCACATCACAGCCTTCTTGTGCTTAAAATAAACTAGACAGCCAGTCTGTCCAGTACTATGCTTAAGAGCCATTTTCGACCAGGCACGGTGGCTCACACCTGTAATCCCAGGATTTGGGGAGGCTGAGGTGGGTGGATCACGAAGTCAAGAGATCAAGACCATTCTGTCCAACATGGTGAAACCCTGTCTCTACTAAAAGTACAAAAATTAGCCGGGCCTGGTGGCACATGCCTGTAGTCCCAGCTACTCGGGAGGCTGAGACAGGAGAATCGCTTGAACCCGGTGGGGTAGAGGTTGCAGTGAGCCAAGATTGCGCCACTACACTCCAGCCTGAGTGACTGAGCAAGACTCCATCAAAAAAAAAAAAAGACCAAAAATGCAAAAAAATGTGCTAACAAATAAACTGTAAAAATGACACATATTTATAGTATGAGAACCAAATAAAGAAAGTAGAATGAGTGTCACCTTGTTCAGCCTCAACTAGAAACAGACACATTGGGTAATTAAAATTTCTTGTACTTCTGTGCAATTCTATGAGTGACCATGAAGGTCTAGTGTGTATCGATTGTGACATTACAAATACATTTCAGCAAGAGGACAAATTCACAAATATGTAATCTGTGAAAATAATAAGGATTGGCTATATTTAATAACACTAGAATGCAAATATATGAATGGAATGATATCCAAAAACTTCAGGATAGTGCTTAAGTCTAGCAAGGAAGGAGGTAAAAAGGATGTTTACGTGGGTCTTAGATTTATCTGCAACATTTCATTTGTTAACAGAAAAAAAAATTTCAAACAATTATTGCAAAATGCTGTCTCTATAATCTCTGATAAGTATAATTGTCTTATCAATTATAGAGAAAGTATAATCTCCTTTCTCTAGTTTTAAAATATTTGAAATACTTTTAACATTGTATGTTAAATTTTAAGGACATTTACAAATTCTATTTGGAAAAACTTTTAAAATATAATAAAAAGTTTCATGGGAAGGGGAAATTTGGGCATATTGTCAGTTTTGGCACAGAAGGGAGATTTTGAAATATCTATTGTTTGAAGCACAAATCTGACAAGTGAAGTTTCAGAGGCCTAGATCTACGCTGACTACTAAAAGGGTCTCTTCCAATATATTTAGAAAATGGTTTAATTGCTGTAATTTTCAATACATATTTGACTGTGAGACATTAACATTCTTAATATTCAGTGACTTAAAAACTTAAATCTATGAAAGTATCCTAAGAAGTCCTATAAGGCAATCTCCAATTATTGATAGCATGCTCTTCATACATATCCCCAATAATTTTGACCAACTCTGAAATGGTGACCTCCTATTCCTTAAAAACATCAATTTCTTTCTTTCCTGCATATACTATCCAAATAGAATGCCTGCTATTTTCTTGGACAAGTAGTAACCCACTATTACTGATTAAATACTCTGAGGACCAGGATGTTTTTAGTTACCATTTTTTTCCACACAGATGATTGCAATACTTTATTATAAACTCCCTGAGGAAAAATTGCTTATTTTTTTATCATTATACCAAAACTGTCTGGACCTTGGCCACTGTGGCTAGAAATAATATTTATAGCCCAAGCTACACAAGTTCAATAAAGACTATGATTACTGTCAGCACTCAGAAACTGCATCTTCTAGCTGTAGTGTAGTATCAAACATGGCAGGAACATTGCTTAAATGAAGCAGTGAGAAATTTCAAAAGGTGTAAAACAGATTCTCATCATCCTTATTTCTTAAACGTTATTTATAACCATATTGAAACCAATTTGTATGAGTCTTTGTTAATAGAGAAAACAAATATTTGTTTTTGTTATCTATTTGTTTTTAAATAACAAATCAGCATAAGTCATTTGCATGCAGGTCATTATGTATTGATAATTGTATCGAAAGAAATTTGGCCTCACTCAAAGAGACATCTGACATTTTTTTCTGGCTCCCAGGAGGTAAAGTCTAAAGCATTGGAATTTCCCCAGTGCTAAGAGTTTCCATATTATTTCTGATGAGTTGCTCACACTATACCTAATAGTTGATGTTAACAAAGTGACTCAGGGTGGGGCTGGCCACACATGATAGTCTTAGAGTAGGGACTGGCCATGCCAGAAAGACTAACCAAAGGAAAGAATTAGATTGGGCTTTTTGGTCATGCTATATCATTCCACCTCTGGGAAGGGAGGGATAGGGAGACTGAGTTCAATCATGTGAACAATATAATCAATCAATCATACTTAAGTAATGAAGTCACAATAGAAACTCTGAAGACTGAAGCTTGTATGAGCTTCCTGGATTGGCAATGTACTATGCTAATTGTCACATACTAATACTGGAGCATAACGTGTCCTGAAGAAAAAGAAAGCTTTCTGTTTGGAACTTTCCCAGACTCTGTGCTCTGTGTTTCTTCCCTTGGCTAATTTTAATGTATCTTTTCCTATAATAAACATGGCCATAAATATAACAGTTTTCTGTGAGATCTGTGAGTCTTTAGTGTGAATTATTGAAACTGAGGGCAGACTTGGTTGTCTGCAGAACTGTCTGCTTACCTCAAAGTCTGGCAAACTTTGAAATAATGATATATTGTTTTCTAGAAGCAGGTTTAAGCTGAACAGAAAGCTAACGTTTTAGTTTTCTGACAATTGGGAGAGAAGGGCTACACATCAACTATTCCAAACCAAAATACATCTTGTTACATATTTTTAAATATTTCATAAGTTTATTAAGTAGTGTGTTTATTTATAATAAGACATCTTATTTACATTCCTTGGTGTATATTTCCCAAAAGTATATCCAGAATTGTTGTAAAATAATGTTGCCCAAAGTGATACACTCTCTACATGAATATATTATGCATATTTTGTTTAAGCTGAGACAACATTGGATTATCCCTGACTTAAAAATCTTTCTGAGTAAAACAATTTCAGCAATGTTGAGTGGAAAGAACTTGAGTGTCAATTGTGCATTCCTTTTTATATGGGAACAGAGTCAAAACAATCATCTACAAATAATCAAAGCTTGTTTTATACCTGTGTACTAAGCTCACCTCAGACTGAAAGAAGAAACACTTCCATTGTGGTACATATCCTAGCATGGCACAGCACCTTGTCTTAACTTAAAAACAAAACAAAATAGTGTGGAGTAGCAGTCGTTGGAGATTCTGTGGGAGGATAAAAAGGGGGTGAGGGATGAGAAATTACATAATGCATGTAACGTACACTATCCAGGTGCTGATTACATTAAAAGCCCATACACTAAAACCCCAATATATCCATGTAATAAAACTATGCTTGTATGCCTTAAATGTATACAAAAATAAATAAATATCATGATAGCCAACCTACTTTCGGTTTGATTGCTTGTTCAAGTGTACGTGTCTGTGCAACTGGTAGCATGGAATAATTATTTCCACGTATCTATTAGTGAGTATGATTTTGAGCTACCAAAAATCAAATCAAATTTCAGTTAATAAAAGTATTATTATTTTTTATTCTTCATTATTCCTATTATATAAAATACATGTATCACAACTGTCTTTTTGGTATTCTAAAATACTTCCTAGATCAAGCCATACTCACAAAGACTAAGACACTGTGACAGAGACTACTTATTCTCTGCTAATCATTCTACCCATTCACCACAACAAAAAAGAAAAAGAAAAAACAAAACACCCCTGATTATTATCTGGACACATCACTCCCAAGGATAAATATTATATTTCTTATTCCTTTAGCTCTAGATGTGCCTGTGTGATAGAGGCTTCTTAATGGCAGCCTTGAAAGAATAGAACAGGGTTAAGGACATGAATAGACAGTTCTCCAAAGAAGATATACAAATGGCCAACAAATATGTGAAAAAATTCTCAACATCGCTAATGATCAGGGAAACGCAAATCAAAACTACAATGTGATACCACCTTACTCCTGCAAGAATGGCTATAATCAAAGAATAAAAAAAAAGTAGATGTTGGCATGGATGCAGCGATCATAGAACACTTCTACACTGCTGGTGGGAATGTAAACTAGTACAGCTGCTATGGAAAACAGTGTTGAGAGTCCTTAAAGAAGTAAAAATACAACTACAATTTGATCCAGCAATCCTACTACTGGGTATCTGTTCCATGTGAGAAATGTGCGTGGGGCGAGGAAAAGGTGCACACACAATTCGTTTAAGGGTAAACAACCTTTATCCCATGTAATGGCAAAGCAGATATAATAAGAAAATGATATAATCAGCAGATGATATAATAAGCAGATTAATACAATAAGCAGACTGATATAATAAGCAAATTATAATAGGAAGGGGAGAAGGGAAAAGATATTTACACTCACCAGACTATGGAGGATTCACCACCAGATTGGGAAGCAACAGCCTAGGCTCCAGAATCAGAAGGAACAGCCTGGGCTCCACAGTCGGCCACTCGTCTGTGCAGAGATGAGGAGAGGTCTCATGAAGCTTTGGCACAGTCTGGGACCCTAGCTCTTTTTGTAACAAGTTTTTTGGCATGAGGCCCAGTCACGAGGGCCCTTCCCCACTGAGCTCAAGGAACACAAAAAGGTCAACTTGTTTTTTGTGATTCTCTATTGTTTTTCAATAACTAACGTATAGGAATAGATTGAAGTAGAGATTTCTTGGAAACAGAGCTGGATGAAGCCTCAAGGGGCTCACACAACCTGTTCCAGGACTTGGTAACCATTGTTTGTGTCCATGTTCAATTGAGTTCAAATTTAATGTTTAACTTTTCCTCCACAGTATCTACCCAGAGAAAAAGAAGTCATTATTCAAAAAAGATACTTGCACATGCATCTTTATAGTAGCACAATTCACAATTGCAAAATCGTGGAGTCAACCCAAATGTCCATCAATCAATGAGTGAATAAAGAAATTGTGAGATATATATGATGGAATACTACTCAGCCATAAAAAATAATGAATGAACAGCATTTGCAATAACCTGGATGAGATTGCAGATTATTATTCTAAGTAAAGTAACTCAGGAATCGAAAGCCAAACATTGTATGTTCTCACTGATATGTGGGAGCTAAGCTATGAGCATGTAAAGGCTTAAGAATGATACAGTGGACTTTGGGGACTTGGGGGGAAGAGTTGCGGGGCAAAGGAAAAATACAATAAATGTGGTGTAGTGTATACTGCTCAGGTGATGGGTGCACCAGGATCTCACAAATCACCACTAAAGAACTTACTCATGTAACCAAATACCACTGGTTCCCCAATAACTTATGGAAAAATAAAATAAAATTTAAGAAAAGAAAGAAGAGGACAGTTATCTTGGCATACAAGGACACAAGCCTGCAGTCAACGACAGGAATAAGATGTTGCCATCTCATCTGAGCCTCTTTAATCATATGGTTTCCAAAGATATTCCAATAATTTAGAGGAGATGAGGGACTGGGATGGAGCTGAGCATGGTCCGTAAGGAAAGAACCACAGTCTTCAGACTCAACCTATATCTAGGCAAGATCTGTAGCTTTTATTAGTTATATATAAACCCAAAACTAAGTTGTCAAAGAATCACTTTCACAGAAAATCCTTCTTGGCTTGCAAAAGCCAGTCGTTGTTTAGTCCCTAAAGTTACCAAGAATAACACTCCCAGTCCCCCCAGCCCCACTCTACCACCATATCCACAACAATTGCATCAGCAGGATGCTGGTTAGGAATTTGGCAGTCCCCATAAAGAGCATTCATAACACAGTTAACTTAAGATATGACCATGAAAAATCAATAAGGAAGAACTTCCCAGGGAGTTATGGTTTGCCAGGTAAGCTAGCCAAATAATTTGTACTTTATAATTCATATATGGTAAGATTTGATCATTACTATAGACATGTAAGTACTATATGTTTCTCATTATACTTTTTCCCAAATGAGAATATCATGATTATTTTGTGTATTCATGCATTTGGGGATGGGCAAACTATGCCCCAAGGACAAATCTGACTTGTTGTATTGTGTGTGTGTGTGTGTGTGTTTGTATGTGTGTGTGTAAGTACAGCTTTATTGGAACATAGCCATGCCCATTCATTTTGTCTCTGGCTGCTTTCACCCTTGAGTGGCTATTAAATAGTTATAACAGAGACAATATGGCCTGCAGAGCTTAAACTATTTACCATCTGGCCATTTACAAAAAAAGTTTGGTGATCCCTCGTCTATATTATCATTTTATATTGAGCATGTTAAGACCAAATTAGTTGTTTCTAGACTAATGGTAGCTATATCATACTGAAAGGAAAAGATTGAACATTGACTAGAGTGTCAGAGAAAAATCCATTTTTTCTCCTTCCTATAAAAAGCAAAAAACATATATAGTTATCTACACTGCATGTTGTTGGACCCTTGAAAAATGTAATTTTCTTTAATTACCCTTTTTAGTAATAACATCTATTTATATTAAGGATTCTTGTAATAAATAGTCCTATGAGCTTTTTATTGTACATTATAAAGATATTATCGAGAAAGATATTATTGAGTTTTTAAATTCATTATGTTATATCATACTATACATTCATTTCTCCCAAGAGAAATGATCATGGTGCCTAATGATATTAAAAATCTTCTCAGAAGTTTGTTTTTATCTCATGAATATAATAAATTGTGTAAATGATACTAACTTTGCCCTTTTTTCAAATTAAAATTTAAATGACAAATTTATACTTCACTTTTGGTGAACTGGTAAATTCTGAAATTGAAAACCACTCCAAAAGTCCATGATATTGCTGAAACTGCTGAAATATATGTCATTAGGCTGAGAGAGGCTAAAGAACGTCCACAGCTAGAGAGGAAGCCTACCCTACCACCTAGCATCCAGCTTTCAATCCAGTTTTCTTCTTGTATTTACATAGGCAATAACTCATAAAAGTAAAAATAAAATTGTGTTTTTACAGGTGAAAAGAAAGCACTTGATAATGCTTTGAATATAAAAAAGGGGCCTAAAATGGTCCTTATTTAGAAAATTTAAAAAAGAAACTAAAAATAGAATAGCAAATTCTCAATACTGCCCAGATTTATGGCATTCAAAAACATATATAGTCATTCAATAAAATAAATTTGTGGAGTGTTATCACCACTGCAAAAGTTGCTCAATAATAGTGATGGAATTTTAGTAAAATTTGAAAAGACCGGTAACTGGTCCTTTGAAGTTGTGTAGTCCCAGGAAACATGGCATTATTTTAAAAAGTTCTTTGCCTTTGTGAAAGCACAAGAGAGAAAAAGAGCATTAGGGTTTCTTCTTGACTGCGGAAAAATACTTAGAAAAGAAGGGGTATAACCAGAACAAGAAAGTGCAACAGTAACGAAACTCACTTAGTTTTAAAGCAAGATGCCTCTGAAAGGGGAGTATCATGGTTAAATGCAGCCAAGCACATACTGATTCTTCCGTTGTGGTAACGTGGGATGTTTGAGCTCTGCCTAATCTATAGTCGTGCTAATCAAAAGTCATGACAAAAAAACAGAGAAATCTTATTCTTCCATTGGGTATCCCATTAAAATACCTGCATCATGGCACAGCTTATTTTAACATGATTTCACAGTTATATGTGTGCTAAAGTGGAAATTCACAAATGTAAGTTTTTGAAGAGACTGTAAGTGATTTTCCTTAGAAATGTCAGCATTCTACTCAGGTTGCTTTTGCCAAAGTCACCTAAATTGAAAAGATCCCTCGCTGACTGGCATAGCTTCTCCACATCCAGTCTTTAAATGGTTTCATTTCAACAGTCTCACTGAAATCCAGCTGGCTCATACCCCGATTATAATAAAAATCCGAAGTCTTGTTAATTGACTAGAGAACAGAATTTGAAATTCTGACAGGAAGTATTTCCTCACCCTTGATTGAGAAAAACAGTGCACAGATGGTCAAGGTGATGCACATTCGTGTGCCCTCAAAGATTTATTTCTTTCCAATTCTTATGTCAAAATAGTGCTTAATAAAAAAATACAAATAAATAAATAAAAGGAAGCTCATCTCTAACCTCTGGTTTAAAGTGTTCATTGTTAACTCCTATTATAATTTAAGTTTTTAACGGATTCACTTACCCTTGCCTGCCTGTAGTTTAGATTACTGCATGAACTTCCAATTCTACCACAAGCAGAAGTTTCTATGGCAATTATAATTCTTTCTGAGGACAAGAACACTGAGGTCACATCACATCAGTACTTTCTGCCCTGTACTGATACCGATCAAATTCTGAAAATAATTTAAGGTTTCGGTCCTTAGCCTTAGGGCACAAAACTCGATAGAATCTAGCAATTTCAGAAACCTTATCATGTTCGACACCACATTACTCACAGCAACTATTTTCAACAAGCAGTCTGTGGTACTGATCCTAAAACTGAAATAGACAAGATTCTAGGTCAGAATACTCCTTTAAAATCAATGGAATTGTAGAAATTAGTTTGAAAAATTCTATCAGGATATTAGAACATTCTCAAAGAACTTGGCAACAATTTAGCAGGTTTATTATTTCACTTGTTTATCAAAGTATTCTTCAAGCCATAATTTTGTGAAGTTTCCTCTCCTATTTCCAAACTATTTTACAGTTTCTCAAAGGTCGTTCCTCCATTCACTCAGCCTAATTCTCCACATTTTTACCACTTACTTGACAAAAAATCAAAAGCCAAATATCAGGAACACCTTCTCTGTCTACTCCTTTCTTCCACCCAATTATATCTGTATTTGCAGGTAAATTGCAAGAACAAAAATTGTTTAAGTAGCAAGCTGTTTATTTAAAAATATATATATAACCCGGCCGGGCGCGGTGGCTCACGCCTGTAATCCCAGCACTTTGGGAGGCCGAGGCGGGTGGATCACGAGGTCAGGAGATCGAGACCATCCCGGCTAAAACGGTGAAACCCCGTCTCTACTAAAAATACAAAAAATTAGCCGGGCGTAGTGGCGGGCGCCTGTAGTCCCAGCTACTTGGGAGGCTGAGGCAGGAGAATGGCGTGAACCCGGGAGGCGGAGCTTGCAGTGAGCCGAGATCCCGCCACTGCACTCCAGCCTGGGCGACAGAGCGAGACTCCGTCTCAAAAAAAAAAAAAAAAAAAAAAAAAAAAAAAAAAAAAAATATATATATATATATATATATATATATATATATATATATAACCCTATTTTTCTCACTCTATGCCTATTATTTTATCTGTCCTTTTCCATCTCCTTTCTCTCTTTTTCCTCTCTCAACAGTGGAACATTAAAAAAAGGAAGTTACTACAAAGTAAAATTAGATTTAGGACAAAACTGAAAATAAGGACAGCAAACAAACAAAGAGAACCTGAGGTCACAGTGGCCTGGGTGAGAGTTTATTTACCCTTACTAATCCATGAGACTATGTGCTTCAAACCAAACTGATCCATCCCAGAGAGTGGATCTCAATTAGTTGTAACCAGTATCTTGAGATATTACCATGAAAAGTGTACCTGGTGGCTCCTGGGAAGTTTTACTCACTCTTAAAAGACAAAAAAGTAGGAAAAGATGGTTTCTGCTTATATCAGTCATAATATGATCAGAGAAGCAGAGCCCTACCCATTCTTAATTTCTTTTAGTTGGGGGTGGGCAGGAGTAGGAGACTCAACAAACTAGAAATAGAAAAGAATTTCTTCATTATGATAAAAGATATCTACAAAAACTACATATTACATCATGTTTAATGCTGAAACAATCAATGGGCCCTCCCTAAAACTGAGAACAAGGCAAGAATGTCCCTTTTACCACTTTTATTCTGCATTGTACTGCGGACTCTTTCCAGAGCTATCAGACAAGAAAACAAATAAAAGTTATGCAGACTGGATTAAATTTTTTTAAAAAAATTATTTATTTATTTATTTATTTATTTATTTATTTATTTATTTATTTATTTATTTATTTTTGAGACAGAGTCTCCTCTGTCACCCAAGCTGGAGTGCAGTGGCACTATCTCGGCTCACTGCAACCTCCGCCTCCCAGGTTCAAGCAATTCTCCTGCCTCAGCTTCCCGAGTAGCTGGGGCTACAGGCGCGCTCTACCACACACAGCTAATTTTTTTGTTTTTAGTAGAAACAGGATTTCACCGTGTTGGTCAGGCTGGTCTCGAACTCCTGACCTCGTGATTTGCCTACTTCAGCCTCCCATAGTGCTGGGAATATAGGTGTGAGCCACCGCGCCTGGCCAATTAAAATTATTTTTATTCTCACATGACATGAACCTGGGTGTAGGAAATACTCCCATACTAGAGCTAATAAATATGCTTAGGAAGACTGTAGGAAACAAGATCCATATACAAAATAAATGAACATTTTCACCCTGAAAACTAAAAAAACTTTGCTTAGAAAAAATAAAAAGGATCTAAAGGAAAGGAGAATTATTCCATGTTCATGAATTGGAAGACTCCGTTTTATTACAATAAAAATTCTCCCCAAAAGATTCATTGCAGATGTTTTTCTCCAAAATTGACAATCTGATTCTAGAATGTATATGGAGAAGCAAAGGACTCAGAAAAGTCAAAACAACCTTGAAAAAAGGATAAAGTTGGAGGACTTTCACTCCTTATTTTCAAAAATTACTGGGAATCTACATTAACCAGGATAGTATGGTACTGGAGTAAGAATAGATACACAGGTCAATGGAATAAAATTGGCACTCCTGAATTAAATCTTTACATTTTTGGTCAATTGACTTTCAACCAAATTTTGAAAGTAATTCATCGAAGGAAGAATAACGTTTTCAATAAAGTGCCTTTCTCCACCTCTTCTGGTTTAGAATTAGTGTCTTATATTCTATATTTTAGTGATGGTCTTTTATATTTTATTATTATTTACCAGAAACAGATCCTAATAAATTTTGAATACTCTTTTTTTTAAATTCTCTGTTTCAAAAATCTTTGATTTGATTGAGAATTCCACTCTACAATTTCCTGTGAAAGTTTAGCAACTGAGCCTAAGTATGTATTCAATAGAATGTAAGAGGAAATACTAGGTCAAGACTTTTCTTTTCTTTTTTGGAGACAGCGTCTCGCTCTGTCACCCAGGCTGGAGTGCAATGGCACAGTCTCTACTCACTGCTACCTCTACCTCCCGGGTTCAAGCAATTCTCATGCCTCACCCTCCCAAGTAGTTGGGATTACAGGCATGTGCCACCGCACCCGGCTACTTTTTGTATTTTTGGTAGAGATGGGGCTTCACTATGTTGGCCAGGTTGTACTCAAACTCCTGACCTCAAGTGATCCACCAGCCTTGGCCTCCAAAGTGCTAGGATTACAGTCATGAGCCACCACATCCAGCCTGGGTCAGGACTTCTGTAAAAGCTTTCTTTACAAAGCGGTCTGAGTTAACTGGAAGGCTATTTTGCCCTTGACACTTCTTAGTAGCTTACTTAATTGTCTTGATGTCTTGCAATTGGCCATGATGGGAGACGGTGCAATCACTGACTTACAATTAGTGCAAAATATAACAAGAGAAAGAGTCTACATTTCTGATGACAACATGGAGCTGCCGTCTTTGCCCTAGACTGCCGTCCTGTTTTATCTTATGATAAAAAATAAATCTCTAACATGTTTAAGACAGTCATTTTGGATTTCTGTTACCAGAAGCCAAACATAATTTCTAATAATACTAAACAAACTTTATTTTCAGTTACTAGCCTCACACCCCTCTCCAAAAGTTACTTAAAACAGGTGAAATCTAATCAACTTCATCCTTTATTGGAGGGTGTGGTTATCTTTAACTTCACTTCAATATATTTTTTGGTGCCTTGTTTTATTACGCCCACAAAATAGATTTCTTAATATTGCTTTATAACTTGATATTTATTTCAATTTGTTTGTATTTCTTTCCTTATTTGTTAAAATGGCTTAGATCCAAAAGACAGGCAATAACAAATGCTGGTGAGGATGTGGAGAAAAGGGTACTCTGGTACATTGTTGCTGGGAATGTAAATTAGTACAACCACTATGGATAATAGTTTGGAGGTTCCTCAAGAAACTAAATATTGACCTACCATATGAACCAGCAATTCCACTGCTGGGTATATAGCGAAAAGAAAGGAAATCAGTTTATCATTCCTTCTTGACCTCAGCTGTATCTTATGATTCATTTCCTTTCTTACCGAAGTACATTCTTTAAACCTTTTTGCTGTGCATCTGTGGACAGTACACTCAATTTTTATTTCGGAAAACATTGATCTGGCTTGAGAAAGATAGATAGCTTGGGACTTGATTCAAAGTTGAATTTTCCATCTGTACTTTTAGGATATTCCATTACTTTTATGTCTTCTATTATTTCACTTGAGAAGTCTTCCTCCAGTATAATTTTCTATTCTTGGAAAATGATCTGCTGATCCTCTCTTGATTATTGAATTCACATATTTTATCAATTCTGGAATGTCCTTAACCATTCTCTGTATTTTCTATTTTTGAAAAATGGCTATTTAACTCTGTCCACCAAATCCATTAAGCTCCTTGCCATATTTTGGATTTGATTTTCTCTCTGTTCTGCATTCCAAGGAGATTCTTCATGGAGTTATTTCTTCAAGCTTCCACATGATATGTTTATCTATTCATAATCAATCAATTAGCCCATTCACTGTACTGTCTAATTTTACTTTCTAAATTATTTAGCTTTAGAAGTTTAGTTTTCTCTTTTTAATTTTTTTCCAAATTATCCTAGCAATGTGGAGAAACACTAGTTTTCTGCTCACTGTTACTAGGTTTACCCCTTACCTTTTTGAACATCTTATGTAATATAATACATTTCTGATAATTCTATTTTCTTAAGTTATTAGAGGTACTAAATTTGTTGTGTTTTTGCTGTTTTTGTTATTGTTGCACTGTTGTTTCTCCTGAGTTTCGCTCATTGTTGGTTGTTTCTTTCTAAGTTATACACAAGGGTACTTTAAAAGAATAGAGGATTTTGAGAAAGGTGAGTAGAGAATGATCTACAATAATCATGAGAGGCACTTATAGTCACCTCAAGATCCTGTGTATATTGATCATGAGAAAAATTTGTTAAAACTATTGCTATGTGAGATGACTGAATGAGCAAGAAGTGTTTCCAGAGGAGATCTAGGCTTCATTTAGAGAAAAGGGATAAGCAAACATTCAGAGAAGAAGTAAGGGTATGGGAAAATTTTTGTACATATTACTAGGTCTGACAGGCACAATAAGAGGCATTTACCAGAGGAGGGGACAGCTTGGTGAGTGACTGAATCAGATCAGCAGATAAAAGAGAAATATGGGAATAAGTGAGTACTGGATGTCTAGGGGAATGGGGATTCTGCAGGGCCTAAGGTAAGCAGGAAAATAACATATGATGAAATTCTTCTTGACTGTCACTTAGGATAAAGTCTAAAAATTTTGCTCTCTAGGAGCTACACTCCTAAAGAGTATAGAACTTGAGCAAAATATGATCTCAAAAGGAATATACGGAGTTCGGTGGGCCTGGCTTAAATTTTCCTAACATTAGAACCCAAATCTTAATAGGTGTTAATAATAGCAACCTATTTTTTGCTAAATTATCAACAACAGTAGAAAATAATTAAAAATAGACAAATAATATCTCCATTTCAATTTCTATATTACCTGAAGTAACGTCTAAACTCTTCTGGGCTTTAGATTCCTCCTCTTTAAATGAAGAAATTAGACAAAATAATTTTGCCTTTACAGTTTTGTATGACTAATTCTTCCAAAATTTTTTCAGTATGCACAATAGAAACTCATCAGAGTACATTAATTTGGATTTTACAGCTCAGTATCTAAACTACTTTTTATACTTTTTGTATTAAAAGAATGATGGAAAGATTTCAGATTGAACCCTTAAAATTCTCTAGATCAGAGAGAATAGAGAGACATGAGACATGTATATTATAAAATAACATGCTTTTCAGAAATAAGAAATTTTTTAGTCAGTTTTCTTAAGTACTTTTATAAATTTTATTCTTTCTACAAAAAAAAAAAAACTTAACAAATAAGAATTTGCTGTATGCCAGCCATGATCTCCATTTATTTCTCCCAACACTTATGTGACAGACACCTTGTCCCCATTTTGCAGATGAAGATGTAAAGCACTGGAAGTTTAACTGCCTTCAGTTACAAATTCTACCCTCACTTTGTATATAGACACCTGGTGTCTGTATTCTCCTTCCTCATGCTTTCTAACAGTTATGATGCACAGCTCCAGGTAACACAGGACTTAGACCTCAGTTTACCCAAGGTATGGTAAGTTTCTTGTAGCTCCTGAGGTAAATATGTTATTTTTTAAAATAACATAATAGTAGGTGCTCTGTGGGACCCAGATATTTTCTTCTCAGCACTCAATGTTGCTATAAGCCTGCTTGTCTCTGCCTAAGGGTTTTCACTGGTCACAAGAGTGTAACCGCCCAATGGGTTCACCTTGCTGGCTGTCTAGACAGAACTGATATATCAAAACTGGAATTGCAATGGCGAAAGAGTAATTCACACAGAGCCCACTGTGCAGGAGACCGGAATTTTATTATTACTCAAATCAGTCTCCCTGAGCATGCATGCAGGGATCAGAGGTTTTTTTTGTTTGTTTGTTTGTTTGTTTTTTGAGATGGAGTCTCACACTGATGCCCAGCTAGAGTGGTGCAATGGTGCGATCTCGGCTCACTACAACCTCTGCCTCCTGAGTTCACGTGATTCTCCTGCCTTAGCATCCCGAGTAGCTAGGATTACAGGCGTACACCACCACACCTGGCTAATTTTTTGTATTTCCTGTAGAGACGGGTTTTCACTATGTTGGCCAGACTGGTCTAGAACTCCTGATCTCATGATCTGCCCCCATCGACCTCCCAAAGTGCTGGGATTATGGGCGTGAGCCACGGTACCTGGCCTCAGGGATCAGAGTTTTTAAGGATAATTTGGCAGATATGGGTTCGGAAAGTGGGGAGTGCTGATTGGTCGGGTTGAAGATGAAATCATAAGGGATCGAAGTGAGTTCTTCTTGCTGACTTCTGTTCCCAGGTGGGATTGCAGAACTGGTTGAGCCAGTGGTGTCATCTGCTGCATTGGAATGCAGGGTCTGCAAAATATCTCAAGCACTGATCATAGGTTTTACAATAGTGATGTTATTCCCGGAAGAAATTTGGGGAGGATCAGACTCTTGCAGCCAGAGCCTGCATGGCTCCTAAACCATAATTTGTTAGTCTTACAAAGGCAGACTGGTTCCAAGATAAGAAGGGGTTGTTCAGGAAAGAGCTATTATCCATTTTGTTTCAGAGTTTAAACTATAAACTAAATTCCTTCCCAATGCTAGTTCGCTAGTTTGGCCTACACCCAGGAATGAACAAAGACAGTTTAGAGATTAGAAGAAAGATGGGGTTGGTTAGGTCTGATGTCTTTCACTGACATAATTTCCTCAGTTATAATTTTGCAAAGGCAGTTTCAAGAGCATGCTTACTTTCACACAGAGCAGGCTGGAATTGCCAGGAATTAACACTTTCAGGAGTATCCTTCAATCAATGATGAATAGAAATTGATGGATAAATACAGCAGAATATTTGCTTACCAGTGGGACAAGTATCTCCCACATGCCCCAGTGGAATTTAACCCAAGTTGGACATACTGGCTGCCTGCTTAGTAACATGCCTTGTATTGTACTTCCTTAATCTCACATCTTGTTCAACTACCAGTGCTTGATGGAATGATGTCAAATAATCTACCTCCATCTAAATTCTTGTTTCAGGCCAGGCACGGTGGCTCATGCCTGTAATCTGAGCACTTTGGGCAGCCAAGGCAGTGCAGGAGTTCGAGGCCAGCCTGACCAACATGGTGAAACCTTGTCTCTAATAAAAATACAAAAATTAGCTGGGCTTGGTGGCAGGCAACTGTAATCCCAGCTACTACGGAAGTGGAGGCATGAGAAGCTCTTGAATCCAAGAGTTGGAGATTGCAGTGAGCCGAGATTTTGCCACATGCACTCCAGCCTGGGTGACAGAAACTCCTTCTCAAAATAAATAAGTAAATCTTTGTTCTAGGGTCTTCTTGTGGGAAAAACAGTAAAAGTCAAATAATGTTTAAGATTTTATTTCATTATTTGGTTGCTGCTTGAGATTGAATAATATTCTCTACAGATAGATTTTATAATTTATAACTAGACCTTAAGCCCTTCTTTCTCATGCACGAGATATTTCTGACTGGTCACATTTTAGGAGGATACAATTTATGTGTTAAAAATGTTTTCCCAGAAAAGCAGAACAACACATCCTCAAATGGAGTATGTGGACTGAATGAGGATATCAGCCTTGACCAAATGAAATAAAAGCCACAAGTCCTTCTCCAGATTTTCTTGTCTACAAAGGCCTCCAGAGACTATTAAATAAGCTATGTGTTCAATAATAGTTTTTTGAATTGGTAAATTAATTCATTTATTCCACATTAGATTTTAGCAGTGATATTTTAAAAATAGATAGAGATAAATAGTTATTAGATATTTGAAGGAGGTGTAGAGAAGTTAATAAAGAAAAAAAGTCAGGATAAATGGAAAAAATTGAAAGCATTCCCCTTAAGTATGTGAACAGGACAAGGATGTCATTCTCACCACTCCTATTTAACATAGCAATGAAGTCCTAGCCAGACCAATCAGGCAAAAGAAAGAAATAAAAGGCATCCAAATTGGAAACTAGGAAGTCAAATTATCTTTGTTCGCTGATGACATGATTACATGCCTAGAAAACCCTAAAGATTCCTCCAGAAGATTTCTAGACTTAATAAACGACTTCAGTGAAGTTTCAGAATACAAAATCAATGTAAAAAAATCAGTAGCCAATACACCAATAATATGCAAGATGAGAACCAAATCAAGAACTCAATCTCATTTATGACAGCTACGCAAAAAAACAAAACACCTAGCAGAACATTTAACCAAGGAGGTAAAAGATCTCCACGTGGTGGAGTTAAAAAAACTGATGAAAGAAATCATAGATGACACAAAGAAATGGAAAAACATCCCATACTCATAGACAGAAATAATCACTATAGTTAAGTGAAAGGAAAATAAACGTTGGAGCCCCCAAATCACTAAGCTAAAGGGAAAAGTCAAGGTGGGAACTTTTAGGGCAAAACTGCCTTCCATTCTATTCAAAGTCATCCCTCTGCTCCCTGAGATAAATGCATATCTGATTGTCTCCTTTGAAGAGGCTAATCAGAAACTCAAAGGAATATAACCATTTGTCTTATCTACCTATGACCTGGAAGCCCCCTTCCCCGCTTTGAGTTGTCCAGGCTTTGCTTCAAGTTGTCCTGCCTTTCCAGACTAAACCAATGTTCATCTTACATATGTTGATTGCTTTCTCATGTCTCCCTAAAATGTACAAAACCGAGCTATTCTCTGACCACCTTAGGCACATGTCATCAGGACCTCCTGATCCATGTCACGGGCACACATCCTTAACTTTGGCAAAATAAACTTCCTAAATTGACTGAGATCTGACTCAGATTTTTTGGGGTTCACAGTTAAAATAACCATACTGTCCAAAGCAATGTACAGATTTAACACAATTCTTATCAAATTATCAATGTCATTTTTTACAGAGTTGGAAAAAAAAATCCTAAAGTTTATATGGAACCAAAAAAGAGCCCAAATAGCCAAGCAATCTTAAGCAAAAAGAGCACACCTGAAGGCATCACATTACCTGACTTCAAATTATACTACAGGGTACAGTAAATAAAACAGCATGGTACTGTTACCAAAATAGACACACAGGTCAATGTGAAGTAAAGTCACATACCCACAAGCCACTGACCTTTGACAAAGTCAACAAAAGTTAACAATGTAAAAAGGACACCCTATTTAATAAATGGTGCTGAGAAAGTTGGCTAACCAATTCTTTACACGGAAGAATGAAACTGGACTCCAGTCTCTCATCATGTACAAAAATTAACTGAAGATGGATTAAAGACTTAAACATAAAACCTGAAACTATTAAAATCCTAGAAGAAAACCTAGGAAAACTCTTCTGAGTATTGACCTAGGCAAAGAGCTTAGAACTAAGACCCCAAAAGCAAATGCAATTAAAACAAAAATAGACAAATGAGACTTAATTTACCTAAAAACCTTCCACACAACAAAAGAAATAACAGAGTCAACAGACAACCTAAAGAATAGGAGAAAATATTTGCAAATTATGCCTTTGACAAAGAACTAATAATATCCAAATCTACAAGAAACTCAGATATCTCGACAAGAAAAAACACAACCATCAAGAAGTGGGCAAAGGACATAAAAAGATATTTTTTCAAAAGAAGACACATGAGCTGCCCACAAACATATGAAAAGATACTCAACATCACTAATCATCAGATACATCAAAATTAAAACCGCAATTGTTACAATAGATAGCTAGTCTGACATGAGCAGAGCAGTAGAGGGCTCCCCTCACCCCCTAACCCCCTCTACATTGGGAATATTAGGCGACCATCAGGTGATAGGCAGTTGTTAACTATCTCTTTGAAATAATAATTGGTCACAGCCAGCACCAGGGAAAGGCAGTCTCCCAAAAAACAGAAACACCTGAAGCTTGTGATCAGCACTTTCCAGATAAGATCTCAGGATTTGGGTGAGTGGGCTCACACATGTGCACTAAGAGGCAAAATGGTAGATTTTAACTGGTATATGATTTTCTAGGGCTATTTGGCTGGTAAGGGAAGAATGCCTCAAGTAAGCATGCTTACAACTCCAGTAAACAGTGTACATGCAGCCACTCCCAAGTGCTGGCAGGCCACTGCACATGCGGACAGCCCACCCCAAGAGAAGAATCAGGGGAGAAGGGATGCAATTCCCTGGAAGTATGCCAACACATAAAACCCCAAGTCAAAAGGTCAAACACTGCACTTGGCTTTCAAGTCACCTACTTAGCCTTCTTCCTAACGTTCCTTTTGTTCCTTCCTTCCTTCGTTCCTTTTGTTCCTCCTCTAAAGCTTTTTAACACGTTTTCACTCCTGCTCTAAAACTTGCCTCAATGTCTACTTTTACCTTATGCCCCTCAGTCGAATTCTTTCTTCTGAGGAGGTAAAAATTGAAGTTGCTGCAGACGTGCCCCAATTCACCGCTGGTAACACAATGACATATCATCTTACACAAGTCAGATGACTATTATTAAAAAGTCAAAAAACAACAGATATTGGTGTGGATGCAAAGAAAAGGGAACACTTATACACAGTTGGTGGGAATGTAAATTAGTTTAACCCGTTTGGAAAACAGTATGGAGATTTCTCAAAAAAACTCAAAATAGGACTAGCAATTCCACTACTGAGTATCTACCCCCCACAATAAATCATTATATATAAAAAGACACCTGCACTTGTATGTTTATTGCAGCACTATTCACAATAGCAAAGTCATGGAAACAACCTAAGTGTCCATCAGTGATTGATTGGATAAAGAAAACCTGGTATATATACGACATAGAATACTATGTAGCCATGAAAAAGAATGAAATAATTTCCTTTGCAGCAACATGGATGGAGCTGGAGGCCATTATCCTAAGTAACTAAGAAACAGATAATCAAATACTACATATTCTCACTTATAAGTGGGAGCTAAACAATGGGTACATATGGACATAAACATGGAAATAATAGATATTGGAGGTTCCAAAAGCGGGGAAGGTGGGAAGGAGTAAGGGCTGGGAACTTACCTGTTGGGTACAATTTTCGTATTTGGATGATGCGTACACTGGAAGCCCTAGCCCCAACATTATGCAATATATCCACCATGTAACATACTTGCATATGTACCTTCGAATCTAAAATAAAATACAATTTTTAAAAAGAGAAAAGAAAAATGTCAGGTTTTGTTTTCTTTATTTTAGATTAATTAGGTAATATAATGTTTAATGGGCCCAAATATAATTGACAATAATTCATGAACATTTTATACTGATATATTCAAATATTTCCATGTTTGTTATAATAAAATATATGTTTTAGAAATAAATTTGAATGCAGTAATTTCAATAATTAAGTATTTTCTCTTGTCCAATATTTATTTCACTCAAAATTATGTCCATTAAACAGTTTCATCAGAGCTTTCCTGATGCATGACTCTGGCACAAGAAAATGTATTTCTTTAAATATTCATTACCATTTATAGGAAAGAAAATTTACGTGCCTAGAGTCATGCATCACGAAAGCTGCAATGAAATTGTTTAATGGACATAATTTTGAGTGAAATAAATATTGCCTTTCTGCTCTAATTTAATTTAGAAAGCCATTAGAGTCACTTTAAAAAATTATATATACCTGGATTAATGCTTTTACTCTCTAATAACTTCCCATTGTACTTAAAATAACCTAAAACTCCTTATTTATTTACAGTACTTTTCATAATGGTGCTGTTCTTACATCCCCAATGTATTTCAAGCTATACTTCACACCTTAACCCGTTCCGGCCCTCTGGCCTTCTCTCAGGTCCTTTCCTACCCAGTCTCTTACGCACCTCAGGACTGCACTGCATGTAGTATTTCCTTGGACAGTGATCATGTTAGGAAATTTATTTCAAAAATTTAAAAAGCAGTAAAAGGCAGTTCTCTAACTTAAACAGTAAGAAGTGCTGGTGTTAAAATAATCACCAGAATTTATTTGAAGAGGCCTATTTTCTACCAGTTAATAGGTATCTCAGGAAAGAAGCTTTAGGCTTGTTAAGATCTGTAGTACTTTTATCTGTGAAGATAAAGAACATTTGTGTCTTTAGTTGGGAATTATCTGTAGTATTTCTTCACAAGTTTTGCCATATATTTTCATTTCTGTGTAGAGAAAAACAGGTTTTTCTCTACAGAGAAATTTTAGATTCCTTTCAAGTGATTTATTTCTCCATATTTCAATAATTTTGTTATTTAATGGATACTCAGGCTAATATTTAATATAACTACCAGATCACTAAATTTAGCACTAGTTATCCCAAATTAAGCAGAATAGAGTGATCTTTTATGTCATAATCATCATTACCAAGTTCCCGTGGCGATAGAGTGCATTATCACTTTGAAAAAAAGTTAGTAATATTTCAATTTGTATATTTTTATTACACCTATTACTTTGACCTATAAAATAGATCCTGAAATTAAATGTTGTACTAGCTTTTCCTGCTGCAGTAAATGTTATTTTGAACAAGTCATGATTTTTATGATTCCCTCCTATAAATGGTAATAAATATTTTAAAATTTAAAGTGTCAGTGCTAAGGCAAAGTGAGGACTAGTTAGATGAGTTTGTTGACTGCCCTATTAATGCATTGTCTCTATTGATTTCAAATTATTTATATGGAGGCAAGTTGCTTCTGGTTAAAATAACTCAAGTGATAACTATGATTGGTGCTGAGTCTACGTCTGAAAAGAAAAAGGAATTCTGAATTGGTGTTTAGTGATAACAGATATGAAGAGATTAGTTCCCTTGGTCAAAGAGTAACTTCAAAAGTTAGGTATAGTACATAGGTAGAGAACATCTGAGCCTCTGTGTGCAACAAATACGCACAAAGAGACAGAGAAATCTGTGTCGAATTTAGGTAGTCCTTGACTCTCTCTAGTAGCCAATGAACTGATAGGAAGGTATTGTCCCATGACAATAAAGCTTTCAGTTTAAGCTATATTTGGAGATGCCCTTAGTTGTGTTGGGGAAAATTAAGAAAATGAACGTACATTTGTAAGTAGGACAAAGTGGTACTGGGTTTAGCAGCATCAGCTCAAGGGACGCAGATGCAGAGTCTTCGGTTAAGTGTTCCTTTGCTCGGAAACAGTCAACTAAGAATGGAACTGAATTCAGAATACTATAATCAGCTGGCTGGCCAATGTAGTGAGCAAAGGACAAAATGGTCGTGGAGTTTATAGGCACCCCTAAAAGTAATAGTTTTCAAACTATGGGCTCAGAAATAACAGCATCAACATCAACTTGGAACATTAGAAATATAAATTCTTGAACCCAACCCACCCCTACTAAACTGAAAGTCTGGGGATGGGATCCAGCAATTTCATTCTTCGGGTGATGTGGATGAATGCTAAATTTCAGAAACATTGCCCCAGAAATCTTCCCAAAAAGAATATGAATTTGGAAAAAAGACGATTTTTAGCAGCTAAGCAGTATGATAGCTTTAAGTAAAAGCCAGTGAAACAGTGGTTTCATGTAATAGACTGATAAGATTTGGGCATTTGAGTTTTATACATTAATATAACTTTATTTAAATAAAAGGCTTGATTGAATTTGGGTTGCAGAAAGTTACTATTTTTTTCAGTTAAAGAAATAATTAACAATCCAATTACACTCTTTAAAATTTCTTTTAAAATAAAAAAAGACTACTTTAAAAATATTGTGTTAAAAGTTCAAAAATAGTCAATTAGATATACTATCCCTAAAGTCTAATTTTATATATCTACTAATGAATTCAACATCTTTTGAAATTTACTTTAAAATTTCCTTATTTCTACAATAAATGTACATACCATAAAATCATGGTAGCTTGGTCATTAACTCTTTACTCAATCTAATTGCTGTTCAGAGAGGAACAATCTTTACCAATAAATGTATGATTTTAAACAGTCCCACAAATTAGCATTGCATCTACTGCTCACATGAGATATCTAGACTTTAGAGATGAACAGCTAAGTTTGTAATAATTTGTAAAAATTATGTGCCCTTGCAAATGGTTAGAATATAAAGTTTGATGTTATTACAGTAAAATCAGAGTCAGCTGCAAAGTTTTATTGTAACATTTGCCAAATTATCTCAGCTATACACATTTCATATCATGACACCCCATTCAAATAAAATAGTGCTAGCAGCTCTCTCTTTTGTGTACTGATCAACAGATAATCCCGCTAGAAATCTTTTATCTTCTCCATTTTCATCTTTCCTTCACTGTGATTTCTGTCTTAAACAATAATTCAATAATTCAATGATGCAAACAGTTTTACTCAAACACTGCTATATCATTCCCTTTTAGTAAAGTGTCTGCTATGCAATTTATTCAATATAATAAAACTAAAAGAGCTATGAATTTATCTAATTTTTTCTTAACCTAGAGTTTTATGTACTTATAAGTATTTTGTAGAATATAACGAATTCTTCTTTTTCCTATATGTAATTATTAATACATTCTAATTTGATTTTTGGACTTTATAGACATTCCTCCTTTAATAACACCATAATATCTATTACCTTATTTGCATTGGAAATTTTATATAATATTTTTAAGCTCTTCTTGATTAAGTCTTAGATAATTTTGGAAAGCAATCACGTTTTTAAAAAGTGGAATACAATATTTTATTTTTTATCATGGCCAACAATCTGTATCTTACACAACGCCATTCTTGACTGCATGCATTGTAAGATTTAATACAATCAAGCATGAGTAAAAGATTACATACTACTCACATCAAAAATGTATCACTGTAATTATTTTGAATTTTACATGCTGACTCTAAATCTTGGATTAGTAACAGGGCAAAGGTTTACGTTGTCATCAACACCTGAAAGAAGAAGAACACAAAAACAATGATAAAGCAGTACATTCTATCAGATTCTCCTGTATTTAGGCATTTTTATCATCCAATTTCATAATGCATAAAGATCAACAACTTGTTTTGCTAAGTTGCCTGGAAAGATGAAACTTAGACAGTTACAGTGGAAAAAAGCACATGAAAATGACACATCAAAGGCTGGTCCTGTAATGCCATTAGTTCACTAAAAGTTGCTGATGGTAATTAATCATGAATAAAATTAGGATAACATTCATGAAAACAAAGCAAGTTGAGAATCAGAAATCTTCTAGCCTTTTATTAAGTTTATTGTCCACGTTCGAGTTGGTCATATTGGACAAACATCTGAAAGTTCCTTTGGTAATATCTATAATCACCAAATGCAATAAACATAGCTGTATAATTCTATATCCAACACAGTGCCAGGTAGTATCACTTAACATCTCTAGAAAACATATTTTCTTGTTGATTGTATTTTTGAATCATCTTGGAGCCTCTGATATGTCTGAATTAATGAATCAACATTCAAAAATTATGCTCCAAAAGACTTTTCGTCATTTTGTCTTCAACCTGACACAAGGGAATGCCATGTAGGAATCTAATATGACATGTAAGGGATATTAAAATATTGACCTGATTGCTGACTTCATATTATCATCTCACTAGGGAGCCATCAGTCTCATAGATTAAATAAAAATAAATAGGAAAAAGAACCCATTCTTTTTGGTTGCCAACAGAAAAGTCTGCTTCCTTTTTAATTGTGTTCAATCGTCTTTGTCCTCAGACACCATGCATTGAAAATGTAAAAGAAAATATTTAGTTATTGGTGAAAGAATAATAATTTGGTGCTTTCTCCTAGAAATAAAAGCATTAAAGCTGTGGTTATACAAAATCATTTTTCTGTCTATGAAGTTTTCAGATTTAAGACTCTAAAATGCATTGGAAACATTGTCTCAACACCCCAGTGGCATAATGTTTCCGAGTCCTCATTTAGAAAGAGGAAACAGAAAATATTTGAAGCATACATTTGCTAACAGGATTTTCTGAGCTCCCAGAAGTCAGGTAGAGCTCCCGGAAGTCAGGTAGAGCTACCATGAGTGATGATATCTAGGTTATCTTCACGGCATAGCTTTTTTTCCTATCAGATTAATTTGAGCAAGGAATCAGAAAGCTGGATTTGTAACCTCAAAAGAGTAAAATCGCCTTACAATAAAAAAAAAATAAATAAGATCAATTTTTATTTTTGTCTCACTGTATGAATTTCTTACTATTGTTATATATCTGGTTTTAAATAAAAATATAGGCAGTTGTGGAATTGCTAATCCCATAAGGAGTTTCTGGTAATAAGAAATAAAAGGAACAATTTTTATTTTTAACATGTATTAAAGTAAATAACAATATATAAGTCCAGCTGTATAATTTATAAAATAAAAATTTCTATTTCAAATTCATGTACTTTCAGCACAGCATTCTCATTAGAAGACTATTGGAAAAAGATTTAAGTCGTTATCAAAATAAAACTTTTATTTAAGAGCAGGATAAACCTCTATAGTTAAGTAAAGCCAACCTAGTGTTTTTTTTTTTTAATTATTTACACTTTAAATGAACTGTACTTAAATCTTTGCACTTAATTGCAAAGCTTAAATGATTTCATATGCACCTGTAATTACCTGTGTATCATAGCTTTGTTGTAGTACAGAGTTTATATCTCTGTGCTTTTTCCCTATATTCGGTATAGCACGTGATTAGCAAACATTCAGTTGGACCATTGGATTAGATATTATTGCTTGTCTTCCCAAGTAAAATTACTTGATCTGTTACTTTGAAGTTATGCAGAAGAACAGGCTCACAAGCCTTCATGAGGAATGTGACTGACGACACACCTGTCTTTTTAAGTCATTTGATAAACTTTCATGCAGTTTGTTTAAAAGGGGCTGTCCCTGTCATTCCTTTTCACCAGAATACAACTTATAACTTGGAAAAGGAGAAAATAGCATACTCATTACATATGCTATAATAACCTTGCACTGTAGATGTTATCATTATTTTTTTTAAAAAAATGAAACTGAAGCTTAGAGAGTCGAAGTGGATTGAGCAATGTCACAGAGCTTCTAAATAGTATATATTAAGTATGTTAACCTACCACTATCTGGAAACAAATTGTATGTTATTATAAATAAATACTTGGCTTTACCCAAAGTCAACTCTCTGATCATTGACATGAGCTATAATTTTATCTAATATTTCTAAATTATAATCACTCTGAAGAAGCTTCCCCATAAAACTACCTCAGTAACGTCAACAAATATGTGATTCTCTCAGATTCCAATATAGACATTAACATATAACAAAGCTGGTTACTTAAAGAGTTTCAATGTATGTGACACTTTAAGAAAATCTAATTGAATTCCAGATTACTTCATTTGTCCAGAAACTCTCCTCATAGTTATTTACTAAGTGAAAATGAAAGCATTCCCACAAACACATCTGTATAAGAGCATTGAAATCATTATTATTTGTATTAGCCAAAACTAGAACCAATCCAAATAACAATAAAGAGAATGATTAAATAAAGGGTTTTATCTTTACATAATAGGATAATATTCTCCATACAAAGATAAAATTTCTGATACGGCAACAATACGTATGATATAGCGTGGCTCTGTGTCCCCACCCAAATCTCATCTCAAACTGTAATCCCCACGTTAGGGAGGGACCTGGTGGGAGGTGATTGGATCATGGCAGGGGGGGTTGTTCCCATGCTGTTCTCATGACAGTGTGTGAGTTCTCATGAGATCTGAGGGTTTTAAAGTGTGGCACTTACCCACTTGCTCTCTCTATTGCCGCCATGTTAAACATGCCTTGCTTTTCATTTGCCTTATACCGTGATTGAAAGTTTCCTGAGGCCCCCCAGCCATGCATAACGGTGAGTCAATTAAACCTCTTTTGTTTATACATTACCCAATTTCAGGGAGTTCTTCATAGCAGTATGAAAACAGACTAATACAATGTATAAATCTCAAAACATTGTGTTGTGCAACATAAGTCAGGCACACACACAAGTATTTAGTATGATTCAATTTACATGTAGTTTAAGAAATTCATTGTCCTGAAAATAATGGCTTGGGTCCTTGGAGTGTAATGGTCACCAGAACAAGACAGGAGAATATCAAGATAAGAGAAATGTTCTATGTCTTGAACTTTGGATTATGGTTACATGGCTGTTTATATTTGTGAAAGCTGATCAAACTATGCACTTAAAATCTATGAATTTAACTGTGTTTTTAACATACCTCAATAAAAAATTCCAATTTATTTAATAATCAATTTATGTGTCCACTTGCGTGCCCCAACACTCACTTCATCTCTAATATTTCCCATTAGTCAAGAAAAAAAGCTAAACATCTATATCAGGTTTGAGGGTTTCAATTATTCATATGACTCACCAATATAATAATCCGATAATTCTATCATTGTTTGTTAGATTCATCATTTAATGGTATTGAAAATAATTTCAGTGTGGCAAAAAAGCCATGTTAAGGCTTCTTACATGTCACAATCGAATTCTAGGCAGCCATACTGATCCTTTAAGCAACCTTTGCTACTTATTCTTTTGATAGAACAGCTTTAAATATACTGGAGCGATCATAGAGTTCGCTGATCCCTGACTCAGTTCTGGGAGGCAAAAAAGAAACGCCTCTTACTAGGGCAAATATTTTGATCATGTTACTTACCAAATGCATTGTGACGCAGCCTTGCTTAAAGTTTGTGGATTATTATTTTTCCAAATGAAAAACCAAGTCACTCAGCAGAAACCTTTCCAGAGGAATCCTATCACAACAATTTTGGAGATTGTTGATGGTTTTCAACAGAGGAAGTTAACACAGAATGTATATTTTACTAGATTGTTTTCTAGTTGCAGAGAAAGATTAATACATGACTGTGAACAGGAATTATCTGTTCTTACCTATCGACCGAAACATATATTTATCTATAGCTTGTAAAATCTTTTATAATATATAAATATAGATGCACAGTTGCCATCTTCATAAAAGATCTTGTTTGATAAAAGTTCTTATGGAATATATTAGCATCAAGATTTTTGCTTTTCTTTTCTTCCAGAAGTTGAAATAAGGCTGAATATTTTTGCTTTACATTGTTAGTTGATGGCACTAGCAAAAATGAACATGATAACTGTTAGAATTTGTAAGATTCTCAGGAGTGGCATTGCTGTTATGTAATTTCTTTTCAGAGGATTTTTCTCCTAGAATCATTTTTCTCTTACTGTTTCATGATGATAATAGAGTTTTGTAGTTCTAATTTTTATAGTGCGTCTGTGTACATATCTATCTATCTATCTATCTATCTATATATCTATCATCTATCGATCCATCCATCCACACATACACACACTTACATAAACACACTCACCATGCATTGGATATTTCTGCTATGGAATCATTATACAGATACTTTGAAACTCTAGAATGGTTTAATTAGTAAGTAGATTTCAGGATATACGATTTATTAAAGCTTTTATATTCTGTGAGTGATAAACTAATTTAATCTGACATTCTGTCCAGGATATGTGAAGAGGGTGGTAAAAAACTAAATAAGAATAAATAAATTAATAGGCATATTTGATAGATAATTTGCCATACATTAAATTTCATTTCAACTATCATTAAATAAGTACCTTGAACACAAATTAAATTCAAAAAACATAAATTGAACACTAGGTTAGGTACTGTTAACTTAATAATAAATTAAGATTACAAGAAAATTCTTAACTTCAAGGAACATACAATATAGCAAATAAAGATATGCCTCAAATAAGAATACAAACATATCCTCACTTTATTAAATAGTAATTAATCTTTTATTTAAAAATGCACACTGAGTGCATATACAACATGCAATGTATGTATAGTGTACGCAATGCACCCAGAATTATACCAGGTTCTGAAGCATCAACAGTAAGTTGGACAATGTTTTTTTCCTAGAAAAGCTTGTATTATGGTAGAGGAGACAGCCAGATAAATCAGAAAGTACAAAGTAATGTGGCAAATGCTCAGATGAAGTTCTTTATTCTAAGTAAGCAGAAAGAGCTAAGTGAATGATAGGAAGAACACCTAAAAACCAGTCTAGGTCCATCGAGGGCCATAGAAGTCTTTCCCAGGGAAAGGGATGTTTAAGGATGAGTTGGAAATGCTAGACGAAGGCAACGAGGAATAACAAGAATTTCAGGTGGCAAGAATGACATAAGAAATGCCTCAAATTTAGAAAAAACAGAAAGACACTTGTAAAACCACAAGTACAGGTTGGGCAGAAGAACACCAATGAAGAAACTTATTGACATTTTAATAACTTTGTTTTTTATACTTGAAATAGAGTGTCTTGGATGAGGTCTACAGGCATTCATAGAAGAAGCCAATCAAGGATCCAGAAAGTCTTTATGTAGGAACTGAAGTTTGAGATAAGTCTTGAAATAATAATATTATTTTGATTGGCAGAAATGAGAGCAGAAAAAAATTAGTGTTTTGAAAAAAAGTGAACAGCATTAAGAAAAGGAAGTAAATTTAAGGGTAGATTACATTTGTCTCTTTCAATAGGATTATGGCATATGGAAGAAAAGACTGAAAAACAATGGTGAAAAGGCACACCTGAACTATTGTTAAAGGTCTTGATGAACTGCATAAGATTCCATAGTATTTCTTGATTAAAAAAATACTTCTCTAACATAGTCTTTTTCAGTTAAGAGAGGAAAAATAAAATTTTAAGGCATGATTAAAATGTTCTATAATTTCATTTGTGTGATGGTTACACAGATGTATACATATTTCAGTACTCATAAATGTGTATACTTTAAGATTATGCATTTGTCCATAGGAAAAATACCTAAAATTATAAATATATAAAAAATGTTTATGTACATACATATAAACCAAGAGCAAGCAAATCCATGATTAAGGAAATAAGTTATAGTTGCTTTGTTTGATGGTTATCATTGCAACAATTTATGAAAAGAATATATATGCCTCTAGAACATAAAAACATACTTTCTTAAAATAAAAAAATATGTTTTATCAAAGTGATAAATACTCAAAACTTCAAAAGCCAATTAAAATAGTACATCATATAATAAAAAACACATCACTAAGATATTTATAAAGGAGAAAACCAGGGTTCGAGTCCAACTTTGATAACCTCAAATGTCATGTTCTGTCCACTATATCATAATTACTATCTGGTTCAACAAATACTAAAAGTACTACAAGATTAAGCATTCCTTATTTCCCTTCAGTCACAAGTACAAGCTACCCTATAAAGATAAACCCATGAAAAAGACATAAGTATAGATAAAAGACATATAAACATTTATATGACTAATGGCTAATTACTAATAATAACTCAGATGTAAAAATAATTTTATTACAAATGTCCTGTGGAACTCTGCAGGTTCTATTTTATATATGGAAAATACTATTATTATGTAATGTGAGTTATACAGATATGAACATATTTAAAATATACTTCTCTATTATGGTTGGAAAAAAATAAAGACATGAATGGCACATTGAGAATGAGGTCAAGGGTCTTTCAATATTATATTTTTTACTAAAATGAGTTTACGTTGAAAAATCACTGAGACAAATGACTGTGATTTATTCACATTTGTGGTATTAGTAGAAATAGTTCATTTAGAAAAGCATCATGTCTATGGAAAGGCAGAAAATGGTTTTGGTTAATGAAAACATATAGAAGAATTTCTTATTAGATGCATGGATAGATCTATTTCAAATGAGCACTAACAGCTGCTCTGCTCATATTATTTGGAATTCTCCCAGTGCCTTGCTGGTCACAAACATGCTTGGCTTCCTTCTTAAGCAAGTCAGTAAGTACATGGACTGTAATTGTAAAGTAGTTTTCCTACTAGAATTAGTGAAAAGATTCAAGGAGCACAGCTCTAAAATGTGGTTGTCAAATATAATGCAAGACATTACCTAGAAATGAAGCCAGAAAAGTTCAGACCAGAGAAAAAAATTAGCCCAGATGAGGAAACAAGAAAAAGAAAATCCTAAACTCTTGAATTAAGACAATGGTTTTAACACTTACTCCATGAAAAGTAACTCTGAGTCATGGGAAGAAGCAATACAAAGTGTTCTATAAAGCTGTATATAAATTCAAGGAAAAGAGCTGATTGCAGATATTTGATTTCTAACCCCAAATATCAGTGGTAATCGGTGACTCCCTGTTCTGAAGTACAAAGGCAGCCATGTGAGTACATGACATCTATCTGTAACAAACGATTTTCCTCATGTGTGTCTCAAAGTAATGGAGACCCTTCTGAGACTCATAAAAACTGTGATACCAATTCTGTTGATTTACTTGGTAACAAGTGACCAGAGACAGAATAACCATAGTATCCCTTTCAAGTAAGTAGAATTTTATATACACTAAACTGAAATTTAGGCTAAGAGTTCATTTTTCCTTGCAACTGAGTACCATGATAAGTGGATAATAAACAGTAGGTTATCCAGTGGAATAAAATAACTGTATTTGTGCTGAGTGCAGTGGCTCACGCCTGTAATCCCAACACTCTGGGGGTCCGAGGAGGGTGGATCACCTGAGGTCAGGAGTTAAAGACCAGCCTGGCCAACATGGCGAAACCCCGTCTCTACTAAAAACACAATTAGCCGGGCGTGGTGGTGGGCGCCTGTAATCCCAGCTACTGGGGAGGTTGAGGCAGGAGAATCGCTTGAACCCAGGAGGCAGAGGTTGCCGTGAGCCGAGATCATGTCACTGCACTCCAGCCTAAGCTACAAGAGCAAGACTCCATCTCAAAAATAAAATAAAGTAAAATAAAAATAAAAATAAAATTTTAAATTAAAAAAATAACTGAATTTGATGGCAAAAAATAAAAAACAGTGCCCATCAGAAAAAGGTATAGGAAATTTTTACTATAAAAGAGATTTTGACTTGATCAGCAGGGCTTTAAACTGAAATTCCAGAGAAAAATATTAAAATACCCAGTTGCAGAAAAAAACTGCATTCTATGTAGAAAAGTGGACTTGACATAGAAATAATTATAGAAGACATATTCAGTGATTCTCAGTATAATTTGTTAAGAGTATAAAGGAGTACTGAGACAAAATGTTAGAACTCTCTGCTTTAAAAGTATGGGCAGAAAATGGAAGACGTAACTGGAGCAATGGTTTTCTACTCCCTACTTTTTTATTGCTAAAACACGTATGATAGATGAAGTTCACATGCAAAATAAACCCCAGTGGGGATACCCTAATCATATGTAATCTCTAGTGTAAATTTTTGTTTTTCATACACATGAGAAATATGCTAGTATCAAAATCTGTGGATAATGATATTATTATAAAAATGATCTTGAATCTGTTCAAATTCATTAAAGAAACAAGCATGGCCTATGCTTCTGCCACATTGACCTTCATGTTTCCTAAACATTACAATTTTCTGCCAATTTCAGGGCCTTTGTCTGTGATCTTAATCTCCTTCTTCACCTTTTAGGTATTAGGTTAAATATTTCCTCCTCAGATAGCCTTGCATTTACTACCTGTGTAAATCTGATACAGCCTAATACTCTTCATGAGAGGATTCTATTTTTAGGGTACTTTTCATAATTTGCAATATGTACAATTAATATTTTTGTTATTATTTTCTTCTTTTTATAAATTCTAAATTACCTGAGTGTAAGATATACACTACATTTTGATAATCATTTTATCTTCAGAGCTTATATGTGGCACATAGTTTATTAGTTTTTACCTCATCCATAATTATGGTATTATCAACTTAATGATACCTAAGTGTTTCCTTTCTCTTTAAATAAATTTAACAGTAACTTGGCTATTTTAAATGATTTATATACTACTATTTGAATTTATCAAATTTATGCTATAATAATTTCTAATTCATTAATTCATTTTTATCAGCTTATTTCTCCTGTTTCTTTTTACATATTTTGTTATACTTTAGCAACTTTAGCTGAATATTCAGTTTTTTAAAAAATATGCATTTGCTTTTTTCTTTGTTCTTATCTACTTGCCCTTTCTAATAATATAAGCATTAACTTTTATAATAAACAGTGTGTCTTATTTCTGTCATCTTGCTTTATCTGTTCTTTTACACTTCCTTTACTTCCTGTGCTTGGACATTTACTTACTTACTGCTTAGTGTCCGGTGTTTTAGAAATATTAGGAATTTACTGTTACTCTTTCCATAACACATATTGGTTAATATATTGTCTTACAAATACTGTCATTCCAAGTAGGATGGCTCAATATCCTTTTACTCCCTGCACTTGACCCTCTGATGTAATGTTATCCATATTATTCTTATTATTGAATGGCTACTTTATAAATAATTCTTGATATTTGCATAATGAGATACATAATTGATAAGCCTGTTTATTAACTCACAGTACAAATCTGAAATATAGTATATGTAATTTATTATATTTTATATAATATACATTTCTATTTTCATATAATTTTATATTATTTAATATAATATAGATGTTTCTTCATATAATTATATAGTTTATTATTACACATATAGCATTGTTTGTGTTTCAAGTGTGCTAGCTAGAAATCTTGTATCACTTTTTGATGTCTCAGTCATATCATATTAACGGGCTTACTAGACCCAATTGCAGTTAAATTTGTTTGTAAATAGAAGAGAGAGTAAGTTGCAGCCTTTTGTTTTCATGAGGGCTGGTGATCTTCTTTCTTACTGCTATATGGTCAATCCTAGATTTACAAACAAGTATATGTTTAGCTGCATATCTAGCTCCCTCCCTACCCAGGTTGCAGCAGTGCCCCATGTTGACGGACAAGTTTAAAACAGTTTTTATTTCACATATGCCTGCCTGTATGGTGTCCCACTGTGGCAAGTTCGTTTGGCATGGAGATTCCAGTATCTACTCTGTATGAGGGCAACCCTATGATATAAATAAACTCTTATGTCTTTGTTTTAAACCAGTGCCACAGACTAGACTCACCCTTTCTTCTGAGGTTTTATTGCCCTTATCACTAGACATTGATCAAACCATCATTATTCATTCTAACATATCCTCCTAATGTGACCTATTATAAAACAAGAATTTGTGGCCTATCTTTCAAAAAAAGTCATGCCACAAGAGAAAATCCTAGACTTCTATAAAATAACAGCATAACAGAGCCAAAATTTATTGAGCACTACTATATACCAGATCTTATTCTTAGTATTTTATAGGTATTGACTCATTTGTTAGTTTATTTATTTTCAAATGAAGAAACTGAGGCATGGAAAATTTGACTCCAATTCACACAGCTAGTAAGAGACAGAATCAAGAATTAGCTAAGCTCTTGACTTTGGAAACCACGTGCTTAACTAGTACACAAACAAGCACTCAGTTACAAATCAGTCTGTTCCCTTTTCCAGATCCCTATAGAGCAAGACAAACCTCAGCTCTGCATAGTTCCACAAGACAAAAGGTGTATTTGTCCAGGACTATAGATATCTACTATGTTTACACTTGTATAACAAAGAGAGCTACTGGAGTTTTTTTGTAAGAAAATAAAGATTTGCTCAAAAGCAACCTTCCCCACTTGCCCGCTGAAAAATTAGTAATATTTTTATAGTTGACTTATAATGATAGAATAAATTTGGTTGGAGTCAGTACACTTACATCCTTATGTTCCTATTCTTAATCTATTGTTTTGCTTTATTTTTCATGTAATTAGAAATTATGAGTTTAGATAAATATGTTTCAATCGTATAAAAATCATAGACTAATAATGTTGACATATAAATGTATGTTATACACACACACATATATATATATAAACACCACACACACACATAGCTCACTTAACAGCTCTTGTTAAATTTCTCTTCTAAAATAAAAGGAAGAGATATTGAGAAGACATTTACATTCTAGTGAGAACAGAAGATGGTAGATAGATAGATAATATGCAGCTAGAGCTCAAGTGAACCCAAGCTTTTACTCAAGCCTAAATCCGTAGAAACTCTGCTTCCTGCTACCATGACTAGAATTCCTCTTTTAAATGGTATTCTCTTGTGTTAAACAAAGCAAATTACTCGTCATAAATTTACATCCCTTTAGGATGACAAAGTTGCAACTTGGAAAGAGTCTTGCTCTCTGAATTACCATGCAAAAAAAAAAAAAGTCACACAACCAAGGAATATCCATGCTGAACTTTTTTCCTAGGGTAAAATAAAATTCTATTGCTTTAAATTACTGAATATATGAATACATTTTTACATCAGCTGGTGTACTCTAACCAATAATCTTCAAATAAAGTAATGTTTCGCTAAAAATAAATTAAGAATTTAATCTTAATAAAGAGACTTGTAAATTATGTTGTTTTGTGAGAAACCATATTTGTTCATTAGGCTATAAAATATGCTTATTATAGGAAATTGAATTCGATTCATTAAGCTGTAAATAAAACCAGCAGTCTTCTAATAATTAAGACAGAAAGATGAGAGAGAGAGAGAGTGTAAAATGTTTAAGACTATTTGTCAACTCTCTACTCTTTGATTTCTCCCACAATTCCCATGCCCTTCTGAAATATTTTCCATGGAATATTTGTCATATGTGTTTTACATTTTTTCCAAAGCCTATAGCTTGTCCTTTCAGGTGATTTGTGGTGTTTTTAATTTTAGAGCAGTTGTCATAAATGTCTATATTATTTCTATCTATATAGTTTCTGGGTTAGGATGTGTGTGTCTATGTGTGTGTGTGTGTGTGTGTGTGTTGTTCTGAGGAAAACCTTTTCTACCTACAATTATACTAAATTGTGTGCAAGTGTAAATATACATAGACACACACAAAAGTGAACATACATAACATACATATCGTTTTGACCTTTAGCATGTCTAGACTTGGTTTGGTATAAGATAGAAATCTAACTTGTTACGTATTTTTTCTGAATGTATTAAAATAATTTTAAGTTTTACATTAAGGATGTATAATTTCTCTCCTGATTTGACAATCTGATGTTACCATAAATAAATACATCTAAGCATCTAGCTAACTATCAGTTATAGAGGTTTATCCAGTTGTTTTTGCATATTTTCTTAATAGGTCTCTCAGAAGGCTGATTTGCAACCTGTAAATATGTGTGGAGCTTAATAAATGGCAGCTTGGACTTAGGAAGTGGTTGGGTGAGTCAGCTAGTGAATGAAAATCCTGGAAAAAATAATTTTGTTTTGAGCACTTTTATCCATTCAGCAATCTAAACATTATAAAATTCTGAGATTAGAATTTGGCTCATATTAATTCAGAACAGAATAATCTGGACTTCCTCTTATCTTCTTTCCATTAACTGTAACACAAATATGGCAGTAACCAACCTTTAAACATTCAGCCAAGGACAACAACTGGAAGAACAGTAAGCCATAAAAGAAGAGAAATTTGGTGTCTTGGTAATTTGGGGGATATCTGTCCCATAATCCTAGATATCACATAGTAAAGACAATATTTTGGGGTCACTGTTACAACAGCTAATAAAAATCTTGGAGCATGTCCAAGTTTTTTGGGGGCGATAAGAATAATAAGGCACTTCATGAATAACTCTTTTTTGAATGTTAAATAACCTTATCAGAAATTTTGACTCATTAGTCATAGTAGCAAATGGACAGCATTATTCACCAGTAATCTTGGGATATGAAAAACTTTCCCACGATCTTCAGAAGAGAAGAGAAGGTATTCAGGAGGATATCATAAAAATATTCAAATATTTTAATATAGAGATAATACAGAATATATAAAAATATTATGCTTTTATTCTGTCCAAGTATATATCAAGGGATATTTATGTAGTAGGTACCGTTAAACATTTATATTACGGTACATATATCATATTATATTAATTACTTAGTGGTTAGAATTAGGTATTTTACATTTTGACATGCCAAAGACAAAAAGAAAATAATATAATACATAAATGAACAAATTAATAAGTTAGTATATAGTTGATATCTCTGTAACTACAACCAAGTTTAAGGAATAGAATATGGTTCCCACTCATTCCCACCCCAGGACACCCTTCCATGTGCCTACAAAATCAAAATGACCTTCCTTTACCTTAGAGTTAACCACTGTATTGACATTTATGGTGAATAGTTTCTTATTTTTCTTCATAGTTTTCCTGGAAATATGTATTCCAAAACACACTAGTTAAGTTCTGCCTGCTTTTTAAATTATACTGTATTTTTTTTATGTCTGGTGTCTTTCACTTAAAATTATGTTTGTAATGTTTATCCACTTTGTGTACACTATAGTTTGTGCACTGCCATTATCTAACATATTGTAATGATGATATCACATATGAAAATCTCTGATCTTAATTAACATTTGCATTTTTTTTTTTTTTACAATTCTTAGCTATGACAAATGACACTGCTTATAAACATTCTTCTATGTCTTCTAGGACACATACATGGGCACATTTCTGTGCATATAAACCTCGCCACACTGCTGTTAGCAGCGTGACATGGTACAACCACCCTGGAAAATGGTTTGGAGTTGTTTACTAAAGTTGGTGTTGCATACTTATCTCTAATCTGCTCTGGAGTCCATTCTGTTAATTCCTAATATCAGTCACTTTAATTGGTAGTTCTAGAATTTCTGCTTGATTTTTTTTCCTAACCTGCCATGTGATTTTTTATGGATTCTAGTTCTCCACTTCAACTTTTTGGAATGCCTTTTACCTACTTGAAGTCAAGAGATAGTTGTTTCAGAGTCTATTTTGATAATTCAAATATCTGAAGACCTAATTAGAGTTTTGCTATTGTCTGATGTTTATCTTTTATGTTTTTTTTTTAATGTTGTCTGTTTAACATTGTGTGCTGGCATATAGGTATTTGCACACACAGACACATAGAAACACTTATAAAAATAATTTGAGAACTAGAATGGGGTTATTTTCTCCAAAGATAATTTTTGTTTCTGTCTATCGCCTGAAGGCACTACCAGATATAGGTCGGGCAATATTCTGGGCCACCAGACAACACAAAACCAGGAAGTGCTGCAGTCTCTGTGATTACTACACATGTCCTGTGCTATTCCAAAAGATTAGGCTTCTAAGTGACAGCCCAAATAGGAGTAATTAAACATGACTCCTACTCTCGGTGAAACTTGGAATCCAACTTTTGTTTACTTAGACTGACAAGGATTTCAAATCTATGCTAAGGCCCCAAGATGTAGGTCAGCAAATTATCCCAAGGCAAAAGTCCTGTCAAATGCCATGTCTGTCTCACTGGATTTTTACCTACTCCTGAACTTTCACCAAATGATGCTTGTCTTTCTTATTAGCTCTTTAATGTTTTTAATACAATTATTTCTTCTATGTTTTAAAGTTTTCAATAGTGAAAGATTTATTGATTAAATAATTTGCTATTACAGGCAGTAAAACTCTAGTTAACTTAAAGGTAAATTTATGTATCTGATATTATTAGGGCATAGGTTCCTTGACAACAAGAATACCATCAGTTTTTAAAAATACTATCACCACTTCCTTATCACCACAAATAAAGGGCTCAATGAATATTTGCTAAGTGAAAGAATAAAAATTGTAAACCCAGTATTTAAACCATTTACAGTTTAGTAGGAACTTCACATGAATTTTCAATTAATCAAATCTAGTGAAAAGCTGCTGTATTCCCAGTATTGGAAGAAACTGTGAAAAAACTAAAGCTGTTGAGAAACTAAAATGTGCCTTCTTGGGAAGGAGATAACTTACTCGCTGTGGCCAGAATGAAAACATATGTTTTGACAATGAAGGAGTGTAGGAAATGCTACCTCAAAATATGCTACTTTTGTATACAGATTACTTAACCAGAGGGCACTTGGGGCACAGCAGATGCAGTGTGAGGCTTTCTCTGAGCTCTCCTTATCTGAATAAAGATCCTGCAAAAATAACTCAATTGTCATCAGTCTCCTCCCCAGGAGTTTCATCAACCAGGAGACTCATATCACAGGAGAGGAGAGGAGAAATTGACACCCCGGCCAGAAAGACTGTCACAAAAAATCATCTTTTCTCCTAAGGACCTATTTATCTTTCCAAAACATTATTTACCTTCCCTTAAGTTGCTTACACAGTCCCCTCTTCCCCCTTCCTTATGAAGAGGGCATATGAGCTTCTGGATATCACTGGGCTTTGGGATATTCACCTTTCTTTCCTGTGATGCCCCCTTGCAAGTAATAAATTTGTATAAATTTCTCCCATTAATCTGCCTGTTGTCAGTTTATTTCATGGACTCAGTTATGCACCCTAAAGGATAGGGGAAAGTCTTCCCTCCCTTAAATCAGTATATTCATAGGAATTGAGGGGTTTTTTTGTTTGTTTTTTTTTTTGTTTTGTTTTGTTTTGTTTTTCGGACTAAGTCTCACTCGGTCACCCAGGCTGGAGTACAGTGACGTGATCTAGGCTCACTGCAAACTCTGTCTTCCGGGTTCAAGCAATTCTCATGCCTCAGCCTCCTGAGTAGCTGGGATTTCAGGCATGCACTACCACATCCAGCTAATTTGTGTATTTTTAGTAGAGACAGGGTTTCACCATACTGGCCAGGCTGGTCTCGAACTCCTGGCCTCAAGTGATCTGCCCACCTCGGCCTCACAACGTGCTGAGATTACAGGTGTGAGCGACCGTGCCCAGGAAAAATTGATGATCTATTTCCTTAATAGTTTGAAATATTGTTTAAAAGTTTCACAAGAATTGCAAAACTATGAATGCTCAAATCTGGACAAGTATTAGTTTTCATCAGTGAAATTACAAGACTTTTAATTATTAATAAAATATCAAACTGGAAAACCAGGTACACCCCCACAAACAGAAAGAAAGAGAGAAAATGAAAGAAAAGATTTAGAAGGGTCAAATATCAGTGCCATTTCAAGGTCATTCAGAGAAAAGTAGATAGTTTGCTATTTCCTTTGAGGTAGGATAGAAACAATAACTGCAGAGCAGAGCTCATCTAATAAATATCCCTCTGATATGACTGTAGCTAAGCACATCATTGTCAAAGGCTTAACTATTTCTTATTCCCTGTCATCAACTTTTTTTATCCATACCAATTAGGAGGTAAACATAATCAATTCTTCAATGACACTTCATTCATTTAACAAATATGTATTGAGTTTCCTCCATGTCTCAGGTACATTCCCAAACACAGAAGATACACAATAGTGAACAGGAAAGGGAGCACTGCTGCTCTCATGAAGCTTACATTCAGTAGCCCACAAGCAGACTGT
Source organism: Homo sapiens (assembly GCF_000001405.40). Taxonomy (NCBI): domain Eukaryota; kingdom Metazoa; phylum Chordata; class Mammalia; order Primates; family Hominidae; genus Homo; species Homo sapiens. The sequence goes on from NC_000014.9 coordinate 41,451,421, forward strand.
GAGCAAGAGAACAAACGTAAAGCTGGTTTTGACCAATCATAAGTGATAGAAGAAAATGGATCAAAATGAGGTGATAGAAAAGACTAGCTTTATATTTGATAGTTGAGAAAATCCCCTTGTATGAGATGAAATGACATTCAAAGAAAAAACTGGATGGTGAGAGAGTATAAATCCTGCACAGATCTAGAGAAGGAGAGTCTGAGGCAGAAGAGATAGCTGATGCAAAGTATCCAGAGTGAGAACAAACTCTGGTCACCGGCAAAGGCACCTGTGACAGAACCATTAAGGATGACAGGATGATCTGTACAAGATGAAATTAGAGAAAATGGCAGGGATCACAAACAACTTTGTAAGACACACTTCAGGGTTTTGATTTTATTCTAATTGGAATGGAAAGCAACTAGTGGGCTTTAAGTAGGGTAGGACTATAATCTTAACAAAGTTTTTACAAACTCTATCCTGCTACCGTGTAAAGAATAAACAATAGTGGAAGCAGAAAAAGCAAGATTTTGCAGTTTCCTAGATCAACTGAAACAGTCTCTACTAAAGAAAATGTAGCGTTTACTATTTTCGAATGCTTATTACATTTAGGCATGGAACTTTCAGTTCATCAGATTACAGTTTCTTATTAAAATACTCCGCTTTTCTTCAGTTTCAACATGTCTTTTCCAGGAAATGATTTAACCAAGTCTTATTTACTATCAATCTAAACACATATATGTTTAGATTATATATATTATATATATTTTAGAATATATATGTTTATATATTATTATACATATATTTACATTACTTCTCTAGTTTCCTAAATCTCTTATTTTCTTTTATGGCTTTAGTACTCAGCAATGTAGAGAATGGTGTTATTAACATTTTGGGTAACTGGGTTCTTTCCCCAGAAAAACGTATATGCACATGAAAATTTGCAGACGATTTTGGAGGATTCACAGACTGCCTCAATTACATTGATGAAAGCCCCCAAATAAGAAACCTTGCTATAAATATCTCTCATAATCTTTTCTTAGATGTAGCTGTCTTCCATTAAAAACAATTAAGAAATTATTTAATGAGAAGATGATAGATATAAGAAGTAATAAATGCCTCAAAAATTAGCCTGATATAAAATCCAATGGCACAAATAAAATGGTACAATTGCAAAGAACAATGGTCATAACCTGGAATCTGTAGTTCTAATGTTGATTATCATTGAATCATATAGGCATCTTTACATCAAAATATTTTAAGATAAAAATCAAATTGGATTAACATAAAGAATGAGTTTCAACTGTGCAAATAATATAAAAATTAAATTATCCTCTGATACTGAAGTAATGTTAAATCAGACGCTGTGATTTACTGGTAGCTGTATTTTTCTGAAGTGATTTTAAAAGGTAGAAAATGAGCAAATACGCTCACACTTTCTAATTTTGATCTTAAAAGTAAAACACAGGTACTAATGAGAAACTCTGGTTATGGGATCATTAGCATGCAGCCCAGATACTAGTGTTTTCTCCAGTTTTAATAAATAATTGTGTAACCATATTCTCTAGCTTGTGGTAAACAAATCATAAAGTTGAATTGCCTTAAAAGGCAAACCAGAAAATCAACACTTAGAAGAAAAAGCAAGCCTTTATTTTTCTTATAAATGTGACTTATAAAGGATCCTTATTTTAAATGTTCAAATAGATCTCTCAGCATATACACTTACGTTTAATAATCACCTAACCAAGAGCCATCTTTTAAAAACAAAAATTAGACATACTTGATAGCAAACAGAGAAAAGATTCAATTCAATATACACCATTGAGCAAACCTCAATTTCTCAGCAAAAATTGAAAATTGAAAGTGCATGAACCATAGCTATTAGGCTTTCATGAACCCAGTAAGTATCATTATTGGGCTATTTAGGTGCTTTTTGTAATATATCAAATATTGTAATTGAAAGAGTGAAAGACAGATAGTCCTATTCATTCCCCTCAATATTAGATAAAATAATAATCTGAGGCTTTTCTGTGTCATAGGCAATCCATTAAAGGTTATGGAGAAACTGAAGGTCAATGAATAATGAAAAATATATTCATATAAGCAGGTGGAAAAACCCGGTAAAAATAAAATAGTAACAAATAACACTAAAATATTTAGTGCTTGCTTTGTGCATGAAATGTAAATTTAGAAAAATTATATAAATTGGATTTTTAAAATCAAGCACATAATTTTAAATGCATTAGGGGAGATAGCTTTGGAAAATAATACCACTCTGAAAGCTTGTAGAAAATGGGCACTTTTTCATAAAAAAATGCTCTGAACCTTCCTACTCCCATCTGTAGTTCATGAGCATTTTAAGAATAGGATAATTTTAACAAAGACACTAAGAGGAATAATAGTAGTATTTGCAAAACAAAAATCATTCATATTCAGTCTTATAAATGGGTTCCATAGAATTCCTTAAACCAAGAAGGGTTACACTCATTTGACTTACAAACTGTTTCGTTTTTGTGGTTTTTTTTTTTTTTTTTGAGTACATATTTTATGACAAACAAAGCATTTTTGTATATAGTTTTCTGGAAGTAAAACTCTTCATTTCACAAAATTTAGGAAGTGTCTTCTATGTGTAACGAATTAATTTTGTGTGCTATATATGAATGAGATGGAAAATTTCATTAACATAAAGTACTATCACTAAATTATTATTTAAAAATACACAATGTATTGAAGTTGTTCTGTAACTGTTTTTTAATGTTTCTACCAAGTCAACATTCAATGATGATATCTTAGGTCCCTTTATCTCTTCATGAAAGTGTTTGTTGATTCTATCTACTCAACCATCTCCTATCAGAAAATAAATGTAATTTGAGTTTGTCATTGGAAAGGTTTTTAGACTTCCTCATTTTTCCGGGGCAAATATCTCCAAGATAAGACAACCTTTAGCTTGTTTATATGGACCACATCTGAAGTTGATGCATTGTTTAACAGAGTATATGACTCTTTCTTCTGCATGGTGGAGACAGTCTTTTGAGAACGGGAGAGAAAAACAGGACATAGATAAGAATTGGAATAATTGGTTTTGTCACTTAATTGAAGTCATTGTGTACATAAAAGTGACTTGGAAGTGGGGACAGGGATATTCAAGTTGGTTCCAACAAGACCAGAGATAGATATCTAACTAAATAATTAAAATTCAATTTGACCAGTAGTTCTATGAGAATAGTAAATACAATTTATGGAAGGTCATTGTCAATTTAGACTGAGCATCTGCATTAGACTCCAAAAGACCAAACCAAAATTAGTCACTCATGCTAAAAGTTCCATGTCATCAAACTGAAATTAAGTTGTTTATCTGACCTTCTGAGAAATCAGGAGAGAGATGATAGCCAAATCCCCAAACAGACCAGTTTTAGCCAGCATGATAAAGAAATCGCCTCTGCTTTAACACTTACAAGGCAAGTAACCTAAGGCACCCTGATGTTAACCAGTCATCTTTTTTTTATATTACATTGTTTCCTTGTTCCTGCTCAAGTTATCTTATAAAAACTGACTGTTCTACTATTCCTAATGGTGCACCTTTCAATATTTTATAGATAGAGTGTTCCTCGATTTATGAGTCACTAATAAAAGACAATTATATTCTTAAACTCAATTTGTTGAAATTTTGTTTTTTGCAAAGAGGCAGGACTGTGCAGGATCATCCCTACTATGAAGGACTAATGAAAACTTTAGAGAAAATAACAGATCTGAACCTTTAAGGGTCCCTGACCAACCCTGAAGTACCCATGGTCTGAGATAGTGAAGAGCAAAGTCACAGCAACGCTTCTAAATACAGAATATAAATAAGATTACTAGGGAAATTGTAATACTTGATGAACATATTGACCACTGAAATTGCATCCAAAAGACAATAAATATGGAAGAAAAATCCATTAATCCTACACGTATTTTCCAGAAAAGCATGTGTCCTTAACCAAACAGCATCTACACAGCCAGCTCCACAGTATGAGAATTGCTCCCTATGGTGAGCACTTCTGCTGTCTCCAATCTTCATCATTATCTCCTATTGTAAGTCCATTTAAAACAGAAGCTTCATGTAATCAAAGCCAGGAGTGAATAGATGTGATCATTAGGGTATTATAGAGATAGTTTACAAAGTAGAAGGTTAAACACTCAGGTTCAAGGACTACCTGGATTTTGATCCTGGCTCTGGTACTTGGTAGCCAAGTAACTTGGCAACTTATTTAAACAGACTGTGCCACATTCCCTTCACTACCTAAATCCTAGAATTGCTATTCCTAGAAAAATCAAAAGACTATCTGTACCATTGTACACATGATACAATTTAGATTAGACCACTGTACTAAACCTTTGAGGGTTTTAGTACAATGTATGATTCAGAGCTTTTATTATTTTAGAGCATTTGGTGCAATAATTAGAAAATATGACCAATTTTCCAAATAAGAATCTGCCTACTTTATGGTACTTAAACCACCTTTGTAGAAAATTACTATTTCTATTCTCAATGGCAAGGGGAAAAACATTTAGTTCAGTTAATTGAAAAATGACTATAAATTATTAAGATAAAAATCTGACAGAAAAATATTCAAAAATTCCCCCCAATGTGACACTCTTCACTGTGTTATCTGATCTGTCAGGACACTGTCACTATACTGTACTGGCTTTAATGAAGTTTCTGGAAAATTCTAGAGATAACAGGAGTTCCTTGATGAGCTCAGTCATTGTAGCTCATTTTTAGTTCATGTCCACAGATTCAAAATCAATACAAACTACGAAGTATCTTATGCACATTTTTATACAAGACGGAGATTACAAAAACTGGCTGAGTATTAATCAAAGCTAAAGATGCCTGCCAACTGCTGTATTTTTAGGGTGAGAAATTAATGATTATGATTTGACAAGGAGAAAACTGGCAAAGACTTCCGATATCATTTGGATCTCTGTCCCTGCTGAAATCTTATGTTGAATTGTAATCCGCGATGCTGGAGGTAGGGCCTGGTGGGAGGTGTTTGAGTCATGGGGTCATATCCCTCAATGCTTGATGCTGTCTTTGTAAGTTCTCCCAAGATCTGGTCATATAACAGTGTGTCTCCCCCGCACCCAATGCCACTTGCTTCTGCTTTTGCCATGTAACATGCCTGCTCCCCTTTCACCTTCCACCATGATTGAAAGCTTCTTGAGTTCTCCCTGGAAGGCAAGCTTGATGCCAGCACTATACTTCCTGTAAAGCCTGCAGAACCAGAAGCCAATTTAACCTCTTTTCTTTATACATTACCTAGTCTCAGTTACTTTTTTTATTGCAATTCGAGAACAGCCTAATACAAGTTTAACAGTAATGCCTAATGAACTAATAGAAAGATACTTTGGTGGAAATGTGAAGCTTGTTCTTTAAAAGAATGGCATATATTAAAATCTAGATTAATTTTTAAGACCACCTATGTAGTTACTCAAACTAAACAAGGCTACAAAGTTTGAGAGCTCCGTTCAAAGGGAATGTATTAAATATATTAGGCAAATAGCATAGCCAATGGTGAGTTGCAAGATTTTTAAAAATGCAATCTCACATCTAATAAATACATCTACTCTTTCTTTAAGTATTAAAATACAAGATTTAGGTAAAGCAAAGATTTATTAATGGTCAAAAAATATGTGACTCAGGAATAACCAACAGAAATCTTTGTTTAGTAGAAAAAAAACTTACAAGTCTGGTTATAAACTGAAGGTAGTGGGGGGAAAGAGAACATTTCTGATAGATGTAAATGGTTGTACATAACTTCTATATCTGTCTCTAAAGAAACAACCATTGCTTCAAATGCACATGGAGCCTCCAAATACATGGATGTTCAATAGGTTGATACTGTTCAACACATCACTAGTTTTAGTTAAACCATTGTGCTGTAGGCTCCAGTCTGCTGTTTAACTCAAAAAGTAAATTTTTCATTTCAGATATTGCATTATTTAGCATTATTTAGTTCTAAAATTGGTACGTAGTTCTTTTTTATGTTCTAATTGTCTGCTAAGATTATTATCCATTCCCTCATTCTGATAACTTTACTTGTAAGTCCTTGAAAATACATATAACAACTATTTTCTGGAGATCTTATCTGCTAATTCCAACATCTGAGTCATCTTGTGTTTGTTTCTTCTGACCTATTTTACTATTGTTGGTTATGGCTTATATTTTCCTTCTTTTTGTGAGTGCTAATTTTTTATTGTATGCTTTATATTGTAACTAATGTACTTTAGAGAGCCCAGTTTATTGTCTTCCTTTGAAGGATATTAAATTGTATTTTAGAAGGCAGGCAGTTAAAATACTTGTAAATCATGTGATCTTTTTGGGCTTTTTTTTTTTCTATAGGGCCTATTTCAGTTTTTCCCTTAAATCATAGAGTTAACACTAAGACATGGCACATTTCTGGACTTTCAGCTGAATTGCCAAGATGCTCTCTACATTCTGACTGGGTCACAATTTCAATGTATTTTAGCACCATGTGACTTCTTACATGTCCATTTGAGTCTTAGTCATGCAGCAGAGTCACTCTCTGCTAGGCTTTCTGTAGTACCAACTTGTGATATAATAAACTAGTCCTAAGACAAGTGTCCCTAGGAAATCATCATGAAACTTCAGTCATGCCCCAGAAAGACATCACTCTCCTTTCTGATACTTAAATTATCAAAGTTTTGAAGTCTGAAATTCTCTTCTTCAGGTTATATTGACCATGTTCTGCAAGGGCTTCACTTACCCTGGTTATTATCTGGAAAATGATTCCAGTGAAGAGCATGAGGGAGTGTGGGGCTCACTTAATTTGCTTCTCTTCTCTCAAACATCAGAGTTTTGCATTGTCTGTAATAAAATGCTTACAAATATGTATTTCAGATATTTTGTCAGTTCTATAGTTGTTAACCATGGAAGCAAAATTTTAATATGCTTATTACATATATGTAATATGATATGCCTAATATTCATATTACAATTATGCTTCTATGGTTAACAACAACAAATGGCACTTACTGCACCATAGCCAGAACTTTTTAAAAATGTATTTATTTAGTAATCATTGAATTAACCTTATTAAATAAGTAGGCCTTTACATTATAATATTCAAAAATTTAAAAATCTAAAACTATATGAAAAATTTATTATATAAAACTTCTAATAAAAATACCACATTAAAAATAAAAGTCCAGGAAAATGTTAAACCAATGGAATGTCAGGATGATAGTCTTAAGTAAAGACTATATGAGTATATAAGGATATATTCCAAGCTAAAGAGAGGGAAATTTCAAAGATATTTCCAAGGTTTCTAGCTTGTGCAACTAGAGTTTTCATAGTGAGATTTCTTCAGTGAGCAATTTTAAAAGAGAAATACATGTTTGTTATTGTTTCTTGACATTGTCATGTGTGGATATAATTATTTAAATTCCCAGAATTACTGCAGCCTTTTTGCTACAAAACTCAGTGAGGGTCAAAGTCAAGAAAATCTGAAGAACACCCAAAGTCCTAATATACAATGTATCCAACTTTTTATTTTGATTTTTGGTTTTTTAACATCATAAGGTTTATTGCTTGCAGCTGAAAACATTTTTGCCTGATAAGAATTCTCTAGTCATTGACTCCATTGTGCCCACCAGACCGGGAACTATAGGTCTGCCCCAATACCCAGTTCTGTCTGGATTAACTCATGTTTGATAAGTATTCTCTCCAGAAGATAATTACATACATAATCAAGGCTGCAAACTAATAAGTAACTTTAATGATATAATAATTTGTAATGAGTTCTTGCAAACAAATTCACCCAAGCAAAGACTGCTTATCTGTGAAAAACTGCTAATCTATGAAGACATTTTTTATCAAGATTTATCTCAAGGCCCCCATCTCACTTTTTCCAACAATCCTCCTCTCTAATGTCACAAACGTTGTGCAGTCCCTATGAGTTTCCCACATTGAATGAGCCAGCTTAAACAATATAAGCCTAAACTTCAAAGCTTGATAAATACCCTTCGGTCCATTTAGTCCTTTTGAGATATTACCAATAATTAATCAAAGTGATGTTTTCCCTTGTTTCAGTAAATTAAATACACTCAAGTTTAATTAATCAGTAGGTTTCTCTGGTGGTATTTCAGGGGGCAAATAGTCTTAGAGGACCCACTGAGATAAAGCCAAGGATCCTCAGTACTGCAGCAAAATCTCTCACCATGTAAATAGTATACTGATCAGGATACCATTGAATTTACAAATTTAGGGTCTCTCAAACTGCAAAGTTGAGTTTCCACATTAAGTCTGAGCTCTGATTACTTTTTTTAGCCTCCATTTTAAGGGATTCTTAGATTATTTTATCAGACTTGAAAATAATTTTTCTTGGTATTAATTTTTCTTGTAACTATGGAAGTTAGTACCTTTTCTGTTTGCCCCTCTGTCTTTGTATCTGTTGTGAGTCTATAAGAGTAAATCCCAGAGTGGAAGAGATACGTAGTTCTGATAAATGCATCTCTGGAACTAATCTCAGAGACTAACTGGTAATAGTCTCTTCTAGACCTTTCATTATTGTATAGGGACATCTACCAAAATTTATGACAACTTTCCTCAGTCTTATCTTGTTTTGTGAAAGTCTAGTTAAAGGAAATATCTCATCTGAAAATTTCTTGTCTATCAGGAGTTGCAGATTGATTGGGTCTGCAACACAAAATGGCCAGTCCTCAGGTGGCAACCCCACATATAAAATGAATAAAAAATTTGACTGAATGTTTCCAGATTCTCATGGGTTTATCTCAGCCTAAGGACACACTTTGTTCAGCACAAACTCCTGCTTTTTTGTGCTATAAACATCACTTTTGTGCTTATGTTTATAAATGGTATAATTTCACCAAGAATAATTTACAATTATAGTTGTCACTTTAGATAACTTTAATAGAAAGGAAATTGAAGCAAAAGGTGAGCAAACTTCCAAACATTCAATAGTCTGAAATTTTTGTATGAAAAAACTTCCAAAAGAAATCAAGATTCCATAATTTTATCCTGAAGTGATTCATTGGCCAAGGCAAATTTAAAAAATACAAAACTTAAATCTCTTTCTCTGTGTATGCATTAAGGAAAGGCCACATGAGCACACGGTGAGAAGCTGAAAATCTGCGAGCCACAAGGAGTGCCTTTACCAGGAACTGAATTGGTGACACTTTGATTGAGGTTTCTCAAACTCCAGGACTGTGAGAATACATTTCTGTTTAAGCTCTCTAGTCTAGTGTTTTGCTACGGCAGCCCAAGATGATTATTAATGTGCTTTGCTACTCTCCTTTTATTACCATAAGGGGAAAGTTAATATTAGCTTTTGTTTGTAAACTATGTTCTAAAGAAACTTATTAGAAACTTTTCTAGAAAACACAAGTCTAATCTCTTTTGCTCTTAGGTCATACCTTAAGACTGAAATAGAAAAATTTCAAATTCTACCACCAAACTAGAAGTCCATTCAACCATAGATAATTATTGCTTTTCAGAAGCACACGTCAGCAGGAATGGTAACTTCATTGCATCCATCAGAGCTTGCCAGTTGGCTAGTGATAGAAGAATCAATACATAAATTGGTAGCAACATGCTATTGTGGCAGTACCTAATTTTGGAATGCTTTGGAAACAATGAGGGTTCTTGACATTACCTAGGAAACCCAATTTAAATCGTTAACAATTAAATAGTTTTTTTCTTAGAATCTTCTTAGGAAGCTATAGAGCACTTTGCAAAGTGCTCTATAGCTTCCTAAGAAGATAGCTAGTATAAAAGTAGGAACACATGTATAAAAGGAAAATAGAAGGCTAAAGGAAATGCCCAAGCTGATCAGCATGACAGGCAGGCAGTTGTTCCTAACATCCTGTCTCCCACTACATCTGAGAAGACCAAAACTTTGGAAAAGTTCAAAGAGGCTATATAGAGTGCTAGTGATCTAGACTCAGGAAAAAAAAAAAAAAAAAAAAAGATTTTTTGAACAGTCTGATTGCAATTTACATGATGATAATTTCTGGCACTTTCAAAATAGCTGCTGAATAGTACCAAAGTAACTCAAAAGAAATCATCCAAAATTTTAAATAAAATTGCCTACCAAATAAAGTACAAATTGGACAATAGGCTCAATGAATATTGGTGGGGAATGTTATAAAATTTGCTGAGTAAGTTTCTGGTGCCTGACTCACCCATCACTAGTATAATCTTGCAAAAATGATAAAAATAAGGCACTAACAAGATACCAATATCCTAGGCCTCTTTAAAATTTCCAAAATGTTTCATAAGACTAACCCTAAATAGTTTTGAATACATCTCTGTCATTGTCTGCTGAGCCTTAGGATAGAGTGAAAATTTTCCTTGCCAGAAAGCTACCTAGCAAACCTCCGCATTCTGATCATAGAAATAAATAAATAAATAAATAAATAAAAGCTTAAATGTGTGTTTTACCGAGATGGTTATTAACAGCTTTGTAATAACTTTGTAATAACAAACTCAGAAATTTCACTTTCTTATCACCCTCAATCACTGCAAAATGTATGAGAATTGAATTGTCAAACTAAAATCAGCAAAGCTTGGAGACACTCAAACTTCCATTTCATAAAGTAAAGCCATGGGCTTTAACAACCAAATCAACTTCTGGGATTAATTGGCTGTTTCCTCATGGTTAAAGAATAGGCCAACTCAACACAAACATGGATGAATACTGAAAAACAATACATTACCTATATTGATATTGTTTATACCAATACCATACAAGCAATATACCATATCTGATCATCAACTTTTCTTCAATATCCTCCCAAACAACTCTTACATGATCTAAAGCCTGAAGATCTAGTCTTCTAGAAGAGATACAGATAAATACAGCTCTTGAAACACAGTTGGAAGGACCACGTCAGGTAATGTCAACTAGTAGGATATCAGTAAAACTCCAGAAACTTAATCCTTGGGTTCCTAATTTTCAATAAAAGAAACATAAGCCATCCTCAGATTACTGGAAAACTATCTCAATCAGACATCTCAAGCTGAAGATTTTAGTGATTTCTCAGGAGCAGATCATCTTTGGAAAGGAGATAATGTCAAAAAAAAAGTCCTACAGAATTAGATTGACATGAATGGGGCCAAAGATTACCAGGTTTCAAGTAACATGCATATGTTCTCTATTTTTACAGCTTTTTTTTTTTTTTTTTTGTCTTTTTATTGATTTAATGTCCTGGACTACAGATTCTCTTACAATTGACTAAAGCACATAAAACCAAACCAAATAATAGATTTATACTTCCTTTCTTTTAGAATTTACCTAAAAGAACGTTGGTATAAATCTCTCTTCAGTACAAAGTTCATTTTAATAAATGAGTTTACTTCTTAGGTAATTGCATGTACCTCAAATGTGATTTTCTATGTAAAATATACAACAATAGGCCAGACATGTCATACCAGAAAAGAGAGGTTGCTATCTCCACTGAAATAATACTTGAGCCTTTGAAACTTTGTAGACCTTAAAACTGAAGTTTCGCAGAAATAGAGATTAGAAAGTAACCTTGGAAAATGGTGTCATTGTGGAAGTTGTCTTACTTTACAGACCATGTGAAGAATTTCTCCCAATTTAAACTCAATCTCATGTTCTTTTGCTTCAACCTACCTGGTTGGTAATCTCTGTACTATTAGTCTCATTACTTGTGTGCCAGCACACTCCTCGGTGACAACCAATCTACATAATATGATTCATCAATCCCATTGGAATATTTTGGCTGAAATTAGATGATTGTGTGTCTTCACCATCACTACCATTAACTGGTATTAGCTTTTTTCCACAAAAGTCTATCATTCCACAAAAGCCTATCGGTTAAACTCTGCAAGAAGATCAGTAATTTCTTCTCTCAATAAATTAACGTGTGCATTCAATTTCTTATTTCACTTAGAGTTTGCTTTATCTCATCAACTTTCTGCTCCTAGCAAAAGAGGCCTTAAGATAATTTAAAGAAGAGAAAAATTTGTTCTCTATTTGAAACTCTGAAACATACCCCCTTGAAAAGAAATTTGGTGTTAACTTCTTCAGTATTCTATGTCCTTTATTTAATGCTTACAGTAAGTCTGAAAATTGGAAAAAATAATTTTATGTGAGATTTGCATGGGAGGCATTTCACTAAGAGCATAAATTTTCCTGTCCTTGAAACTTGTGACCTTGAATAGGTTGTATTTCAAAAGAGAGGAGTCCTAAATATAATAGCAGTCTTTGAAGGTAAAAATACAGGTGTTCTTCGGTGAAGAATGCTGTACGTAATTCCCAGACACTTCCTGGTATTATTAATATTACTAAAATATTGAAATAGTAAACAAAGACTTCAGGAAAATAGGTAACTTGACTAACACCCCTATATTGTTTTTCTCTGAGTTACTCATATTGGGAACTGATTTCATTTTCTTGGGTGAATGTGGACATGCTAGTCTACTAACTGAAAGTACAAAGCAAACTGTGACAATAATAATCTTTTTCTTAGTCTCTGTCTGTATTATTTAGCTTTATTTCATTTTTTTGGGCAAATGTGGACATGCTAGTCTACTAACTGAAAGTACAAAGCAAACTATAATAATAATAATAGTCCCTTTCTTAGAACCTGTCTGTATTATTTAGTTTGGACTGCAATAACAAAAGGTTAGGTAAATCAATTGGCAGAAATTTGTTTTCTGACCATTCTGGAGGCTGGTAAGTCCAAGGTCAAGGTGCTGGCAGATTTGGTTATTTGTGAGGGCCCTCTTTTTGTCTTGTAGACAGCCACCTTCTCACTGTGTCCTCACATGGCCTTTCCTGGGTGCACGCTCATGAATAGAGAAAGATCTCTTCCTCTTCTTATTAAAGCACTAATCCCATCATAAGGACCCACACTCATGACCTAATATAAACCTAATTACTTTCCAAAGGTCCCACCTTCTAATACCATCACCTTGGGTGTTAGGGTTTCAGCATACGAATTTTGAGGGAACACAAACATTCAGACTGCAGCAGTTACAATTTTCAAAATGCTTTTGCCCAGAAGTTGTCCTATGAAATGATCCAATGAATGACTATTGAGAGAGAAAAATGACAGCGAGAGAGAGATAGAAATAGAGAAGATAGAAAAATCTCGATAATATTAAAGATTAAAACAGCTGCTTTCTAAAACATGATCCTTAATGATAATTCTTCAGTCCTGCACCTCATTATCAAAGACCAGTAGCAGTAATGAAATAAGACCAATAGCCCACTGCTTGTACCTTCTATTTTCTTTAGCATTAGTTAATCCTAAGTACTACCCTTCCCAATTCCACAGTGTTCTGGTGGAGCTGTCATTCACTGTGCCACAAAACAAGCCAATCAATATCTCTCCCTCCATAGAATTTTAATCTCAATCATCATGGCAAAAAGACAGGAAGGCTTTCAGCTTCTCTTTCCAACATGAATATGGAAACTAGTCATCAGCTCCTGACTTGCAATCTGGGTTATCCTGACTACTATACAGGTTTTCCAAACTTTTAAAAACAAAATTCTTTGTAATCCTTAGTGTCTGATAATAAATTTGTTATAATTTAGCTTGAGTCAAATTCTGTTACTTATGAAAGGCTCCTCATTGATTTCGTATTAGCATGTGTGCACCAACATATGCTCATTCTCGAAGCCTTTCTGTGCTCTGAATTAATTTCTGAAAAAGAAAAGGGAAACAGTTCCAAGCTGCATTAGGCTTAGTGAATTGTATCAGCAGCTGTAGACCAAAGGGTTCTCTTTAATATTCTAGCAGCATACAGAAAGCTGCTGCAAAAGGCTCCAGGTTTTCAGCCACACCCCAAAACCTAGAATGATAATACCAGTCACAGTATCATTTTCAAATGCAAAGGGGACAAAATCTTTTATTATTAATGTCTTTCCCATATCCTATTCTTAAAGAAAATCTATGATTAGAAATTCCTGTCAGACTAAATCCTAACCTGATCAACTCCTCACGCTCTAAAGCTGCACCCAGCAATAAATGAAGATAGAAAATGACTGACTCAACAGAGCCCTCATAGACCATCAGAGCTATGAATATTAATTCCATAAGGAAACTTGGAGGAAGGGAACAAAGTCAAGGATTAGCAATGGAGAGAAAAACCAGGTCTGGGGAACTGGCTAAGGAGGCTAACCACTTAAATTATCAATTTACAAAAGCAAGGACAATAAACATTAAGAAGGCTTTAGGCCAGCTATTTAAATAGAATTATTCTTTTTAAACCCTTTCTCAGTCTACAACCTTCTCTAACTACTTCTAAACATAATCACGACTAATATATGAGCCAGTGCAGTTAATGCTTGTTAAAAGCATGAGTATAGATTAGTGCTATGTCTTCACTTTATGCTTCTTATCTTTCAACCGCCTGGTTCTTTTTATGTCTGGCCTAACGTTTTTCAAACTTTGGGCCGCAGGGTCTGTGCTAATTTACATAAGGGTATGAAGAAAAAACACTTCATAAAAATGTCATGTAGAAATTGAAAGACTTCTATGAAATGCACTAGTTAAATTTGGTGATAGATTCCTTTTACAGGCCATCTGGTTTAATTCTGCAAAATGTAATATGGTCTTCATGGAAATAAAAAAAAGAAATATAAATGCCAAAGGGGATTGTTTTTTAATTGGAAAACATAAAAAGTTGACAGATTTTGAAGAGTTCCCTATAAAAAGATCCCTTAATGTTTTTTATTAACTGTTTTGTTTACATTGAAGTATATAAATGATTGCACATATGACTAAGTAGAAAACTACTTATAGATGTTATAGCTAATCTGACTTTAATATCTTTTTTTTTTTTTTTTGAGATGGAGTCTGGCTCTGTTGCCCAGGCTGGAGTGCAGTGGCACAATCTCGGCTCACTGCAAGCTTCACCTCCTGGGTTCACGCCATTCTCCTGCCTCAGCCTCCCAAGTAGCTGGGACTACAGGTGCCTGCCACCATGCCCGGCTAATTTTTTTGTATTTTTAGTAGAGACGGGGTTTCACTGTGTTAGCCAGGATGGTCTCGATCTCCTGACTTCCTGATACGCCTGCCTTGGCCTCCCAAAGTGCTGGGATTGCAGGTGCTATTTTCTTAATCAGAATTATGAAGGGTAATTTAGTTCCTACTATCTTCCCATTTCAAAGCAATTAATGAATGTCATACTAAAAATGTTTAAGAACAAAGTTGTCTACCTTAGAAAGCTTCAAAAATGTATAACTTATTTCTGTGCTTTTCGCATCTGACAGTCAAGTAAATAGGTTATTAAATCTATTGTAATCTATTAAGTCTAACAGAAACAGAACAATAGTAAGAACTAGTAAGTTCCACTGCTTACTAGTTCTTTCTTCTGAGACCTTCTAGTACTTTTCTTCTGAGACCTTGTTTCTCAGGATTCTAAGCAGTAGGATATACATTCAATACAACATTATTTAAACCACTTATTTGCATATTCCTATCACCAAATAATATATGGGAAAGAAACAGCATCCTAAGATAACCAGAAAAGTCCATTTTATTTGACTGAATTTTTGCACTTATTTCCTTTGTGACTTACTCTCTTAAAGTATTTCTATTTCATTGTTTATAATAGTAAACAACAGGCAAGCAAGGAAAAAAACAGTTACAGCTTTGGCTAAATATTTCCCTGAACAGGTTCATGTAAAAATGGCTTATTTATGTAGCTTGTATGAGAGGGGAAATTTCTTATAAGGGACAATGTGGTTCTTAATGATTTTTGACATAGCTCCATTTAATCTAGTAAATAATAAAAGACAATGCATTGGATGTTATTTTATTTTATTGTTTCTTTGAAAACATGAACTCTTATCATCATAATGCTATAGTTTTTGATACAAGATAAATTTTCATATTGTTCAGTCATAAAATATTAGACAGCACAAAATTGCCTGACTTCCATTAGCAGATATGTTTTTAACCAGAATCAGCTCATTTCAGCTAATTTATTTCACCATCATCCCTGACAAAGACTATCTTTTTCTTCAAACTAAATTAGGTTCCTCTAAGCACTCTTCTCAATTAGGCCTGTTTTCAGTAAATATCGCTACATCAGTTTAGCAAGAACACCTACCCTTGATTTCTGATCACTTGGGCCTGCCTTCAATAAGAATCCCCTTATCCTTGATGTTTCCTCTTAATAATTTGCCATCCTCTAATTTCCTCACTCTACTCCTTGGCTATGAATCTCCAGCTGTCTTTGCTGTATTTGGAGCTGGACTCACTCTCTCTTCCCTATTACAGTAGAATTGACTTCTATTGCAATATTCCTGATTGGAGTCTTCTTTACTGTTTTAATGTGTCAGAATAATTTTTTTCTTTAATACCATAGATGTCTGTTTTTCTCTTCTAATGAATAGTTGGATTATTGATATCACTTAAAGTTCATCTGAGAAAAGGAGGCATTGGTTCTCACAGTTGTTAAGTAGTAAACCCTCCTCTCCTGATATTTTAGCTTAGGATAAGAATTTGAGACTATTTTACCAAAAATTTAGAGATATCAAATATATGACTCAATTAATCTAGCATAGGATTATTAGGCAGGCTTGAATGCCTAGATAATAAATGGATAGTAAATGCCAGTGGAGAGTGTTGATAGTCAAAATATAAACCAATCACATACAAAGAAATCAGCAGTCACCTGATACAGATACTATGAACCAGAGAACTAAAGAGACTGAAATGCACCTTTCTTAAAAAATGGAGGGTAGGGAAGTAAATTAAAAGTGTCATTTCTTGTACCACAGACATTTCCCTCTTTATTTCTTCCCACCTATCTTTTACACATACTCATAAGTATCCCCCACCACCACAACCCCTCAAATGAATCTCTCAGTCCTCTAGTTTCAGTCATTTCTCTTCCCATTCACATACAAGACTCATGAAAGAAACATTCCCAGTTTTTACTTTTTCACCACTTTTTTACTCTTTATCTCAAACCACTGGACTCTGTGTCCTGCCACCATTAATTCACTGAAATTGTTCTTACCAAATTCAATAGTTCTTCCTTCTAAATTCACTGAATATTTTTGAGTTTTTTTTTTAATTTTATTATTATTATACTTTAAGTTTTTGTTTTTATCTACTTTCTATCTCATTTTACAACACTGACAACTCTTTTATTTTAGAAATGTTCTTTTGGCATATATCGACATTGGTTCTTTTTATTGTATTCTAGTCATGGCTTTTTAATCTCCTTTGCAACTACTTCCTTCTGGGCTTACCCCTTAAATAGCCCAAGTGTCAGCTACCAGCCTCCTTCTTTAGCTACCAGCCTCCTTCTTTTCTCATTGTGTGCACTTTCTGTGAGTATCCTCCATCGTCCTGCATGACTTCTAACTACCATCATTAAGCTGACAACACTCATATCTTTTTTCAACAGGTCTTATATCACACCTGAAAATCAAAACCATGTATCTAACTCTCTGTTGATGTAGTTACCTTTCAAATTCACCTACCAAAGACAGCCATGTTTCAAATTCAACATATCCCAGTGTAGTTGATTATCCATAGGGAATAGTTACCTTAGTTACCCAGGGAGAGTCCTACAACTATAGCACCTCTGGCTTTCAATAACGAAAAGCAGCCACTGCCTATCTGAAGAAAGAGAAAAAGATGGAGAAATAAACATGAATTCAGGAAAATAAATGTCTAAACTTTACTTTCGCCCGCTGATTTTTTACTAGTGCTTGCCATTGGCTAAATCTAACTGGGATCCAGAGGGCAAGATAGCTTGCTGATGCAATCTCTAAAGTTAAAGCCTCCCCAGGCACAAAGCAGAATGAAGCAGAGTGCAGGTGGGTCTGAAGAATCAATCAGGAAGTATCTAGCAGAGTGCAGTACTTTTACCTGTTGTTATCTATTCTTGTCATTTGTCTGAATAAACACTTCTACCTCTGCAAAAAGAAAGCATGGCCTGGGCAGCTGCTGCCCTGTCAACCTCGTGCTCCATAAAGTAAAATGGGCACGGCCAGGCGTGGTGGCTCACGGCTGTAATCCCAGCACTTTGGGAGGCCAAGGCAGGCAGATCATGAGGTCAGGAGATCAAGACCACCCTGGCTAACACGGTGAAACACCGTCTCTACTAAAACAAACAAACAAACAAAAAAACCAAAAAATTAGCCGGGCGTGATGGTGGGCGCCTGTAGTCCCAGCTACTTGGGAGGCTGAGGCAGAGAATGGCGTGAACCCAGGAGGCGGAGCTTGCAGTGAGCCGAGATCGCGCCACCGCACTCTAGCCTGGGCAACAGAGCAAGACTCCATCTCAAAAAAAAAAAACCAAAAAACAACAACAACAAAAAAAACCAAAAAAGGTAAAATGGGGACACACAAAGTCTGTTATCACCAGTCCTCCCTTGACAGCACTTTGAAAAGTACACCATGATGTCATTTTGAATTTTGGGGGATTAGCAGGAGATCAGAACCAGTATCTGTTTTCCTCCTGAAAGTCTCCTCATTTCCCTTTCTGCAGTGCACAGTCACCCTAGTGAATGAAACACACACACACACACACACACACACACACACACACAGACACACACACTCCTTGGTTTTGTTGCATGGTCCTTACTCAAAGTACTCTGTTCTTCCAGTTGTTCAAAGGGCTTCAAGTCTGTGAACAGACACACAAAAACTCAGCAAAAATCCTTGAATTTCCACTATGGAGACTCAAGTTAGGCGTCTGTCTACCAAATAAATGTACCAATACTTCCATCAAGATGGAGCGTAATTCTCCTCCTGTTGGTTATAGGATGTATTTAGTGACTCCATTTGTAATGAAAAAAAATGTAGCAGAACTGATAAAGTATAACTTCTGAGACTAGGTCATAAAAGGCATTTCGGTTTCCTCCTTGCCGACTTTCTCAGATCATTCCTTCTAGGGAAGTCAGCTGCCATGTCATGACAGAAACTCAGGCAACCTATAGAGAGTTCCATGTGTCAAGAAACTGAGGCCTTCTGTCAATAGTCATGTAGGCAAGCTATGTGGGAAGTGGATTCTCCAGCCTCATTCAGGCCTTCAGATGAATGCATTCCTGGCTGACATGTTCACAGCAACTTCATGAGAGACCTGGAAACCAGAGACATGCAGACAAGTTGCTCCTACATTTCTGACCCTCAAAAATTATGAATTAATAAACGTGTTATTTTAAGCTGCTAAATATTAGGGTAATTTGTAATGTATGTAGCAAAATATAATCAATATATCTATATAAGTCAACTATCATTGCTCCTTTCTGGGGATCTCAGGATCAATTTGTCAGTGCCAAAAAATCCCAACAAATCAAAATAGTCTACTATTCTGTTCCTATGGCTTATTTTGATAACTGTATTGTCTCCATCTATTTTTATCCCTATAGGTCTCATTATTTCCATTAAGATCAGGGCATCCCCCACAGTCAACTCTAGCTTACCAGGACAGCCACCATGGTACTCATCAAGGACCCTTCATGACTGCTTTTTATAATAGCCTAGCAAAGAGAGTATCCTCTGGTCCTTACTGAAGAGAATACTGAAGGAGTAGTTAAACAATTTGCTCATAATCCATTCAAAAATTATCATCTTCCTAATCTTTCAGATTATTTTTCCAGCATGACAGTGGAACATCTAGCATTTTACCCTCATTAACTATGAGACCATCAATCAGTCCAGGCATCAATTAATCAATTCAGTGGATTATTAATACAACTTCCAACAGCTCAAGCTACTGTGTTAAGTCCTGAATCCCAGGTGAGTGTACCCATGAATTTGACTCCATCTAATCTAATATATCAGTCTTCCTTCATCTACTTCCCATAGAATTCATCACTATATACATTGCTTATATTAGTTTTGTAAGGTTGCTGTAACAAAGTATCAAAAACTGAGTGGCTTAAAATAACAGAAATTCATTTTCGCACAGCTATAAAATCTAAAAGTCCAAAATCAAGGTATAGGCAGAGCACATTCTCTCTGATGGCTCTACGGGAAAGTGCTTTCTTGCATATCAGTTTCTGGGATTTGCTTGCAATTCTTAGTGTTCCTTGGCCTTTAGATGCATCATGCCAGTTTTGTGGCCACCTTCTCTCTCTGTGTCTTCACTTTATCTTCCCTCTGTGCATGGTTGGCTTTTTTGGTTCAAATTTCCTCTTTTTATAAGGATATCCAGTTATATTATATTAGGGCTCACTCTAACAACTTCATTTTATCTTGACTACTTCTATGAAGACCCAATTTCCAAATATGATAACATTTTGAGATACTGAGGGTTAGAACTTCAACATATCTTTTTTGGGGTTGGGTCACAATAAATCCATAACAGTCTCCAGCCTCCTTCCAATACAAAATTATAAAGTCCCATGTCTTTTTTCACTGTATCTGAAATCTTCCCAGGCAATGCCTTCCCCTACAATTCTGGCGCTCTGCTTTTTTCTATCCTGGGGTTTAATTCTCTTGGACCTGGAGGAGGTGAAGATTGCGTTCTGAGAAAAAGTGGCATCCTCCTGTGAGACAAATTCCATAGCTAAGACTTCAAGGAAAGAGAGGAGTAGATTGCTCTATCTATTAGCAAGAAAAATTCAAGGAGATTTTGAATTCCAAACTTCTCAGCCAATTCTGTGATGGCCCACACATTCCTTTCCCAGGTAGCGTGCACAGTTTAAACTTCCGTCAGCAGTGCCTGAGTTTCTGTTACTTTACTCCCTAAAACTACGCATTGCCCTTGTTTAATCTGAATCATTTTGGTAAACTTGCAGTGGTTTCCCATTGTGACTTTAATTTGTATTTTCTTGATGTCTAATGAAATTTGATGAGTTTTCTTATCTTTTTGACCACATGAATATTCTCTTTTATTCCTTTTATTTTAAATAAAAGAATAAAAGAATATTCTTTTATTTAAAGTTCTTGCCAGTATTTTTATTTAGTAATTTCTGACTTTCTCACACTAATTTTAGAAGTTCTTAATATGCATTTGAAATGTAATTTCTTACATGGTGGCGTAAATTTTCACTTTCTAAATGGTATCTTTGGATATACAGAGTCTCTCTTTTAATCTCAGTCTAATTTGTAAATTTTTTTAGTGTTTATTACTTTTTATAAAGTGTTAAATAAGTTTTTACCTGTATCAAGGTCATTAAGCATATTCTATATTGTATTCTGATAAATTTATTATTTTTTGCCCTGAAGACTATTTGTTTAGGGGAGGGTGTGAAATGAAGTTATTTTTTAATAAATTAATGTACTGCTTTATATGAAATTACTTAGACTTATCCTTAGTTGTTTGCTATTTTCTGTGGTTATTATAAAAAGTATTTTAAATTTTTTTTCTAAAAAAAAAAAATCCAACAGTCTCATGAAAATGATGAGAAAACACAGGTAGAGTTTACTTCAAGGAAGTTATTGAAGGCCATACAACCACTTAATATAGTGTATCCAAGAATCACTCCCAAGTATTCTAATTCTTCCTTTGCATAGTTTTTTTTTTTCATTACTATGTCATATCTGAAATATTATTTTAAATTTTTCCATATCAGATTTATACTGGTATATATGAACCATAACTCAATGATTCTTAATCCTGACTCTGACCAGTGCCCTATCCTGCTGTGGCTGAGCTGGTATCCAAGATGCAAGGCAGAGCCCTCTCCACTGTTCCCTCTCCTCTCCTTAAGTGGAAGGAAGGAGTCTCTTCTAGAGCCACCAGCCGTGCAGCCTGGGGTTAGGGGAGGGGTGATGCCAGCACTTCCTTAGCCACCCAGATGGTGTTTCAGTAGGCAGCATGCCTTGCCAGCCCAGTCTTTGGGGCTGGTTCAGCACTAGGACTTGCCTAAGAGTTGTAGCCCTTATGGCTTAAACTGCCTTTCAAGTTTACTTAGAGACAAAGAGAATTGTAGCCTTCGGTGACAAGGTTTGAGGGTACTCAAGTCAGGATCACTGGGAACAAGCAATTCTCCTCTGGCTAGGGCTGTTTTAAATGCTCCCTCCATGAAAGGTCATCAGCTGAGTTTGGGGTGATTTTCCTTGCTGCTCTAACAAGATAACACTGAGTTAAATGCCTTCCCCAGTGAACAAAGAGACTCTCCACACCATACTGCTGCTGTCAGGGATGAGAGTGGAGGGAGTTGTCGCCAGGGGATTGGGGGCACTGGGTGGCTTGGGGTCGAGGTCAGTGGAGCCTCCTATCCCTCCATCTTGCTCCACCTCCCCTCTCTCTTTTTTTACTTACTTTCTTTCTTTTCCATTGATTACTTCTTATTAATTTTTTCCATTGTGAGCTTGGTATGTACTGTTTAAAACTTATTTTAATGATTTTCTTTGCAATTTTAGCCTGCATCCTCGAATAATCAAAATCTAATATGAACTGATAATTTACTTTCTTTCTGAATAATTTAAGGAATACTAAAACACTTTAACCCAGTTCACCTCCTTTTGAATTATTTGACATTATTTCCATGCTTTATTCTATGTATGTCTAAAATTCAACAAGATATTTTGCCATTTATTTACTCAATATTTCTTTAGATTTACTCATTTCATTTTATTCCTTCTTGTATTTCTAAAATTTCATCTTTTTCATTTTTTTCTTTTTAATTTTTGTGAGTACGTAGCTAAGTGTATATATTTATAAGGTACATGGATGTTTTTCAAATCAATAAAAATAAAGCCACTGTATGATCCAGCAATCCTACTGCTGGGTATATACCCAAAAGAAAGGAAATCAGTATATCAAAGAGATATCTGCACTTCCATGTTTTTTGAACTTTTATCTTGATTATGTTTCTTCTGCCTGAAGAACCTTTCTTTGTATTTTTTGCTTAATATGTCTAATGGTGATAAAGTTTCTCATTTTCTCTTATCTGAAATTAATATTAATTCAATTAATTCCTGAGATATTTGTGATGTTTTTGAAGATAATATGATTTACTTTTCCCTCTGCGGTTGCTTTTAATCATTTCTGTTTATCTTTTTTTCTCAGCAATTTTAATGTGTGTGGTAGGCAGCATCCTAAGAAGACCCTATTGTTCCTAGTCCTTGATGTACAAACACATTCTCTCTTTTAGTCAATTAAACACTCAGCCAGGACTCCTGTGAGGGATTTTACAATTGTAATTTAGATATCCTATTAGTTGATTTCTTATTTGTTGATTATATTAGTTATAAATTAGTTGACTGGTTCGTAGGGAGTTTATCCAGGTAGCTCTGACCTAATCATGTGCACACCTTAAAAGCAGAGTGTTCTCCAGCTGGTAGCAACAGGAAGTCAGAGATTTTAAAACACCAGAAAGGTTTGATGCACTATTGCTTCCTTAAAAATGGAGGAGGCCATGTGACAAGAAATATGGGTGGCCTTCGGAGAGCACCTCCCAGCTGGCAGCCAGCAAGAAAACAAAGACCTCATTCAGTCCTGCTATCACAAGAAAACCAACAAAAAGAATGAGCTAAAGAACTTATTTCCCTAGAGCCCTCAGACAAACACCCAGCACAGTAGACACCTTGATTCCCATCGCCTTGTGATGCTCAGATTAGAGAACCCAACTACACAGAACTGTGAGCTAGGAAATAGTTATGATTTTAAGCTGGCAAATTTGTGATGCCACAATAGAAAGGCAATACAGTATAATGTTCCTACCTTAGGTTTCCTCTTCTTTTTTTCTTTTTTTTTTTCTTTTAGATGGAGTCTCCCTCTGTTGCCCAGGCTAGAGTGCAGTGACACAATCTCTGTTAACTGCAACTTCCGCTTCCCGGGTTCAAACGATTCTCTTGCCTCAGCCTCCTGAGTAGCTGGGATTACAGGCGCGCATGACCACGCCAGGCTAATTTTTGTATTTTTAATAGAGACAGGGTTTCACCATGTTGGTCAGATTGGTCTTGAACTCCTGAACTCATAATCCGCCTGCCTCAGGCTCCCAAAGTGCTGGGATTACAGGTGTGAGCCACCATGCCCGGCTCATTAGGTTTCCTTATAATTTTTCTGCTTAGAATTTATTGAGGTTGCTGTATCTGAAGTACAATATCTTTCGATGGTTTTAAGAAGACTATCAGACATTATTTTTTCACATGTTATTTATTCTGCCTACTTTTTTTATTTTTCTCATTTTCAGGATAATATATAATAGATCTTTACCTTGTATCTTCTGTGTCTTTTTTCCCCCTTCTAATTTTAAAACCTTTTTTCCCGCTACTTTATTCTCAATAGTTTCTTTTGACTTATTTCATTTCCATATATACAATCTTCTGTTTAATCAACACATTTGATTCTTTGAGTAATGAATTTGTCAACTTTAGAATTTCTACCTTTATATATTTCCAGTTTTATGCTTATATTCTTATTCTTATCTTTTATTCTAATAAGCACAGTAAATTAAGTTACCTGAAGTTTATGTGAGGTGTCCAATGTCTCTTCCCCTGTGTATTTGGCTCAATTGTTAGTGGTTTTTATTATCTAATGTTTACTGTTTTATGTGATTTTTGTTTTGATTTGGTTTGGTTTTGCCCTCTTGTCTCTTTGTGGGTCTAGTAATTTTTGTATGTGTCCAACATTTGTTTTTAAATATTTGTAGAAATAATTTTGAGAACTAGAATCATATTATCTTTTTCCATAGCATATTTTTGTGTGTTTTCTTGAGGAACCTATTAACGCCTATAATTTAGTATTATCTTTGTCTGAAATCATAGATTTATATGTTCAAACATGAGCTCTAGGTTACAGAAAACCTATTCTGGTTGACCCTTACTCTCAGATTACAGTGTTTTAAGTTCTCATCCTAAAGCAAGGCAGATCCACCAGCCATTCCTTCACCTTTAATAACACCTGGACATCAATTTCTGTCACTTTAGTTTTTCAAAATCCTCAAAACAGCCTCTCAGGCTCTTGCCTGCTGAATTACTCACTCCAGCAACTGTAACAAAACCCTCAAATCTGGGTTAAACTTCCTGGTTCTTTCCCTTTCACCCAATTTGGATCCAGTATTTTTTGCTATTTATTAGTTTACCAATGCTATCAGATGACCTTAGTAATTGTATTTGTCAGGATTCTCTAGAGAAACAAAATAAGTAGGATGTAGAGAGATAGAAATTTATTACAAGGAATTGGTTCATGTCATTACAGAGGATGAGAAATCCCACGATCTGTAGGGTGAATAGGCAAGTCAGAGACCCAGGAGAGCAGAAAGTATAGTTCCAGTATGAGTCCAAAGGCCTGAGAACCAGGAGATCCAATATTGCAGTTCCAGTTCATTCCACTTTGACAGCTGGCACAGCAGAAACTCAGGAGGAGCCAAAATTTTAGTTCAACTCTGAATGCAGGGAAAAGCTAATGACTCAGTCCAAAGGTAATCAAGCAGGAAAAATGTTCTCTTACTCAGGGAAGAGTCAGCCTTTTAGTTGCATGAGATCCACTCACATTAGGGAGAGCAATCTGATTTACTCACTTTAACAGTTTAAGTGTTAATCTCATCCAAAAACAGCCTCATAGGAACATCTAGAATAATATTTGACCAAATATGACCAAATACCTGAGCACCCCATAGGTCAGTCAAGTACCCATAAATTAAATGTCACAATAATTTTCCTAGGTTTTCTTTCTATACTTGAATCTGAAAGTAAACATGATTTAAATTTAAGCTAATATTTCTGTGCTTATGCAATATAATCCAAATTTTTTAGTATGTGAAGTTTGGAACAAATTTGATCCTGGTGAATTTCTATGACTTTTATTAATAATCCTACTTACACCATGGCCACCCCTTAATGCTTGGATTTTCTGCATATTCAATGCAATTTTACAATTTCTTGCCATTATTAAATATTCTTCCTTCTTGTCAGAAGAAAGAATATTCCACCTTCTTACCCGACAAAAGCCTACTTCCTCTATAGGGTCTCTTTCTCAATTTTTGCTTCCTTTATGGAAATGTTCCTCAACCCTCTCAAGCCCAGAGAATAAATACCATTTTCCTTTCTTTTCATGTTGTACATCTAGTGTGAGTGTGTGTAACAGGGCATGACACATGCACACATATATATATTATGAAACATAAAATAGTAAATGATCATCTGGTAATTTCCTACCTACTTTAAACTAGACCACTATCAGTCCACTGAAACTACCTATTGCTCTTATCTTATTTCATATCACTCTTGCCCTAGAGATAATCACCCTGACTTCCTTGTTCATCTTTTTCTTGATTTATTGTTGTTTTTCCTAAGTTTCTAGCCTTATATCATGCATTTATTTTAAACTATCTTATTCAATATTATGTTTATAACATAGTTTTATAATGGTGCATGTAGCTGAAGTTGATTTATTTTCTCTACTGTATACTTTTTCATGGTGATGAAAGAGTACAATTAATTTGTCTAACTTCCTGTTAATGAAGATTTTATTCACACTCTCTTGGTTTTGATAATAAACACATGGGTGCAGGATATTTTGGTATAGATCCAGCATATCTTGGGTTAGAATATTCCAGAAACAAGAGATTCTTACGTGAAGGACTTTCTCTAGCGTTTATGGCAAGAATTGAAATTGTTAAATCTTAGTGTGTACCTATGTTCAATTTTAGGTAGTAGCCGATTGTTTTAGATTATTATTGTCCTAGTTCACACTCACACATAAACCAAATAAGTTCTCATTATTTTATATCATCGTCAACATTGGTATTTTAAGACTCTTAAACTTTAACCAATCTGGATCATGAGAATAGGAACACCTTGTATTAATTTCCCTTGATCTGATTACTAATAAAGTTAAACATCTTTTCATATGTTCACTCAGAAGTTGTTTCCTCTTTCTAAAAATGCTTTTTTAAGTCTTTGGCAATTTATCTGAAGGTTTGTTTAAATTATTTTTCTGTTGATTTATGAGTTCCTTTTATATTTTTGTGCCAAACATTTATCAATTTTATGCATTGCCAATATTTGCTGCTGCTTTGTATCTTACGTTTTCAGAGTTTTTGTGGTACTCTGTGTAGAATGGAATTTTAGTTTTCTAATGTGTTCTAATTTAACCATCTTTTTATATTTAGCACATTTGTTATGAGTTAATTCTTTCTTATCCTGAGGTCATGAAGTTATTTTTAAAAATATTTCATTGTATTTGTTTTAATTTCATCATGTTTTTCCCTATTTATTTACTAAATCTCAAAAAAGTTTTATTCATTTTCATTAAGAAATGAATTAATTTTTTTCTATGGTTTGGTTAATTTATCAACACACTTATATGAATGGAACTTCCTTTCCTCAGTCATCTACCATATCTGTCATATATTAGGTTTCTATATATGCATGGCTTTTTCTAGTCTTTCTATTTTGTTTCGCTTATGCTAAAACTTCATGGCCTTTACTTTAGGTTTTAATAGGCATAAATACAGGGAGATATCTGGTAAACATTGCAAACCTTCCACCTTATTCTTCTTTAGGAGAATCTTGGTTCTTCTTAGGCCTTTGCTTTTAAATATCAATATTTAAAATCAACTAAATACATTTCTTAGAAACTTTGTGGGATAGTGATTTAAAATCATGGCAGGCACAGTACATCAACCAAATAATCCATATACTCTCTATTACAGTCTGAATGTTTGTGTCCCCCCAAAATTCATATATTGAAACCAATCTGCAAGATGATGTTATTAAAGGACAGGGCCTTTGGAAGGTAATTAGGCCTTGAGGGGAGAGTCCTCATGAATGGGATTAGTGCCCTTTATAAAAGGAGCCCTTGAGAGCTCTGTGCCCCTTCTACAATGTGAATACACAGCAGGAAGGCACCATCTATAAACTGGAAAAAAGGCCCTCACCAGACACTCAATCTACCTTGGTCTTGAACTTCCCAGCTTCCAGAATCATGAGAAGTAAATTTCTGTTGTATATAAGCTACCCAGTTTATAGAATATTGTTATAGCAGCCCAAATGGACTAAGACACTCTCATTTTAGGGAGCAGGGCAGAGTCCATAAGAGAAAGTATTGCTTGATACTTCTGGATGAAGTATTTGTGAGTGGGTGTGATTTCTCCACATTCTCTCTTCCCCAGGCTTAGTGACAAGGTTTTGTGTTGGAAATGGAAGAGTGTTACAAGAAGGAGAGTGTTTGAATACTTAAGGATAAGATTAGGAGGATGATTTTACTCTATTGGGAGACAATTCTTCTCCATTGGTCTCTTGCGTTTTTGCATGTTTGAAGAGCAGAGGCATTGATTGCCTTTGTCTGGACTATGTTTCCAAGGACTATGTATGGCAAGCAACATTGGAGGACAGAGATACTCTCATGCTGTTTCACAGGCCAGGCATGCTTATTCTCCAGTATTAGGTTCAGGTTGTCTAACTCAGGGTTCCTCCCTTTTATGCAGTCCCATTAGTATGAGATGCTACCTGGCCCTCTTTGAGTTGTCCTGGGGAGTTGAGGCAATAGGAACTAAACAAACATGATGTGCATGCTGCTTGCTGCCATGAGGAATAAAGTTCATTTTTTCTCATACATTGGCCTAATTTACAGCTTGCAAGTCGGGTAAAATATCATACTCTTGATGCTCTTGACCTACTGAATTCAATATTATGTGATGAAGAAGTAAATATTTATTGTGTTAAGACACTGGAATTTGGGGGATTTTTATGTTACTTTTGAAAGCTTAGTCCAACCTCATATAAAATAGCATGAAATCCTATTTTGTTTTTCCCATGTGGAATTTATTTTTCTTGTCTTCCTATACCTTTTAGAGTCTCTAGTATGGTGCTAAATAAAAGTGGGACAAGCGGTACACTTTTTCCTAATTCTAAGAGGATTGCTTATAAAATTCCTCCATTAAAATAATATATGCTACAGGTCTTAATAGATATTTCTTAGCAAGTGAATGGAATTTTCTTCTAAATTTAATTAAGAGATTTTTTATCATGAAAGGTTATTTTAGTTTCTCAGAATCTTTTAAAGCTCCCATTGAGATGATTATACATGCTTTATCTGTTAATATGTTACATATTTTCCAATGTTAATTGACCTTTGCATCCTAGGACAAAACCAACTAGGTCTTGATACACTATCACTTATGTACATCAATGGACTTGTTTTGATTATAATTTGTTTGGATCGTTTCATAAATATTTATGAATAAAATTTGCTTGCACAAAATTGTTTGTCTATCTTTTGCAGAATAATGATGGCTTCTTAAGCTAGGACCACATCTTATTCATTTTTATATCTTCAATACTTAGTAAAATGTCCGGCACACATATTGTACTAATAAATAGTTTTTCAAAATGCACAATTGAGCAAATATATCCTAATGCAGAAATGTGTTCACAGATAGGTTTTCAGTATTTTCAGCTTTAAATGAGATAGCAAATATTTATCAAATTTCTATAGTGATTTTTCCAACTCTCTGTTTGCTCAAACCACAGATATGAAAGAATTTTAACACTTGACCATATTAGACTCTTTAAATTCTACCCCCAAAATCTTATTCTGATACCTGCATTTTGTCTATTTCCATTCTCCCACTAACACAGAATAACTCACTATCACCTCCTACTTGAGCTTTTGTAAATGTATTCAAATTGGCTTCTCTAATTTTTAAATTTTTTCACCCCCCCCCACTCCATTACCTCATGTGGTTATCATACATAAAATGTCAAAATGATCTTAATAAAAGACTAGTAAAATTTTTATCCCTTCATATCCCACTTAAAACCTGTCAACTGTTTCCCCTACACTTGGGAATAACTTCTTAAATATTACACTGACCTGTAAGCCACTACATACCCGCATAACCTCTTGACTACCTCTACCACCTCCTCTCACACCTCTCTTGTCTAGTTCACTACCTGACAGACACACTGCCCCATTTTCAATTAAAATACAGCCTTTCTACTGTAGCATTTCCCCCTTGGCTCTTTGCTTAGCAGACAGACTGATGCTTTAAACCTTAGATTACTCTTTAGATTTCTAGGTCCAACTTAGCATCCTCTCTCTTTTTTTTCCTAATTTTATTATTATGATTATTTGTATTTGCACATATCTAATTTTCTAGTAATTTTTCTGAATTTACATGATTGGTCATAAATATAGAAAGCATGTCTATTTTGCCTACCATTGTGTATTCAGCTTATAGTTGAATGCCTTGAAGTTTTATTCCATCAATATATTTTGTGAATGAAAGGAGGATAATGTACAACATGTGTTTTAAAACTTTTCATTAGTTTTGCTCTAATTATTTCTTTTTGAAGATAGACCAACAAGCAAACAACTGAAAAAAAGTTTTGCTACAAATAAAGATACAATTTGTAAATAATACCCAAAAGCTAAATAGAGAAATGACTAACTGAAATGCATTAAAATTGTGGATGTATAAACTAAACTACATTAATAAATGCAGAGTATTTACACAACATAAATGTAGCAGATGTTTCTCCTATGGTCTAAGCTTTATTTGCAGCTCAATCTGGACATATCTGGAGATAATTGGCACCTGCCCAACTGAAATCTCTTTGCATAAATTACTTAGGATTTTGGGGGAGATAACTCAACCTGTTTTAATAATAATAAAAAAAAACTCAGATGAGCTTGACTTAATGTCAAAGTTTTAGTCTTAAGCAGGGCCAAGTGACTTTGAAGAAAACATGGTGCCTGACATTTAGATTTGTCTCTTGGTCCTGAAACCTTACATTGAAAGACTAGCCTCATACTATTATATTTGAAAATTTAAACAGTTTTCTATTAAAATTTTTATATTTCTATGTTAAACCTGATTTGGCTATTCTCCTGTAGCATGCATTATCAAATGCAGCCCAGAAGACAGAGAAGGCAAATCAACTAGGGAGAAAGGACCATAGCATGAGCACAGAGCTTCTGGAAGAAACATCTGCTCTCCCACCTCCTATGGTCCCAGGCTTCCTCATAGATCAGGTATGCAGAGACTGGACAGCTGCATGCTCTTGGCAGAGTTAAATGGTGTCACTTTTAGGCTCAGCCTGGAGCTGCATACTACTATTTTTTTTTCTTTTTTTTTTTTTTTTTTTTTTTTTTTTTTTTGAGACGAGGTCTCACTCTGTCACCCAGGCTGGAGTGCAGTGGTGCCATCATGGCTCACTGCAGCCTCAACATCACAGGCTCAAGTGATCCTCCCAGCTAAGCCTCCCAAGTAGCTGGTTCCAGAGACACATGACACCATGCTCGGCCAATTTTTGTATTTTTTGTAGAGACAGGGTTTCACCACGTTGCCCAACTGGTCTTGAACTCCTAGGCTTCAGAGATCCACCCACCTCTACCTCCCAAAGTTCTGAGATTACAGATGTGAGCCATTGTGGTCAGCCTAGAAAATTGTGTGAAACAAACTCCCAAAGTTCTGAGATTACAGATGTGAGCCATTGTGGTCAGCCTAGAAAATTGTGTGAAACAAACAAAAAAATTAATCATAACATGTCTCCATCTCCTTGGCCACCTTCACTCATCCCCTATTCCTCTGTCTTGACCAGTCATTATATTCCTAAACTCCCTCTAATCAGCAACCATTTACACCTCACTTGTTCATAGATGATGATCTTTTCTTCTTATATGACCAAATCTCAGATTGCTAGTGACTATAAAGTTCTCTCAACTTGGAGGCCACTTTGTCTCTGAAGGCTGCAATGAATGAAGACAGGAAACCACAGAGCTTGCCTGATAATTTGGTGGTTTGTGCAAAATACAGTGAATCCAGATAATGCATCAGTGAGCAGGCAGGAGCCATAGCAAAAAGCAATAGGGTTGGTGGTGCCTAAGGGCCATGATCTGTCTATGTCCAATGGGGCTGGGGAAAAGTATTGAAATAAAACCAAAGTTGCCACATCATTACTGTGAATAGTCTATGAGCATATGTGAAACAGCCATCAGAGAATCTAGAAATATTAAAGGTAAAATGAAGAAAAAAAGCAAAATGTGAATTATATATAATTATATATGTATAACTACATCAACCACAGTTATAAGAGTAATAACATTAGCTATAGTTTTATATAGAGTAGTTATTCATGGTTTCATATATGTATATATTTTAAAACTTAATCTTTTATATTTGTGTTTTAATTTAATTGAATAAGATTTATTTTATCATTAAAAGGGATATACACGTATTAATATTTAATAAAAATATATATTTTTAAATCTCCAATATACAACCTTGAATATTTCCCCACTTTGGAGATAAAAGGAAAAGCTTGTCACTGCTGTTGGAAAAATGAGTCAATCATGGAGAAAACAGCTAAGCAGCTGAGGCTATGGATCTAAGGAGGGCCTTTTTCTAAGGTGAATGCAATGTTATCAAAAACGAGTAATACTCTGGTGTCAGGCAGTCTGAAATAATATTAGGAGACTGACAGTTGGTACTAGAAATATCTATGAACTGGCTAAGCTGGATTCAATCAGAAAGTATATATCTCTAAATTGGTTACTTAAATGGAACCTTTATCTAAAGTAAGGGGTTTGTAGGTTTGCTATAGAGAAAATGGAAAAAAGGACAGTTGAACATGTGCTGTGAACAGAGTGACTGAATAGAGTTCGAAAAAAGTGTTATGATACTCTGCCAATTCTTTACCAAACAAGTCAGATTTTGTGGACAAATATTTAATTTAATAAAGGGTTTATTTGTTGTCTTTGTCCATTTGTGCTGCTATAACAAAATACCGTGGAATCTCTAGCTTATAAAGAACAGAAATTTATTTCTTACAGTTCTGGAGGCTGAGAAGTCAGAGATGGAGGCAGATTTGGTGCCTGGTGAGGGCCTACTTTCTGGTTCGTAGTTGGTAGTGGCTCCTTCTTCTTGTGTCTTTACATGGTAAATAGGAAGCTCTGGTCTCTTCAGCTCTTTGTAAGGGCAGTAATTCCATTAATGAGGGCTCCACACTTATGACCTAATCATCTCTCAAGAGTCCCTCTTCCTAATACCATCACATGGGGAATTAGGTTTCAACATATGAATTTTACGGGTATACAAACATACAATCCATAACACTTGTTAACATTTGATAATGCCCTTCCAACAAATTCAGCAAATTAGGTGCTAGTTTATACATTATTCTTATTAAAAATAGATGAAATACAGTTTCATTGCCTCCTCCACAATCTTATTTACTTAACCAGACCACTTTATTAAAGTGGTTTATACTTGTTCCTAATTGGTATCATCGTATAGAGGTGAAAACAGGAAACAGTCTCAGAAAATATTGAAAACAATAATAAATCTATGGGACAGTATCATCAATTCCCAATGTGTTTTATGTAAATAATTATTATTAATAATGTTTCTTTAGTAACTGAGATAAATGAGTACTTAACTCAATAATTTTATCCTATGAAATAATAGTGGATAATACAAGGACTGAGTTATAGTATCTCCCTTCCACAAATTTCCTATAAGTAAAGCCTTTGTCCATAACATGTCAAGCCAGCCCTTCCTCCCTTTTGACACCTGTCTGAACATATATAATCTCAAAGTGTAAATAGAAAAGAATTCAATTCTTACACATTTTTGAAAAGCAAAAATGATTATTTAAAATCTCATAGTAATACATGGTAAGCTAAGGCAGAAGATAGAAATGCAGACAAAAAATAAAGTTTTGATAAGGCTATGTAGAATGTTCAAGTGGAAATAGAATAATTGTACTTTCTATTCGAATTGCAAGATGGAAACATTTCTATGCCAAATGTGGGAATCATCTGGGAGAGTAATATGCATACTAAACTTAAATTTAAAAATCCCAAACCAGATTCTAGTTAATTAAAAAGCAGATCTCCACATTCTAACCAGATACAAAGAGAAACAACGATCCAAAGATAAAATGCATATGTTAAGTGTCTTCTTTTTCATTCACACCAGGAGTACAGGGAGTCCTAATAGGAATCAAGGCAACCTCTTTCCAGATGTTGAAGCAGTATTCTTCATTTTAGGGATTCATTCACATATGATCCCAAATGAGAGGGATATCTGGAACACTCATCCTAAGTCTAATTGGGGTGATAGCCACTAGCCTCACAACCTCAATAACATAAACCAGGGCTATGTATCAGTACATTCTGGAAACTTGAATCACTGCTAGAATGTTCATAGCCCATTTTGTGAGAAAATAGATGTGTAGTTTCAACAGATAAGTTGTAACTGAAGGAATATTCCAAGTATTCTGAGGAATCTGCACAAGAAACATCTACTGAAAAATGGTAAGACAGATATTTAATACTTTGACCACAGCCTGCTAAATTTTCTTCCATAATTTAAAATCATTTCTTTATGAAATGTCCAGATGCAATCCATTGATTTCACAAATGATGTTTTGCTATTTTTTTCAGCTACTTTGCAGGTCAGCATTTGTAAGAAGAAAACAGACAGACAGACTAACCACATTAAGAAGGGCGAACACAAGATAGGCAAATTTTGAATTATTTGACATGTTATAGTAAATATTTCACGCTCATAACATCAGTTTGGTTTTCTGAAAAGCACCTCCACCACACAAACTTTTCAGTATATACATTCTTCCTCTTAAACTGTGAAAATCCAATTGATGTTTTTGTGTATGTGTGTATGTTGATAGTCAAGGAACCCATAAAATAACAATACTAAGAATTTTGAGTGTTAAGAATAGAAATAATTATATTTTCATAATTAAGATTTAACTTAGAAAAATAACTTCAAAATTAGAGAAATATTCTAAGGATAGTAAACAAAAATCAAAGAGAAAAATACTTAAAGGGGAAATCCAGACAATTTTGATGAATTAGACCTCTATCTTCTCCAAAATGCAAATGCTTTAAGAGTAAGGTAGGTAATACTCAGGTAAAACAGACAAGGAGAAGATCACAGAAAATGGGCAGTGTGTGAAGAGGCAGACTAGTATGGTGAATTCAAAAGAACTTATCTCATTCAAAAGAGGAAACTTGTCTCTAGTGAATTTTAGCCGTGCAGAAATGAAAAATCACGTTATAGCCCTTCTAATTTTTCAGTATAATTTATGACATAAATTTTCATATAAAACGTCCAGATTCAAAATATTGGCTTTAAAAAGTGAGCACTCTGCAGCCCAATTCAAACAATTTTCTGAGCCAAATTTTGCCCTTGGGCCATAGTTTGTTACCTCTGCATGAAAATGGAGACTTGGCGTCAGGATAAATAGCTAATGCGTGCGGGGCTTAATACCTAGGTGATGGGTTGATGGGTGCAGCGAACCACCATGGCACAAGTTTACCTATATAACAAACCTGCAAGTTCTGCATATGTATCCTGGAACTTAAAATAAAATAACATTTGTAAAATAAATCCTGATAGACTTGCTCAACGTAGGGTTGCCACAA